>NC_000016.10:54562500-54865530 GCF_000001405.40 Homo sapiens | reverse complement strand
ATAGAGATAAACATATAATTAACATTAGAAGGCTTTCTTCCACTCATCACCTTTGCCACTAACTGCTCTCTTTCCCCAAAGGCAAGCACTGTTAGTTGGTCCTTGTATTTCCAGGGGAAAAATATGAATTGCTACCAATATATATGTATTTTTATTTAATCTGAAGGGATCAAGTTGTACATACCACTCTGAGCCTTGCTTTTTTTCTCTGTATATATGAATAATTGGTACATCTCAGAGATAATTCTGTAGCAAGCTCATGCCAGTCTATCTGATTCTCTGTGTGGCTCAGGGAGTCTTTCCTTGTTGGGTGGTACTGCCATGGGGCAGGGTGGGGGAGGTGCTCAGCTCCTGGCATGATGCTCCTTGAGGTTGCTTATCCATCTTGTTTAATGTACTTTTGCAAGTATTTTCCTAGACTAAATTCCTAGCATGGAATTGCTGGGTTAAAGGGTACGTGCATTCACAATGTTGATCAATATTACCAAATTGCCCCTTAACATAGTTGAACTAATACATATTCTTACCCACAGTAGATGAGAGTGCCTATTTCTGCACACGACTTGTATTATCAAATATTCTAATTTCTGCCAACATAATAGGTAAGAATCATTCTCTCATCATTGCTTTGATTTGTATGTCTTTGATTATGAATGAGGTTGAGCACCATTTCATGCATTTACTCACTTTTGTGGATGAATTGCCTATTTATGTCCACTGCTCATTTTTCCACTGGATGTGTCTTTTTCCAACTAAATTATATAAATTCTTTGTCAATTAAGGGAATGAGTCCCTAACGGGCTCATGGCTTACACCTGTAATCCCAGCACTTTGGCAAGCCGAGGCGGGCAGATTGCTTAAGGTTAGGAGTTTGAGACCAGCCTGGCCAACATGGTGAAACCCCGTCTCTACCAAAAATACAAAAAATTAGCTGGGTATGGTGGTGTGTGCCTGTAATCTCAGCTACTTGGGAGACTGAGGCAGGAGAACTGCTTGAACCCAAGAGGTGGAGGTTACAGTGAGTCGAGATCACACTACTGCACTCCAGCCTGGGCGACAGAGTGAGACTCTGTCTCAAAACAATAAAAAGGAATGAGTCCTTATATTAATAGTAAATATAGTTGCATATATTTTCCCTGATTTAACCTTTGTCTTTTATCTTTGTTTACAGTATTTTGGGCCATGTTAAGTTCTTTAATTGGTATGTATTTAAATTTATGAACACTCAGCAAATTTGTTGAGAGTTAGACCAGATCTCAAGAGCCCATCAAGTTTTAAAGATGACTGTATAAATATTAACAACCACAAAACTTAAAGGAATGAGTGTCCAATGGTAGATTTTTGCTGTCCTTGATGGGTAGGCGGAGGCCACCTCTGTTGTTTGGGTCTTTCCAATGATTTTCTCATCTCTCTTGTGAGATACTCTGTATTGCAGCAGTTAAATAGTTGATACTACAATCAAGTTATAATTTTTTTAAATGTTTTTATTATTGTTATAAAAGTCCTATGGTTCACAAAATCCAGGCTCTAGCACCATGCCTAGTACCTAAAAATGTGCCAGACAGGCCTATGAATGTTTGAAGTAAAAGGAAAGTGACTGCGGAAGGGACGAAGTCTCTAGAAGGCTTGGAGAGCTCAAGGACACTCCAGATTTATTCCCGGGAAGGAGGAGAAGAAAAATAAATTTGAAAGAACACTTATGAAATTACTTTGAGTAGCTTTAAATAACTTATGTTAGAGTTTTAAACTTTTTGTAAAACATAGATCATCATATTTGTAAGCCTCTACAGCTATAAAACTTAAACTATTAAGGAGATCAGTCATCAAAATTACAGAGCTTCTCAAAACCTTGAGGTGCATATGAATCGTCTGGGGATCTTTGTTAAAATGCAAATTCTGATTTGGTCGGGGGCTAGGGTAGTGCAGAAATTCTTCATTTCTAATATGCTGCTTGACCCTTCGGTAGCCAGGTCCTAAACTACACAGCCACCCACTCCCCTCTTCCTTTTCGTCTCTCTTTTCTTCCTTCTCTGTCTCTGGGCACAGGATCACATACTATTTATGTGTGCATATACACATGCTTTAGATATGTCTATATTTCTGCTTTCTAAAACATTAATTAAGAAATAGGCGATTGCTACAGAAACCACAATGTACTTCATGAAAAATCATTGGGTACAAAGGCAAAACATTGACAAATTGATATTTTCTTGCTTCGTCACGCCTGATTTAAGGAAATGAACTCAAAATAAGCTATGTGAATTGGAAATTGACTTCCACCACATTTAAATTGTTCTCCTTTAAAATATTAGCAGTTGAGTGTGTAAACCAATATTTATTTTTTAATCAAAGGTTTGCAGCAAATGGTTCGTAAATGAAAGAAATGAGGGAAGAACACTTCAAAATGTTCCTAGTATTAGAAGTGGAAATCGGATATTTTATTTCTTTAAATGGCAGACACAGCCCTACACTAAATTTCAGCCTGCTCTGGGAAGAGGAAATTGTATGTGAAACTGGCCATGTATAAAAGTCCAAGGCCAGAACCTCTCTGCCAGAGATCATAATAAATATTTTTCTATGGAAAGAAGTTTTGAGGATCCAGCTACATTAAGGCAGAGTCTATTAACAGAATAATTGTATAGAGAGGACCGCTTAAGAAAAGCTTCCAAAATTCCATTATCTTAACTGTCACTCGCCACTCGGAGTTGTCTTGGTGCAGTGTGTTTTCATGAATTACCCGAGCTGTTTGTTTTTCTTTTATCAGTCATCACGCTGTCAGCTGGGCCGTTCATAACAACTTTTGGCAGCTCATCAGGGGAGTTCAGAGCTTGAATAGACCCTATCAACTCTCACACCTCATTGTGTGAAACTGTTTACCAGCATTGCCTTTTTCTGTAAATATTACAAGGAGAGCCCTGAAAGGAGAGATGTGTGAAAACAAAATGGCCTAACCTTGTAGCGGTCGGCTGAGATGGCAGATCTGGGTTGACGGAGAATCTGCAAGTCCTTGCATTTCATTTATTCGGCCGAATAATACCTAGTCGCGGGTCTTGAAGTTGTGTGGATGCTAGTTAATTAGACGATACTTAATTTGACTTCACATTTGTGTCAGTTGGTGAAGGCGAGACTTTGTAATTAGGGAGTACAGATAGGGTTTCTGTCACAATTTTCCTCCCTCACTCTAATTTAATGTACACTTTTCCAGTGTTTTTCCCATTGTCTTTTATGCATGACCGGTGACTAGGTGGCCTCTATTACACAACCAACAGCAAGTGGACCCAGTGTCCTGGACTTTCTGTCAGATTTGCCCATCATAAATAATTTTCTATTTGAAATGAATGTCAACAATCCTCTTTTGAACTTTATAGCACCAACCTGCAAATGGTATGGGTTTCTTTTTTAGCTTGCATATGTAACTTTTTGCCGAAGTTATATATGCAACAGATTTTTAAGTCTCAACTAATGCTAATTTTATGAAGGAAACTAGCTGTCTCCCCAGTTTCTCCTCCTTAAAGGCAACCACTTTCAGCTCTTGTGGTGGATTATTTAGAAAATAATTTCACAGTGAGAAAGATACTGATTCACTTTGCCTGTTTTTGAATGTTACATAAATGAAATCATATTGCTGGAACCTGCTTCTTTCACTTAGCGTTAAAGTGATTTTTGTTTACCCCTTTTTAAAAAAATCAAGGTATAATTTACATACAATGAAATGCATCAATTTTAAATGTGCAGTTTAACGGGTATGAATACATGAATACACCCATATAACTGCACACCAATCAAGATACAGAACTTTCCCATCACCCCAAAAAGTTCCATCTTAACACATTTTCAGCCTCCAGGAGACAATCCTTTCCTATCTCTCTCTCTCTCTCTTTTTTTTTTTTTTTTTTTTTTTGACAGTTTTAGCTCTTGTTGCCCAGACTGGAATGCAGTGGCACAATCTCGGCTCACTGTAACCTCCACTTGCCCGGTTCAAGTGATTCTCCTGCCGCAGCCTCCTAAGTAGCTGGGATTACAGGCACGCACCACCACACCCGGCTAATTTTTGTATTTTTAGTAAAGACAGGGTTTCACCATGTTGGCCAGGATGGTCTCAAACTCCTGACATCAAGTGATCCGTCTGCCTCAGCCTCCCGAAGTGCTGGGATTACAGGTGTGAGCCACTGCATGGGGCCAATTTTTCTCATGTCTATCATCACAGGTTAGATTTACCTACTCTAGAACTTTCTATAAATGGAATCATAACAATGAGGACTCTTTTCTGTCTGGCTTCTTTTGCTTAAAATGATGTCTTTGAGATACCTGAGAAAACGTGTTCCTTTAAACTGTCAAGCGTATTCCACTGCACGAGTATACTACTGTTTGTGTATAAATTCACCTGTTGGTGGTCACTTCGATTGTTTCCAGTTTTTGGCACTTAGGTTTTCTTTTTATTATTGATTTGTAGGCATTCTTGCATATTTCAGATATCAAATCTGTTGTCAGAAATAGATTTTGCCCAGCACTTTGAGATGCCAAAGCAGGTGGATCACCTGAGGTCAGGAGTTCAAGACCAGCCTGGCCAACATGCTGAAACCCTGTCTCTAGTAAAAATACAAAAATTAGCCAGGCGTGGTGGCATGCACCTGTAATCCCAGCCAGTTGGGAGGCTGAGGCAGGAGAATTGCTTGAATCCAGGAGGCGGAGGTTGCAGATCGCGCCATTGCACTCCAGCCTGGGTGACGAGAGCAAAACTCCGTCTCAAAAAAAAAAAAGAAAGAAAAAAAGAAAAGAAAGAAATTTTTCAGGCTAGGTGCTATGGCTCATGCCTGTAATCTCAGCACTTTGGGAGATTGAGGTGGAAGGACTTCTTGAGGCATGAGTTGGAGACCAGCTTAGGCAACACAGTAAGACCCTGTCTCTACAAAAAATAAAATAAAATAAAATTATTTTGCAAATATTTCTCCCAGTCTGTGTCTTGTCTTTTCATTTTCTTCATGGTATTGTTTAATGAGCAGAAGTGTTACATTTTGATTATGTCCAATTTGTGATTTTTGTCTTCTATCATTAGTATTTTTTATGTTCTGTAGAAATTTTAGCTGAGCATAACAGCATGCAGATATTTTCCTGTATCTCGTTTTAGAAAACATTGAAGCTTAATAGTTTCAGATTTCACATTAAGGCCTCCTGTCTTAAGCTAATTTTTGTATATGGTATGAGGTAGCAGTCAAAGTTCTTCTGTTTTGTTTTTGTCTTTAATATGGATATCCAGTTGTTCTAGAATCATTTGTTGCAAAGACTTTTCTTTCTACATTGATGTGTGTGCCTGTGTGAGCATGCACAAACACCTTTGTTGAAAATCAATTGACTATACACACGTGAACCTATTTCAGGACTCTCAATTCTGTTTCATTGACTTGTCTGTCTATCTGATGCAAATAACAGCGTCTAAATAATTGTTGCTTTATAGTAAGTCTTGAAAGCAGGAAGGATATGTCTTCTATATTTTTTCTTTTAAAGGTTCTGTTGCTAATCTTCATCTTTTGAATTTTCATAATACATTTTAACTTCAGCTCATTAATTTCTACTAAAAAGCCTCCTGGAATTTGGATTGGGATTGCACTGAAGCTATAGATCAATATTAATTCTCTCAATCCATAAGCATGTTATATGGTTTAATTTTTTATTTAACCTTTTTCGGCAATATGAAATCATTTTCAGAATGTCTTACTTATTTTTGTTAAATTTTCAGTAGTTTATATTTTGCTGCCGTTATAAATGGAATTGCTATTTAATTTTATTTTCCAATGTTTTGTTTGTCAAAATTGAAATATAATGAATTAATTATTTATTTAATTAATTTATTTATTTTGAGAAGGAGTCGCTCTTTATCGCCCAGGCAGGAGTGCAGTGGCGCAATCTCGGCTCACTGCAACCTCCACCTGCCACCCCCCTTCCCTTCCCGCTCCCCGCCGCCCCCTGTTCAAGCAATTCTCATGTCTCAGCCTCCTGAGTAGCTGAGATTTACAGGTGCCTGCCACCATGCCTGACTAATTTTTTTTGTATTTTTAGTAGAGACGGGGTTTTGCCATGTTGGCCAGGCTGGTTTCAAACTCCTGACCTCAAGCGATCTGCCCGCCTCAACCTCCCAAAGTGCTGGGATTACGGGCGTGAGCCACCGTGCCCAGCCCAAAATTAAAGTATAATTGAGTTTTATATATTTACCTTGGCTGCCGTGACTTTGTTAAATTTATTTTTGGTTCTACTAGACCAGATGATGGTTCCTTAGGATGTTTTATATATGAAATCGTGTCATCTGCATAAAAGATAGTTTTGCTTCTTTTTTTTTAAATTTGTATGCCTTTATTTTTTTCTTACGTTGTTGTATTAGAACTTTCAGGATAATGGTTGCATAGAAGTAGGGAGAGTGGACATCTTGTTTCTGAACTCTGAAAGAAAGCATTAAATATTTCTCTATTTAGTATAACATTTGCTGTTGGGTTTTTATATATGCCATTTATTACACTGATGAAAGTTCTTTCTTTTCCTAGTTTTTTTGAGAGGTTTTTAAAAATCATGAATGTGGCTGGGTGCAGTGCAGTGGCTCACGCCTGTAATCCCAGCACTTTGGGAAACTGAGCCGGGTGGATCACCTGAGGTCAGGAGTTTGAGACCAGCCTGGCCAACATGGTGAAACCTCGTCTCTACCAAAAATACAAAAATTAGCCAGGCGTGGTGGTGCACTCCTGTAATCCCAGCTACTTGGGAGGCTGAGGAAGGAGCATCACTTGAACCCGGGAGGCGGAGGTTGCAGTGAACTGAGATGGGGCCACTGCACCCCAGCCTGGGCCACAAGAGCCAGACTCTGTCTCAAAAAAAAAAAAAATCATGAAAATGTATACAATGTTTTCAAAAATATTTTTGCATCAATTGAGATGTTATGCTTTTTTCTGTTTGATTCTGTTAATGTGATGAATTATAACATTGATTTTCTAATGGGAAACCAAACTTGCAATCCTGGCATAAGTTATTAATAACAGTTATCCTATTCACACAATGCCGAATTTGGTTTTCTAATATTTTATTGAGGACTTTGCGTCTTTACTCATGCAGGATATTGGCCTGTAATTTTCTTTTCTTGTAATGTCCTTGTCAAGTTTTGGCATCAGTGTTTATGCTGGCCTCATAAAACAACTTGGAAAGTGTTTTCTTCTATTTTCTTGAAGAGTTTGTGTAAGACTGGTGTTAGTTTTTTCCTTAAGGCTTTGATAGAATTTACGAGTAAAGCCATCTGGGCTTGGGATTTTCTTTGTTGAAAGATTTTTCATTATGAATTCAATTTTGAAAAAAAGATACAGGGCTATGTGAATTTTTCTTTTTCTTCTTGCTAATTTTGGTAAGATATGCTTTTCAAGGAATTTGTCCATTTGCTCTAAGCTGCTGAATTTATAGGCATAAAATCATTCATTGCTTTGTCTTCTTGGAGAATTGAATCCTTTATCATTATGTAATAACCCTCTTTATCACTGGTAATATTTCTTGTCTGAAGCCTACTTTGACATTAATGAAGCTACTCAGCTTTCTTTTGATTAGTGTCTCTATGGTACATCTATTTCCATCCTTTTACTTTTAACCTATCTATGTTTTTATGTTTAAAATGGTATTTTTGTAGACAGTATATAGTTGAGTCTTGCTTTTTATATTGTCTAGCAATTTCTATCTTTTTATTAGTGTGGTTTGCATTTAATATGATTATTGATATGATTGAGTTAAAGTCAATAATCTAAACAGCTGTTTTTGATTTGTTCCATTTGTGCTTTCTTTTGGCCCCCTTTTTGATTAATTAAGCATTTTTTACTATCTAATGTTATCTTCACTATTGAATTAACATGTGTAACTGTTTTTAAAAATTTTAGTAGTTGCCTTAGACTTTACCATACACATCTTGTTTGATCAAAGTCTACTTTCAAATAATTATCTTCTGTTTCATGTCTACTATAAAGGTAATATATTCCCACTTCCAGCTCCTCACCCTTGTTCTATTGTTGCCCTGTATTTACTCTTACAAATGCTATACATGCACAATACTTCTAATTTTGCTTTAGATAGTTATTTTTTAGAGCAATTACAAGTAATAAAACATGACTTTTATGTTTACCTTTAGTCATTCCATTTCCAATGCTCTTAATTTCTTTCTCTGGATTCAAGTTTCTATCTTCTATTACATTCCTTATGCCTGAAGAACTTTCTATAACATTTCTTATGGCATAGGTACACTGGCAATTAATTCTCTCAGGTTTTGTTGTTGTTGTTTGTTTTGAGTCTGGGAAAGTCTTTATTTCTCCTTTCTTTTTGAAAGATATTTTTGCTGGGTAAAGAATTCTGAATTTACTGGTTTTTGATGTCAATCAGCATCAAAGACATTATTCCACTATCTTCTGGCTTGCATAGTTTCCGATGAGAAATATTCTGTCCTTCTTACCTTTGGTTTTTAACTTCTGTGTGTACAGTGTGTCTGTTTTCATTGGCTGCCTTCAGAATGTTCTCATTGTCTCTGGTTTTCAGCAGTTTGAATATGATATGCCTATGATGTGGGAGTTCTTTTCGGGGGAGCATTTATTCTGCTTGGTGTTCTTTGAGCATCTTGGAACTATGATTCAGTATCTGTAATTCATTTTGGAAAATCCTTACATATTATTTCTTAATATCTTTTCTTTCTGGGATGCCAATTACATGTAGGTTAGATCTTTTGTTATTGTCCCATATCTCTTAGATGCTCTGTTGTGTTTTTCCATCCACATTCCATTCTTCCACTTTTCTGGCAATCAATGCCACAATTGTCATAAGCCCGGTTTCCATAATATGTAAGGGTCTCACCAAAGAAATTATTTGTTGTTGTCTTTTCTCTTGTTATCCAAATCCTTAGGGGTCTATCTCTTTAGAAGGTTGTTTTCTGCCACTTTAATAGTCTTAGAAGAGAGCAAAAGTGAATGCATTTGCACAATCTGCCATCTTTAATTGGAAGTCAAAATGGAATTTCATTAGTTAAATGAAGCTTAGTAGTGGTAAGGACTACATTTCCTGCTATCTTTGAAATAAATTAATCTAGTGTATCTTACTTTCTCATTTTAAAAGACTTTTGCATTATCAGAAATGAGTCACAAATAATGACAAACATGTATTATACACTCATCATGTGCTGGAGGTGTAAATCCTGTTCTATAATTACTTAATTCTCACAACAATTCTACTAGATAGACACACTTATTATCCTCATTTTTACAGTGAGGGTAAACTGAGGCACAGAATGATTAAGTAATTTGTCCAAAGATGCAGAAATAGAAAATGACAGAATCTGGCTTCTTAAACCATTATATTTTAACTACTTCAACAAATGGGAAGATAATTATTTTTAGGTAATATCTTTGTTTTTGGTCTCTATAATCCTTCAGT
This sequence comes from Homo sapiens, assembly GCF_000001405.40. Taxonomy (NCBI): domain Eukaryota; kingdom Metazoa; phylum Chordata; class Mammalia; order Primates; family Hominidae; genus Homo; species Homo sapiens. The sequence continues at coordinate 54,856,092 of NC_000016.10, read as the reverse complement.
TATTACTGTTACCTCTCTAAGAATCTTAATCTATTAATCAGCAAGTACATATTTAGCACCCATTGTGTGCCCAGAATTGTTTTGTTTGCTATGGAGGTATAAACAAATATGGCAGGGCTGTTTCCTTCAAGGAGTTCACATTCTCCAAAGGAAAGGCCCCACAAATCTAAAAATAAACATTAAGGTCCAGAGGAGTATCATTATTATTATCATGATTTTTGAGACAAGGTCTTGCTCTGTCACCCAGGCTGGAGTGCAGTGGTGCCGTCATGGCTCATGCAGCCTTGCTCTCCCAGGCTGAAGTGATCCTTCTTCCTCAGCCTCCCATGTAGTTGGGTCTACAGGCACAGATACAATTATTTCTTAATTTTTTTGTAGAGACAGGGTCTCACTATGTTGCCCAGGCTGGTCTCAAATTTCTTGGCTTAAGTGATCCTCCTGCCTCGGCCTCCCAAAGTATTGGGATTACAGATCTGAGCTACCACACCCAGCCAGTATCACTATTCAGAAAAAGGAAAGCTCAATTTGATCTGGATGCTTGGAAACCATGGGAAACATATTAAAAATAATGATGATTATTCAACAGTTTGCTTAGCTCTGGATTACCCATGCTGCATTTTCACTTCTCCCTTACCTCTTTTTTGTGCTCTAATTTTTACCTATTCCACTGTTTATAAATACTTTTTCCACAGAACAAAATAAGGAAATTTTTTAAGCTCAAAAGGTATCTATAAAAGTTTAAAGTGGAAAGAATCTCAAAATCTTGGTTATGGTGATGTGCGTGCATGTGTGTGTGTGGGTATGCATGTATATATATATATATATATATATATATATATATATATCCCAATTATTTTCTTTCTCCATCAAAATAGATAACTGAGAATTAACAGGTATTAACATTAGGTGTTCCCTAGTATATCTGGAATAACTGTGATTATCAAAGGTTTTATAAATGCAATTTTATCTTTTAGATTGGCTAGTATGGTGTCTGACTCCTAATAGGCACCTAACAAACATTTATCATTTCACTGACAGAATGAATGAAATTAAAGAATCTCTAAGGCATATATTTTTGGTAAATGATAAAGAAAATCCTCATGAGTTTGTATTTTAATTTAAAGAGCAGATTTTCCTAATGCCGTGCACGTCGACATATCCTAGGAAGAAGGTTGTAGTTGACCCATTATCCTTACTTGGAAGCTCTACAGGATTAAAGGTCTGGATTCCTTCATAGTTGATGACCACCTCTTCCCTGGTGCAGTACCTGGCAGAGAGTAGATTCAATAAATATTTGTTGGATGGAAAAATGAACCATCTGACAGATTGAGGCAAAAATAATTCTTAGTGCTATATAGCAACTTGGCTCAAGGGCAGATTTCAGACAAAACTAATAGTAACAGCAGAGAATTTTTTCAGGAAAAACTTGATCGTGTAGTGGTCAGACCATGTTTTATGGAGCTAGGCAGACCTAGGACCTATTCCCATCCCTGCCACTTACTAGCTAGCTTTGCAACCTAAGAAAAGTTGTTTAACCTCTCCAAGTCTCAATTTCCCAGTCATTAAATCCAGAGCAGTAATATTATTTCATATGTTTGTTGTGAGGATTAAAGAAAATATTCAACATCAAGAGCTTATCTCGTGACCAACTACAGAAGTACTCAACAAATGGTAAATATTATTGTTATGCAGAGATTTCAGGAGTTGAGGCAGAGGCCATTTGGATCTATAGAGAATCTTAACAAAAGTGAGGAAACCTAAAACAGATGTGCCTATCTGCTTCCTATATTTCTCTTTTCTTGCTTTAGGAATTTTGAATGACATTTGTTTGGCATATGGATATGTGGAAATGGTGAGATGAGAAGAAGGCTAGAAATCCTTTCCACTTTTAGAGAAATGCCCTCTACCAAGGATGTATGCTCCAGAGCAACATAGGCCCACCCTATCTGCTGAGGATGAAAACAGCAAGAGACAATGGGATATGACACAGTAATGAGTTCTCATTTGTCAGGTGTCAGCTTGCTGATATGGTCTAAGGATAAGGTGTTCAACAATTCTTAGAAATTGGTAATAACAATACCACTTACACAGCAGTGCCTCTTACAGTTTTTATAATACTTCTACATGGACTATCTGTTTTAATTTTCACCACAATGTTGTGAGGAGCCTGAAGTAAATATTATCATTTCCATTTTATAGATGAGTAAACACATTCTGAGAAGTGAAATGACCATGCCCAAGGTCTCTTAGCTACTCAGTAATTGACCTGGGGCTCAAACCCGGGTTGTCACTCTGGATTCATTTTTTTTTTCCAAAGCAGCTGTTTGTTCTATGGAATCTGCCTATTTTCATTAGTGAGTGTGTGTGTGTACATGCTAGACCCTCAAAAATTTGTGATTTATAAGGTAATTTTGTACTCAACTACAGTTGCTAAAAGAAGAGGGCTGTTTTTTATCGTTGTTGTTTTGTTTGTTTTGTTTTGTTGTTGTTGTTTTAAATTTTATGTCTCTTTTTGGCCCAACAGGGAGCAAAGTTTGTCATCTTGATACACTAGATCTTTGATGATATCAATAAGGAAACATCCACACCCTTTGGTTAAAAGACTCTGAGACTTCAAGGACTGCTGGCTGTTCAGAAGAGGCTGTGGTGGTTCAAGTGAGGCTCAAGGCTGTAGTTATACCAATCTGTTACTCCATGAAGAGTCCAAGGCTGCTGAACAGAGTGAACCTCAGAACAGATAGCAGTGGCACCTAGAAGATATAATCTCAACAGCAGATGAGTTATTGAGGGATGATTGCTGATTATGGATTCCTCTTCATCTCTCTTAACTTATATTCCAAGCTGTTAACCTAGAATAAATCCTACTATATCTAATTAATGCATTAATCAAACTTTGTTTTGAATGGAAGGGGGGAGAATATGTTGATTACCCCGGCTAGTGGGATACAAAATATACCTAAAGCAGAATATCTTTCTCCATCATGAATAACATTAATCTCTGCAGTTCTTACAAGTGAATAATTATTATATAGTTTGTTTCCTATTTGTCTGGCTTGGTATTTATCCTTTATGAGTTTCCAGGTGACAATTTGTTTCAGGAAGAATTCTCCAGAAACAATTTTTTAAGATTATCGTCAAATTCCTTAATAAAGAGTTGAAAGCCAAACTCACTAGGTGAAATGCAACAACAACCAATGGGCAACAGACTGATCTCCAACTTCCTGAATTCTTTTTTTTTTTTTTTTTTTGAGACAGGGTCTCTCTCTGTCGATCAGGCTGGAGTGCAGTGGCTCAATCTTGGCTCACTGCAGCCTCCACCTCCCAGGCCCAAGCAATCCCGAGTAGTAGGGACTCAGGCACGCACCACGACACCTGGCTAATTTTTTGTATTTTTGGTAGAGAGAGGGTTTCACCATGTTGCCCAGGCTGGTCTTGAGCTCCTGAGCTCAAAGTATTTGCTTGCCTCAGCCTCCCAAAGTGCTGGGGTTACAGGCGTGAGCCACCGTGCCAGGCCTTTAATTCTTAATTGCCGCCAGGATTGATTGGTAAGGCTGTAGAAGAGTTGCTGTCCATTCCAAGTCTTCCCATCTGAAGCAACCACCATGCCACAGCCTTATTCTGTCCCATGGCTGTTTTGTGCATCTCCAAGTGTACCAGTGTGAGGCCCTCAAACACACCCATGCCCTCTGATGAAATAATGTTGGTCGTGATAACCACAGGGATGTCACAGCCGCCGTTCCACACTCTAACTAATTCTTATTTTGTTCCAACAACAACAATTTGAAATGGGAAGAACCACCCCATTTTAGACATTTCAAAACGAGGGCTTGGATAGATTATGTACCTTGTCCAAGGTCACACAACCAAATGGCAAGGTACGGACTCAACCTAGTTCCATCTGCCTCCAGTCCAAAACCCAGAGCTCTCAACTGCCACCCTCATTGTCTCTACTAGATACGGGCTTCCCTGCGGTAACTGTTGAGGCTGGAAAACACAGGCCTGAGAGAACTTTTAAATATGAAATGATAACTCTTTGCCTACTGAGATTCTTATTTTTAAAAACCCAGAGGAAGATCATATTTATATATTTATTCAACATTCACGTATGATATTTAGATTTACAAAATGCTTTATAGTGTAACAGAATGGGCAGAAATTTTTACTCGGGCTTATAATTGTCTTTTCTTTCATATTCATTTATTCCTTTGATTTATATAATGTGTTCTCTGCTTGGTCTTCTGAGATTACGTACAATGGTAACAAATCGAAAATAATATTAATAAAAGATTATTTTGTATCACTCACAGGGAAAACTGACTGGGGCCATGCGCCTCTCTGTTCTTTAGAAACGTTATGCGAGAGAACATAATATTGTCCCCAGAATACTGTCTGTAATGCCGGCTATGCTTATTCGTGGTGCTTTAAAAATAAATTTAACTCCTGTTCTTCATTTTGTGTGTGTGTGTGTGTTATTTACTTCCTTCTCTTCAGGTGGCTGGGGTGCTTCACAGCTATAATGAACTGCTGTGAGCATCACCTGAAGTCGCCAAACTACTTTCTTCACTGATCATTGAGCATGAGTTCTCTGCGGAATGCTGGGTCCCTTTACCTGCGAACCTTTTCCCCAGTTGGTCACCAGGCTGGTTCCTGCTTTTCATCTAGTCCTGAAATCAACAGGCACTGTCTCTGCAAAGCCTGCCCTGACCCCAGATTCAAAAGAACCCCACATTGCAATGTATCCTAGCATTTTCTTATTTCTTCCTTAGCATGCAATATTCTATGTTAAGAATGCTAGAGTCCAGGCTGGGTGCAGTGGCTCATGCCTGTAATCCCAGTACTTTGGGAGGCCAGGGTGGGTGGATCACCTGAGGTCAGGAGTTCAAGACCAGCCTGGCCAACATGGTGAAACCCCATCTCTACTAAAAATACAAAAGTTAGCTGGGCTTGGTGGTGCATGCCTGTAGTCCCAGGTACTCAGGAGGCGGAGGCAGGGGAATCACTTGAACCCGGGAGATAGAGGCTGCAGTGAGCCGAGATCACGCCACTGCACTCCAGCCCAGCAAGGCTCTGTCTCAAAAAAAGAATGCTAGAGTCCTTGGGTTTGGTGCGAATGAATAAATACAGATAGGTAAGCTAATATTTTGTCATTTTTAAGTTGCTATATTCTTCTTTAAAATGAACATTTTAGGCCAGGTGTGGTGGCTCATACCTATAATCCTAGCACTTTGGGAGGCCGAGGTGGGTGGATCACTTGAGGTCAAGAGTTCGATACCAGCCTGGCCGACATGGCAAAACCCCATCTCTACTAAAAATACAAAAATAAGCCTAGCTTGGTGGTGTATACCTGTAATCCCAGCTACTCAGGAGTCTGAGGCACAAGAATCCCTTGAACCTCAGAGGCAGAGGTTTCAGTAAGCTGAGATTGCACCACTGCACTCCAGCCTGGATGACAGAGCAAGACTCTGTCTCAAAAATAAATAAATTAAAAAAAATAAAATGAATATTTTTAAGAATCTCTTTAAGGTAAATTGCTCTGAAGTTTTACAATGTACTCCCTGTCTTTGCAAGGCATCAGCTCTTGACTGTGGGGGACATGTAAAACATGGCTAGAGGGCTGGGCGCGGTGGCGCAGGCCTGTAATCCTAGCATTTTGAGAGGCTGTAGGAGGGAGGATAGCTTGAGCCCAGGAGTTCAAGACAAGCCTAGGCAATACAAGGAGACCCTACAAATAATAAACAAAAAATAGCCAAGTGTGGTGTCACATGCCTGTAGTTTCAAGATTCTGGAGGCTGAGGTGGGAGGATCACTTTAGCCTGGGAGGTCGAGGCTGCAGTGAGTTGTGATGGCACCACTGCACCCCAGCCTGGGCAACACAGCAAGACCTTGTCTTAAAAAAAGGACATACAGCAAGTGTCGTGGCAAGGGCTTCTGTTGGTCAATTTATAGATTTTCAATGACTGTGCGCGTTAATCCGCAGATTAAAACAGTTATTTTCATCATTAATTTTTTTTCTTTAGAAATGGCAATTAGGGTGCCTAATTAAACTGTGGTTTAGAAAGATCAGTGTTGAGGCCTGTACCAGGAGGAAGGCTTGGGGTCCAGCCAACTGGTTAAGTGCTTTTCAATACAGGCAGCATATTGTTAATAATAATAATATAGGGTGGAGCAATGTCATTGCAGTTTTTGCCATTAAAAGTAATGGCAAAACCACAATTACCTTTGTGGCAACCTAATACATTCTACTAACCAGGGCCAATTGAGTCAGAATCTTGTTGGGGGAGGGGTGCATGCTTTCCGTGGCCCTCCAAGTTAGAGGACCTGACTCTCATCCAGCTCTGAACTTAGAAAAAGCTCAGGATCCCCCTTCCCACTGTCGGTGGTTTTTGGAATGAGACTTCCTATTTCAATATGGTGTCTGATGAGCCTGGCAGTGCCAGCAGGGCACCGTCTTCTCAGGCCCCACAGGATTGCTGGTCTCCTGTCTAGATTTTCTGTTTGTTTTTTGGATGCCCTCCTGGACCCTCGGACCAAATCTCAGCCTGCTTGTTCAGTGCCTGGCCACTCTGACTTAGCTACTGTAACCTCTTCTTTGCAGAATCAAGACCTTGTTCCTCATATCCAGAACCACCAGCTGGGGTCCCGCTTCCATCAGATTGAACCACACAGGATCACAGTGGAGTCTCCTTCTTGAGTCTTCCCACCCTGGAAACTCCTACTGCTGTCAAACCCCCTGACAGGTCAATCTCCTTGAACATGGGCCCTTCCATAAAGCTTTTAGCCACTTTTCTTATTCATAGAGAAATAAACTCCACCTCTTTAGCAAGAGGTCATGCAAAATGCATGTCAAGGGTCCTGAATACAAGGGAGGGGTGAAAAATAAGGGCCAATAAAGCAATCAGTCAACCACTGGCAAATAAGGGAGATACTGATTATTTCTGGGAAAGAAGCAAAAATTGTAGCAACATCAGCTACATAGGGAGTCTAATTTGATCTGAGGTGACAGTAAGGTGCATCTGGTGACAAAATAACAATCATGTTGCCATGAAGCATCTGCAAGTTTGACAACTTAGATGTGACTTGAGAAGAGTATAGGAATTATTTAGAAAGGTTAATAATCAAAACTTCAGAAAGCCACTCACAAGCCTGAACCAGGGGAGAGAATGGGCCTGGATTAGATCCTGGCTGAGATTGGTGGGTCACATGCAAAGCAGCATCCTCCCAGGAAGGGAAGCCGGGGAGTCAGGGTTACAGCACCTGCAGTTGGGGTTACTGGAAGCCTCCCTGGACTTGGGTGTACTGGTGCATTCTAGTCATCATTTTGCTACTCCACAGGAGCCTCAATTCTCTGAGTCGCCTCTTCTCTAGGGACCTGGGTGGATTGACATCTCTGACCCTTTGAAATGTAAGCAGAAGTGTCATATAGCACTTCCTCATGGAAGCAATGAAAAGCCACTGCTCTATTTTGATGCTCTTTTCTTCCCACAGTCCAGTGTAAACCTCATGTTGAGATGGTGGCATCAAAAGAGGGCAGAACCTTGGGTCCCTGAGTGACTAAAGTGAGCACAGGTACCTGCTAACTCGCAATGGACATGTAGCATGAAAGAGACGTAAACCTTTATTGTATTAAGCCACTGAGCATTGGAGGTTGTTTCTATGGCAGCAGAGCCTAGCCTACTCTGACTACTTTGAGGACTTTGTCCATGAATGTGTTCCTGTTCACTCTAGAATTTTAACTGACAGCCCGGTAGAGAGAAGCATTGTGATGATAATGATGACGATGATGATATCACTGAGTGCTGGAAAAGGTTTCTGCCACTACCTTCCTAGACTCATCTAAGTGGATGGACTCCAGGGGATGGAGAATGGAAGGCAGCAGATGTTTGTTGACTTCTTGCTCTATATCGGGCACTGTGCTAGATACCATACACGCCATCAACATTTAGGACAGTATGGTCAGAGCAATTTGATTTTTATATTACAGTTGAGGAAAAGAGCTCACAAGAGGTTAAATTACTTGCTTAAAACTCACAAATTTAGTATATGTCAGATCCAGGACTAGAACTCAAGCCCATCTAACTTCAGAGCCTATGCTATTTTCCTGTAACATAAACATACAAGTAATGAGCTTTTAATCTTTTATAACTTGTTAGCATTTTCCTCCTAACTGTAATCCTTTTAGGATAAATTTGAGTTAGATCAATCTACTCTTCATAGCTATTGTTCTTAGAATTATTTCGCTCTTTCGTTTCACCCAGATTTGTTTTTGCTGACCTTTGACACATGAGGTGCTACAAATCTGTGTGTTTGTTTAAACTTCAACCAAACACCCTCATGTTTGTTTTAAGTGGGAATATCATCACAGGATATCTGGAAATGCCTCCACCATGGCTACAAGTTTTTTAAAATGTGAGATTTTTCCTGTATGGTAAGGATGTTGCAGAGAACTAGAATGAGATGTAAGGCAACTGATGTTTTCTTTTTTCTGTTTGCTTTTTTTTTTTTTTTTTTTTTTTTTACAGACAAAGGAGAATGAAAGCTGTCTCTTGTAGATAGGATATTTTCAGCCGTCATCACCATGGACTCTTTGAAATGTACTACTTCAGAAAAGCCACAGTGACTCCCTCTGGGCCTCACCCACCTGAGATGACATCACGACGCAAATCTAGGACTTACGCTCTTCATACGGATGGAATGGTTGGTTCACTTGGCTTTCAGAGTGCAGACAAGCCATTCAGTGGAGGGCATGCCTCAGCCTGCACTCTTCTGACTCATGACATGACTTCTCCATGGAGAGCCAGGATTTTTCTCAAGTGTAACAATATTAATTATCAAGTCACTTTAAAACATGTGTGATGTATGTGTGCATTTATTTCACAGGAATGGTATAAAGATTAAATACTTAATGAATCCATTTTTCATATCAAGGATATATTTGCCCTATGCCTAAATATATCTCTCCCTTCTGTTTCTCATGAGAAATATAGCTATCTTTATTATGTAATCAGTAATATATCATTCCTTCTAAGCAGGATCTAATTTTAGCAACATGATGAATGGCCCAGGAATGTATTCCACTGCCCTCTGCAGAAAGGAATATATATCAGACCTGCTCAGGTGTGTGTCATTTCTTTATACTGGGAGCTTTCAGCAGCCCAAGTGGCAGCTGGGTTTTTCTGACTGAAAGCCGCAAGTTCTGTCTCTATTTGGGCTCGGGCAGACACCACTAGGAAACGGCCATGTGTGAACAATACCTAGATTTGCTAGCTCAGCCAATGAGGCTTATGGTTCTCCTATGCCCGGGTTTATTGCACCAGCTGGAAAATGACCAATTGTTTTTTATCTTCATTGACGTGCAAGATCTGTTTGTGTAGGATCACATTCAAGTCCCCCCTGCCTTCTTCCATTTCTAAAAATTTGATCTTTAAACAAAGATATTTCTTTAAAATGTGGGAGTCAGGCTGGGCGTTGTGGCTCGCACCTGTAATCCCAGCACTTTCGGAGGCTGAGGTGGGCAGATCACCCGAGGTCAGGAGTTCCAGACCAGCCTGGCCAACATGGTGAAACCCTGTCTCTACTAAAAATACAAAAATTAACTGGGTGTGGTGGTGCACAACAGTAATCCCAGCTACTTGGGAGGCTGAGTTAGGGGAATCGCTTGAACCCAGGAAGCAAAGGTTGCAGTGAGCAGAGATTGTACCACCGCACTCTAGCCTGGGTGACAGAGTAAGTGAGACTCCATCTAAAAAAAAAAAAATTAAATAAATAAATAAATAAATAAAATGTGGGAATCAGTCCAGTATGATTAGCACCATAAGGAATCAGGAATTTTGTCTTTCTTGAGCTTCCGAGGGAACAAAAACGTTCATTTTCTTTCACACTATCTGTGAGTTTTATAGCTGCTTCTGCACACTGATGGCACCTTATATCTCAATGACATCTTAATTTTTAAAGCTATTTTGCATTTGTTTTTTATTGATCTGTGGGAAAGTCAAGGCGGTACCTTATCTCCATTTTGCAGATGTGAAAATTGAGACCCAGAGAGATTAAATGACTTATTCAACTTCTAGGATATGGCCTGGTAAGGGCTAAAATCTAAATCTCCATACCATCATCATCCTACTGTCTATGCTTAATTCTTAATGAAATCTATGTAAGATGGAAAACAAAAGTTAGAGGTGTTTGTTTCTGCAGCTACCGTATATATATAATTCTGAAATTCTTTGTACAACTACTATATTTGTTGATTCTAAGATATACTTTTTTCATATTAGTATGTCTGAAACTGAGATACATCTTTTTTTTTTTTTTTTTTTTTTTTTTGAGATGGAGTTTCGCTCTTGTCACCCAGGCTGGAGTGCAGTGGCATGCTCTCAACTCACTGCAACCTCTGCCTCCTGGGTTTAAGCCATTCTCCTGCCTCAGCCTCCCAAGTAGCTGAAATTACAGGCACTTACCACCACACCCAGCTAATTTTTGTATTTTTAGTAGAGACCGGGTTTCACCATGTTGGCCTGGCTGGTCTCGAACTCCTGACCTCAAGTGATCCGCCTGCCTCAGCCTTCCAAAGTCCTGGGATTACATGCATAAGCCACTCCACCTGGCCTGAAACTGAGATACATCTTACAATCTATGGAGTATCATAATCTAACTGGAAGTTTTTTTCTTTCTTAGTGGTTGCAGTACATTGATTCTGAAGATGGCCCAGATCTTCACTCATATCCTGATGTCCTTTAGCGTGTCACTTTGCAGCTCCTCCCATGAAACGATCAAGTCTATTTCCCTACACCTTAAAAGTGGGTTGGACTTATCTTTATTTATTCCTGGAGAGGACACTCTTGGTGCCCCACCCATCCTCCCTCCTCCTTGCTACTTTAGCCTACCTGAATTCCAAATGTACCTGTGTTTCTTTGCCTGAGAACTCACTCTGATTGCCAAAGCCTGATTTGTCTGCTCTGATGGCTTAAAAATAGATTCACACATTTTTTAATACTCCTCCCTCCCCTTTTCTTGAACGTGGGCCAAACTTTATGACTTGACTCGCTTCTATCAAATAGAATGTGGTGGAAATGACAGTGTGACTTTCAAGACTAGGCCATAAAAGGCCCTGTGGTCTCATGGTCTCTCTTGGATCACTCATTTTGGGGTCAGCATATGCCTTGTTGTGGGGACACTCAAGCAGTCAAATGGAGAAGTTGATATGGTGAGGAACTGAGGCCTCCAACCAACAGCCAGCACTGACCAGCCAGCTGTGCAAGTGAACCACCCTAGAAGCAGGTCCTCCAGCCTCAGTCAAACCTTCAGATTACTAAATCCCTGCCCATTTCTTAAATGCAACCTCATGAGGAACCTCAAGCCAGAACTCACCAGCTAAGCTATTCCAAATTTCTTCACCCTTGCAAACTGTATGAAATAATAAATATTTATTGTCATATTAAGCCACTAAATTTTGGGATAGTATGTTACACATTGGTATATAACTAAACCCATCTACATGACAGGTTGGAAATGTTGGTGGGTTACCCACTGGAAGCACCTTCCACCAGTGACATACAGTAGTTAATATCAATATAATAGCTTCCTCACCCCTTGAGTAGGATAACTGAACACCCAGGGTTTCTCCAGGGTAATTATGTTCCAGTTTCTAGAATAGTAACTGGATTGATAACACCCTTTATTGGCCATTTTCCCTTCCCTGTCTAACTTTTTTTTTTTTTTTTTTGAGATGGAGTCTTGCTCTGTTGCCCAGGCTGGAGTGCAGTGGCGCAATCTCGGCTCACTGCAAGCTCCGCCTCGTGGGTTCACACCATTCTCCTGCCTCAGCCTCCCAAGTAGCTGGGTCTACAGGCGCCTGCCACCATGCCTGGCTAATTTTTTTTGTATTTTTAGTAGAGACAGGGTTTCACCGTGTTAGCCAGGGTGGTCTCAATCTCCTGACCTCAAGATCCGCCCCCCTCGGCCTCCCAAAGTGCTGGGATTGCAGGCGTGAGCCACCACACCCATCCCCATCTTCAATGTTAACAACTTACTCTCAAGTCCTTGTCTCAAAATCTCCTTTTGGGAAGTAGACAGCAAGAGGATGGGGAGGGGGAATGCAAACTAAGTAAGTTGTGTGTGATTAATTGCCAAGTCCTGTGTAGTTTTTCATTTAAAGTATTTTTTCCATAGCTGCAGTTCAACAGTGCTAATCTGAGCTGATTAAAACAAACCAACCAACCCTCCCACTTCACACATATATAAATTTTGGTAAAAATACCCTCTCCACCATTTTTAATACAGTCTCAAACTGAAAACCAAGAAAGGAAAAGCCTCAAGTGCCAGATGCAAAGAGGATGCCCAAAGTTAGAGTGATCAGAGGGAGGTAAAATACAAATACTTACATGTGAACCAGGATAGGAGTGAGACCTTAACAGCTGAAACTTTAGAGGCCCGGTGAACAGGATCCTATAGGCCTGAGCCCCAGAGAATCAGGAGGAGGGGCCAGGCTACCTGCATAAAGCCAGGATTTCTGAAGAGCTGACTAATGTCCTCTGAATTGGGAACTAAAGAAACCACCCACTAGCCTAGGGGAATAGCAGGGAAGCTTGTAGTTTTTCAGGGCCATGAGAGTAACAGGCATCACTCAAAAGAAATGAATTTGTGTCATGAGTAAGATCTGAGTTCTTGTTACTTATGTACCCGGACCCAAAACTAAGAAATTATTTTAAAATCTTGTCCAGAATCAGTAAATTCAAAGGCACCTCACAAAGATGCTGTAGAGCACATGAAACTGTCATGGGCCCCTCTTTCACTTTCATCTTCATAAGGATGAGTTTACAGAAAGGAAATAAGGAAAGAAGCCACATAAAGAAGCAAGACACAGTGAAGCAGAGCCAACAGATGAAACAAATGCGAGAATTTGCATCTCAAGAGCTGGGAGTAACAGAATAACAATCTAAAAAGGACTTTAAAATAAATAGACTTAAAGCATTTCAAAACATAAAAAAAGAACACCAATCATAAACTAAGAATAACATAAATTTAAAAACAACAGGCAGATTGGAGGAAAACATTCTAAAAATGAAAAAAAGAGTAATTGAAATAAAAACCTCAATAGACGAGTTGAACTGTAAAACAGATGTGGTCGATAAGCGAATAAGTAAATGGAAAGACAGATCTGAGGAAATTATCCAAAATACAGCAAAAGAGAGAAAGAAAGAGATGGAAAATACAAAAGTTAATCAAATGAGATAGTCTTACATATGTTGATTAAGAGTTGCAAAACAGAAAAAATGACAGGATAAGAAGCAAAGAGATAATAATCAATAATTTTCACTATCCAAGACATGTGTTCTCTCATATCTATATTCAACTATATTCCAGGGTGAAAATAAAATAAAGTCAATTTCAGACATCAAAAGGCTACTTTTTCAAATAGTATTTTATTTATTTATTTATTTATTTATTTTTGAGATAGACTCTCACTCTACTGCCCAGGCTGGAATGTAGTGGTGCAATCTTGGTTCACTGCAACCTCCGCCTCCCGAGTTCAAGTGATTCTCCTGCCTCAGCCTCCCGAGTAGCTGGGATTACAGGCATGCAATACTACCCCTGGCTAATTTTTGTATTTTTAGTAGAGACGGAGTTTCATCATGTTGGCCAGGCTGGTCTCAATCTCCTGACCTCAAGTGATCCACTCGCTTCGGCCTCCCAAAGTGCTGGGATTACAGGCATGAGACACTGCGCCTGGTCTTCAAGTAGTACTTTGGCATATATATACATATCTATATCAAGATTACTTTGGCAAGAAAAAAGATTACCATGAACAGAAGAGGGATGCAAGAAACCTTTAAAAGTGGATAAATGTGTTGGTAAATCTAAATAAACTCTCAACAGTATAATTAAAATGGCTTTTTGTGAGTGTTTAAAACTAAGGTAGAAGTAAATTTCTAAACAACAAAATCATGGAAGATTGGAGGGCAGATGAGAGTTAAAGTGTGTATTATTTAGAAGGAAGTAAGCAATATTAATTCTAGACTTTAATTTAGATGTGGGAATATTAATTTATGGGTAGTCATGGATTTAGGGGTAAAAGGATGGAAGTAGAATTCATAACTTGCATACCTGTGGGGGAAAATATTAAAATGTGAACAGGAATATTACCCACCAAATCATGATGGTAATTTCCTCTTAGGAGAGAGGAGAGGTGACTGTGACCAGGAATGGATGAGGAGGCAAAGTAAACTTCAACTTTATTTGAAAAATTTAAAATGTTTAAAACATTATAGGAAAAGAGAAATATCATATGCCTTGTATCCCCTTTCTCTCTGCCTAGGGGACAAGGCAGGGGACATGGCCAAGCCTTCCACCGGTATTCAAGTTTCTTTGTAACCTGGCTCTATGTTTTCCAGCCAGCTTAGTTCCCTCCCTTCCTCCCAACACACAGTTTTCGCCCTCGTCAAGCCAGTCTCCTCATTTTTCATACGCCCTCTGCTTATTTTAGGATGCACACCTTTGTTGTCTAAATTCTCTTCGTTTTTCAAGCCCTTCTTTCTATTCCCTGACATTGACAACAGCAAGTAGAGTTGTGTGTAGCACACAATGCATCGTACTATTCTGTTTAACTCTCTTACAAACTACCTTATATTTTACATTTCATCTTAAAGTATTTACTTTTATTCGGTATCATTTCTTTGAAAGATTATAGACTCTAAGAAATCAAGAACTGTGGCGTTGATTATATCCTGCCCAGGAATCACTCCTGGCATGTTTCACAGATAAGTACATAGTCAGTGCTCAGAGTATACTTGTTAAATTGAAAGCCATCCCACTAGGGGAAAGGCAATGAAGAAAAGAACATGAACAAAGGAAATTTTGACCATCCTTCCATGGATAAATTTCACAAACACAACAATAACATGAGTCACTTATTTCAAGGTTATTTATCAACCTCAGTGGTCTAGAACATATTTGAGATTCAGAAAACATTGGTTAAGAACATGTGCTTTGGTGTCAGACAGACCCAGTTTGAGTATCAGTTTACCCATGTTATTACTCTGTGTATGACTATGGACAAGTGCCTTAACTTGTTTGCATGTTAATTTTCTCATATATAAAAACAGGGAAAGTACCTGTGCCTGAAAAGCACCTAGTGCAGTAGATGGCATGGAATAAAAGCACTCAGTAAATATAAACTGGGATTATTATTAGCTAAAATATATAAACCAGAGCCATATGTGAGATTACCCAGTTCTCCCCAACCCCCATTGCCAGCCCATGATAGAATTGTACCTATCTGCCCTCTAGAAGTGTGGTCATGTCATTTGTGGTAGCCAATGAAATGTCAGCATGAAGACATATGTGATTTCCTGCAGAAGTTTTAAGACCTCCTAGGCAATTTACCAAGTTCCCTTCCCCTGCTGTGGGGACTGTGGAAGCATGGATTGAGATGGAGGCTCTGTCAGCCTGTGTACCTGAGCAACCATGCTAAATAGAGCCCTTCCGCAACCCAAGTGGACACACAAAATAAATGAGACATAAACTTTTACTCTGTGAAGCCACCTGAGACTTTGGAGGTTTTTTTCTTGCAGCAAAACCTGGCCCATCTTGACAAATACCATGTACTAAAAGTCATACTTCCCCTCCTCTCAGGAAAAAAAAATTACCCAAAGCCATGCCTTAGAACACACTTACTCTTACTGAAAAATGCTTCTAGCCAACTGGCGTATGTGGTTTCTCATCTCACAGGATGTTAGAAAGAAAATACTAGAGGAGCTATGGCCAGAGGTAGACACTGAACCCAGGGAGAAGGGAGATCCGTGGATTGTAAAAACAAAAGTTAGGTGGGAGCGGTGGCTCACGCTTGTAATTCCAGCACTTTGAGAGGCTGAGGCAGGTGGATCACCTGAAGTCAGGAGTCCGAGACCAGCCTGGCTAACGTGGTGAAACCCCATCTGTACTAAAAAATACAAAAATTAGCTGGGTGTGGTGGCAGGCACCTGTAATCCCAGCTACTTGGGAGGCTGAGTCAGGAGAATTGCTTGAACCTGGGGGGCAGAGAGTGCAGTGAGCCAAGATCACGCCATTGTACTCCAGCCTGGGCAACAAGAGCGAAATTCTATCTCCAAAAAAAAAAAAAAAAAAAAGTTAAAACAAAAACTTGAAAAAAAGGTAAGAAACTCAAATGGCATTTTGAGCTGAGAACATTTAGAATAGGTGAAGTTAACCGTGCCTATTAAAAAGTCTGAAGGCATCTTTAGATCATAGCAGTGCTCATCAGTTTATTATTTATAACATGTTGGTTTTGCTTATTAATTTTATTTATTTCATTACACATTTATTTTCTACTACACTCTTTCTCTCTTTCTTTTAAGGGATAGAGTCTCACTCTGTCACCCAGGCTGGAGTGCAGTGGTAAAATCACAGCTCACTGCAGTCTCAACTTCCTGGGTTCAAACGATCCTCTCACTTTAGTCTTCTGAGTAGCTGGGAGTATGGGCATGCACCACCACGCCTGGCTGATTTTTTAATTTTTTTGTACAAATGAAGTCTCACTATGTTGCTTAGGCCGGTCTCAAACTTCTGGGCTCAAATGATTCTCCCACCTCGGCCTCCCAAAATACTGAGATTATAGACGTGAGCCACCATGCCTGGCCTGGCCTTACCCTCTTTTTTTTTAAATGGTTAATATTTCCCCAGTATCACATTAAACACTTGCAATATGTAGCAGGTCACTCAGCCTCCCAGCATGTCTCAGAGTTTCATCCATCTCTATGGATGGGAACACGGCAGCACCCAGAGATTTGAAACTGCTCAAGGTCTCATGACCAACATGGCAGTGTCAGAGTTTCATATGAACCCATCTGTCTGATTCTAGAGTTCTTTCACCATCACACCTCCACATGCATTCTTAGAAAGCCAGAGGATGCTAAATTACGCTTCACGAAAATCTGTTTTAAAAGGCTGGGAAACATGTGTGACATTTTGAAAATTTTTTCTATCAAAAAAAAAAAAAGATTCCATTTTAACAAGTGCTGGTGCTTCAAAGGGTATAAAGTGTGGGTTATCAGAAAAAGCCACATGTGGGAAGCAGCTCGCTCTCAACCGTTGCCAGATAAATGAGAAGGTCTTGAATTTCAATGATCTTATAAATGTAACGGGAGTGATAAATATAAATCTATTAAGCTCTTTCATTTAGAACAAGGAATCTGTATTCTTTGACTATATAACTTCTTTTTACTGCATCTTTCAAACGGAAAAATGTGCTTGCCATTGATGGGCAACTTCCTTGGATCTTTACTGTGTGGGGAGAAAGTATCAAAGCAGGGAGCGGGGAGGGTTTGAGGGGAGGTAAAGCGCTCTGCCCTGTCCAGATGATTGCTAGAGGGGCCCCAGGTTGCCGTCTCATCTCTGTCATTTCCTTATGAGAAGGGTGGCTGCTGTCATCCAGGAGTCTTTGCCATGAATGAAAAAGCAGACAGCAGTGAAATTTGGAAATCCAGAGACATTTCCTTCTTTGCGAGGCACTGGTAGAGAGGATTTCTAGGACAACAGAATGTTACCCTGCACTGCCAAAACAGCATCTCGGGGGCTCAACTAACCAGCTCTGGAAACCTGCATGTTCCCTGCGTACCACACACGAGGTTTCATTTCCACTGCAAATCTGATTTTTGTTTTTATTTTTGTATGACCACTCAACAGGTCAATGAATATATCTGTTGGAGAGCTGTGGCACGATGGTTTAAATGTTGCAATGGCAATTTCAATTCTCTAGAGAGACTGTTAAGGAAATGGGTCCCTTCCCCTGAGCTGCGGTTCTTCTAATGACTGCGGGTGCGGGTATTAACATACCTTCCCAGGGATTTGCCAGGGGTGGGAGGGCCACTGCCGATGCTGACTATCAGGCTACTTCTGACAATTCCTAATGTAATCCATATACTACACATACATTCTGGTTACACGATTTATGAGGTATAACAAGGGGAGAGAAGTGAAGCTGGAATATAATTGTGACTGATGTGAAACAGACATGTAGAATGAATGGCCTTACAACATTTTCTTTGAAGTTTGTTAAAAGCAGTAAAGTGATATTCACTATAAGTGAAACCTGCTGTTACAGATATCCACTGGCTTGGAGAACATTTTCTTTTGACTTTATTTTTTAAATTTTAATTTGCCACTTGGAGTTTTTGAAAATGTTGCTTTAGATGTGGATGAAAGAGAAAGAGAATAAAAACTGCGTGCAGCACCTACTACGTGCTCACCCTGTCCCAGGTGCTGGATATCAGGGAAGACATAAGACACAGGAGGCACAGTGACTGAGCTCACAAAAAGTCTTAATTTTAATGTTTCTCAAATCAGAAAAAAAAACCGGAAAATAATAATAAAATGTACTAACATATCACAATATGTAAAATTAAAAATTAGGCCAGGCATGGCGGTTCATGCCGGTAATCCCAGCATTTTGGGAGGTTGATGTGGGAGGACCACTTGCACCCAGGAATTCAAGACCGTCCTGGACAACGGATTAAACCACGTTTCTACGAAAAATAAAAAAATTAGCCGGGCGTGGTGGCATGTGCCTGTAGTCCCAGCTACTTTGGAGGGTGAGGTGGGAGGATCGCTTGAGCCCTGGAAAGTTGAGGCTACAGTGAGCCAAGAATGAGCCACTGCTCTTCAGTCTGGGCAACGGAGCAAGACCCTGTGTCAAAATAATAACAAGAGTAATAATAAATGACATAACATAAAATAAAATTTAAAATTAATATACTAAATGATCATGAATATAATAATAATGAATATAATAATGAATCCTGCTCGGATGGTATTTGTACCTTAATACTTTTTTATGGAGGAAGGGATCCACACAGGCAAAGTGCCAGGAGCCCATAGAAGTCATAAGTCGGCCTGGTAGATATAAAGTATCTCATGTAATTCTTCAGAGAATTCTAAGGTCTGGAAGATGTTGTGAAAATGCTGTTTTGAAGACTTAGGAAAATTTTCTAGGGTCCTATAACTAGGAAGTGGTTGAGTCCATTCTCAAGACTATTGTCCAACTCCTTCCACTGAAGAAGAGTGTGATGTATAGGCAATTCTACATTGGAACCCTGATATTAGGAATGAAAAATATCACTTATATATTTGGTAACAAAGAAATGAATGGAAAATCGATTCTGAGGTTGGCATGTGTTTCTCCATACAGTATAGGAAGACACCTAGAAGTATATGTAACCCAGATGTTGCCAAGTTCACCAGCTTCAAGGTCAGGACTTCTGTTTAATACTCAAAGAATACTCTAAGCCCCTACCCTTCTGTACCACAGGAAGTCCAGGCTTCATCCTATCCCATAGACCCCTCTTCGTTTTTCTCCTGGGGCCTCTGAAGATCGTTATGTGTTCCCCTAACCAGCCCTGGTTAATACTCAGTCCCAGTCAGCTGCCTTGCACCAGATGCTGAGAGTCCCTTGTTGGGCCCCCTCCGGCTTGCCACAGCTTTCCCTAGACTACGTATCCTTACAAATCGATGCAGTCCCCTCCCTCTATTCCCAAAGCACAGCTAAAATGAAGCTGAGACTTCTTCTTTTTTTTTTTTTGAGATGGAGTCTCGCTCAGGCTGGAGTGCAGTGGCGCGATCTCGGCTCACTGCAACCTCTGTCTCTCAGGTTCAAGCGATTCTCCTCACTCAGCCTCCCGAGTAGCTGGGATTACTGACGTGTGTCACCACGCCCAGCTAATTTTTGTATTTTTAGTAGAGACGGGGTTTCACCATGTTGGCCAGGCTGGTCCTGAACTCCTGACCTCAGGTGATCCACCCACCTTGGCCTCCCAAACTGCTGGGATTACAGGTGTGAGCCACTGCACCTGGCTTGGAGCTGAGACTTCTAACCAGACTAAAGTCTTGCGGGGATCAGTCGTACAACACAAAGGGCACCAAATAACTATTCATAATACCTAGGGTGACGAAGTATCCCAATTTGCCCCAGACTAAGGGAGTTCCCAGGAGTTTTCCATTTTAAAACCAGGACAGTCCCAGATAAACTGGGACAAGTTGTTTGCCCCACTAATACTACAGGTGTCTCTGCTTGAACTCACAGCCCTGACTTGACCTCACTTAGGGCTTCATCTTTTGCCATCAGCCTACTTGAACTTGCTCTGATTCCTGTTATCTCCAAACAACTTCTTTCCTCTGATTCCAGGCCCAAATTGGCCTGAGGGAGAAGACACTTCTCCTCCAGTGTAAGGCTAAAACTCCTTTCCTGTCTCAGTGTAATCAACAAAGAAACGTCTATTCCCTTGCTGGGAAAAACCTGTGCTGCACCGTTAATATGTCACAAGCCCTCATGGCCTAGACAAGATGAACCCAGAAGTTCACAGGACTTTGTCCAAACTCAAAGTTATTTTGTCTTCAATGATACCATGTCTGGCACCCTAAGAGTTCAATATAGGTAGTATTATACTAAACCCAGTGCAATTTCTTATCACAGTCCTTTGGGCTGCTAGATGAAAGGGTGAGTGGGTTGTCAACTCCATAATTTCCAATCTCTTGTGAGCAATGTTTAGGTTAGAACACACAGACATCTCATAAGCATTTTTCAGACCAATATTAGTGTAAATCCAGATTTCATGGGAAAAGAGGTTTATAGTTCTTCAGGGGCACAGTTCTGTTCAAACATACCACATGCATTATCAAATAGAGTGCTAAGTATCTCACTATGAAGTATCTGCATTTTGATCACTTTGCTAATCCAGGACTTCTACCAAGAACCATGGGTAGGCCTATGTCTTTTTTTTTTTTTTTTTTGAGGTGGAGTTTCACTCTCGTTGCCAGGCTGGAGTGCAATGGCGTGATCTCGGCTCACCGCAACCTCTGCCTCTCGGGTTCGAGCGATTCTCCTGCCTCAGCTTCCCGAGTAGCTGGGATTACAGGCATGCGCCACTATGCCCAGCTAATTTTGTATTTTTAGTAGAGACGGGGTTTCTCCATGTTGGTCAGGCTAGTCTCGAACTCCCAACCTCAGGTGATCCACCCGCCTCAGCCTCCCAAAATGCTAGGATTACAGGCGTGAGCCACCACGCCTGGCCGGTTAGGTCTAGGTCTTCTATACACTGTCAACTAAAACAACCTTCAAACTGAACCTCCCCGGAAAAGAAGAAAGTTTTTTCCCAAACACTAATTCTAAATCCTACCCTAGAATTCAGTAATGTTTATGACTCCAAAATGACAGGTTTCCAATTTTGAAAATGCAAAAATTAGGTCTACTGTGAACTCCATTACATGTAGAGTCGAAAATTGCCTGGAGATTATGAAATTTGTAACAACATAGGTAAGTGCCATAGAGTTGACAATATCCATCACAAAGCTAAGAGGATGTCATCAGCCAGTAATTTAATATTTCTGGGAGGGGAAAAGAAATCAGTGAAATGAGACAATGTAAAAGTAACTTCCAGGGAGCTTTACACTGAATAGGGAAGGCTGTAGGACTTCAAGATCATAGGAGGGCTGTAGGGATTCCTGGATCAAATGGTAGTTCTACTTTTAGTTCTTTAAGGAATTCCCACACTGTTTTCCATGTGGCTGTACTAGTTTACATTCCCACCAGCAGTGTAGAAGTGTTCCCTGATCACCGCATCCATGCCAACATCTACTGTTTTTTGTTTTGTTTTGTTTTCTTGAGACAAGAGTCTTGCTCTGTCACCCAGGCTGGAGTGCAGTGGCGCGATCTTGGCTCACTGCAACCTCCGCTTCCCGGGTTCAAGTGATTCTCCTGCCTCAGCCTCCCACCGAGTAGCTGGGACTACAGGCACACACCACCATACCCAGCTAATTTTTGTATTTTTAGTAGAGACGGGGTTTCACCGTGTTAGCCAGGATGGTCTCGATCTCCTGATCTCGTGATCCTCCCACCTTGGCCTCCCAAAGTGCTGGAATTACAGGCATAAGCCACCACACTGGTCCAACAAACAAACAAAAGATTTCTATGCCCATCCATGTCAAACTAACAGGCATTGGATTAGTCATGGTTCTGCAAACAGCTATAAGACTGGACAGCATTGATAAGGTGACTGTTCGCAGATGTTGGATCACAGGCAGGACAGGACTGTGACCCAGAGAAGAGAAATGCATGAGATGGGTCCCACATCCACACTGGCTTTCTGGTTCAGGGTGCCTAGAGATAAAGCTCAACAGAGCACAAAAGCCTTATGATTTGAGGGGGCAAAAATTAGGATTCAGGGCTGGTGTGGCAGCTGGAATTTTGGGGACAGGTTACTAGAGAAGAGGAATATGTACATAGAAGGAGCTCCAGAAATCTGAGCAGGTGGCCCCTATGTATTTGGGGGACCCAAGAGGCAGAGAAGAACAACTGTGAGTTCGTACGTTCTTTCATTGCTATGGAGAAATACCTGAGACTGGGTGATTTATAAAGAAAAGAGGTTTAACTGGCTCATGGTTCTGCAGGCTGTACAGGAAGCATAACAGCTTCTGCTCAGCTTCTGGGGAGGACTCAGGAAACTTACAATCATGGCAAAAGGCGAAAGGAAAGCAGGTCCCTCTCATATGGCAGAAGCAGGAGCAAGAGAGAGAGTGGGGAGGTGCTACACACTTTTAAACAACCAGATCTTGTGAGAACTCACTATCATGAGAACAGCACAAAGTGGATGGTGCTAAGTTATTCATATGAAACTGCCCCCATGATCCAATCACCTCCCACCAGGCCCCACGTCCAACAATTCTACACGAGATTTGGGTGCTGACACAGATTCATAGCATATCAAAATGTGTGAAGTGTGTGTGTGTGTGTGTGTGTGTGTGTGTGTGTGTCCTAAGTAATTAAGATCCCAGAGAGGTCATGCCTTAGGAGTAGGGCAACTAGAGACCTAACCAAAGTAAAGAGCAAGATAGTAAATATTTTAGGCTTTGCAGGCTATATGGCGTCTGTCACAACTATTCAACTTCACTGTTGTGTGAAAGCAGCCACAGACCACACATAAACAAATGAATGTGGATATATCCCAATTAAAATTTCTTTCACAAAAACAGGTAGTGAGCCAAATTTGACCGTAAGTGATAGTTTGACCCCCCTTCCCCATCCACTTGATCTAAAGGATCAAGTTGCTTATAGATTAACTGACTGTAGGAACCAAACCCAAAACTATTTAAAGACATACAGAAAAATCCAGATTCTTCACAGTGTAGTTTCCATAATGTTTAGCATAGAATAAAAAATTACTAGAAATGCAAAGGAGCAGGGAAATGTGATCAAAAACCTGCAGAAAAGTAATAGAAAGGATGAGATGTTGTGATTAGCAGACAAGGACTTTGAAGCAGCTATCAAAATTATGGTTAAGGACCGGGCATACCAAAAAGATACTTACACATGCATGTTTATAGCAGCACAATTTTAAATTGCAAAAATCTGGAACCAGCCCAAATCCCCATCAATCAATGAGTGGATAAAGAAACTGTGGTATACATATATATATGATGAAATACTACCCAGCCATAAAAAGGAATAAATTAATGGCATTTGCAGCAACCTGGATGGAATTGGAGGCTATTATTCTAAGTGAAGTGACTGAGGAATGGAGAACCAAACATCATTTGTTCTCACTCAGAAATGGGAGCTAAGCTATGAGGATGCAAAGGCATAAGAACGATACAATGGACTTTGCAGACTCAGGGGTAAGGGTGGGAAGAAGGTGAGGGATAAAAGACTACAAATTGGGTTCTGTATATACTGCTTAGGTGATGGGTGCATCAAAATCTCACAAATCGGCACTAAAGAACTTACTCATGTAACCAAATACCACCTGTTCCCAAAAACCTATGGAAATAAAAAAAATTATGGTTAAGCATATAAAGAAAAAGATGAGGCTGAGGCAGGAGGATTGCTTGAGGTCAAGAGTTTTTAGACCAGCCTGGACAACACAGTGAGACCTCATCTCTACAAAATTAAAAGTAAAAAATTAGCTGGGCATGGTGGCATGCGCCTGTAGTCCCAGCTACTCATGAGAGTGAGCAGAAAGATCTCTTGACCCAGGAGGTCAAGGCTGCAATGAGCCATGACTGTGCCACTGCACTCCAGCTTGGGTAGCACAGCAAGACCTTAAAAAAAAAAAAAAGAAAAGAAAAGAAAAAAGAAAAATATGGACATAATAAGTGACCAGCTGGAAATCCTCAGCAGAGAAATAAATATTGTTTAAAAACCTAAGGGTATCTCTAAAATTTAAAAATGCCATATCTGAAAATATTTAAAAATTATGTCATTGGATTAACAGCAGATTGGACACTACAAAAGTAAAGATCAGTGAGCTTGAAAATAGGGCAAGATAAATAAAATGTACAAACCAAAATACAGACAGAAAAAAGGTTAAAACAGAGCCTCAGTCATCTGTGAGTCATCAAAATATCAATTGATTTACATACATGTAATTGGAGTTCAAAGAAGAGATAGAGAGTTTGGGGCTGAAATTTTTCAACTTTTGGTGAAAAAATATACATATTGTTTTTAGAGACGGAGTCTATGTTGCCTAGGCTGGCCTTGAACTATTGGGCTCAAGAGATCCTTCTGCTTCAGCCTCCTAAGTAGCTGGGAATATAGGTGTGCACTATTCCTGGTTTGATGAAAAATATTATTCCCCAAATACAAGAAGTTCAGCAAACTCCAAGTGAGATAAATTCAAACTATGCCTATATCATAGTCAAATTTCTAAAAACCAATGACAAGATAAAACCTTAAAAGAAGCCAGAGAAAAGCAGCATGTTGGCCAGGTGTGGTGGCTCATGCCTGTAATCCCAGCACTTTGGGAGGCCAAGGTGCGTGGATCACCTGAGGTCAGAAGTTCAAGACCAGCTTGACCAACATGGTGAAACCCCGTCTCTACTAAAAACACAAAAATTAGCTGGGCATGTTGGTGCATGCCTGTAATCTCAGCTACTCAGGGGGATCACGCAGGAGAATCTCTTGAACCTGGGATTTGAAGGTTGCGGTGAGCCAAGATAGTGCCATTGGACTCCAGCCTGGCAACAAGAGTGAAACTCCATTGTGTCTGGAATTGGTGGGTTCTTGGTCTCACTGATGAGTGTTACAGTTCTTAAAGGTGGTGTGTCCAGAGTTTGTTGCTTCTGATGTTCGGATGTGTTCAGAGTTTCTTCCTTCTGGTGGGTTTGTGGTCTCGCTGGCTCAGGAGTGAAGCTGCAGACCTTCGCAGTGAGTGTTACAGCTCACAAAGGCAGTGCGGACCCAAAGAGCAAGCAGCAGCAAGATTTATTGCAAACAGGGAAAGAACAAAGCTTCCACAGTGTGTAAGAGGACCCAAGTGGGTTGCCACTGCTAGCTCGGGCAGCCTGCTTTTCTTCCCTTATCTGGCCCCACCCACATCCTGCTGATTGGTCCATTATACAGAGAGCTGATTGGTCTGTTTTACAGAGAGCCGACTGGTCCATTTTGACAGGGTGCTGATTGGTGCATTTACAATCCCTGAGCTAGACACAAAAGTTCTCCAAGTCCCCACTAGATTAGCTAGACACAGAGTGCTGATGGTTGTATTTACAAACACTGAGCTAGACACAGAGTGCTGATTGGTGCATTTACAAACCTTGAGCTAGCCACAGGGTGCTGATTGGTGTATTCACAATCCCTTAGCTAGACATAAAGATTCTCCAAGTCCCCACCAGATTAGCTAGGTACAGAATGCCAAATGGTGCAGCCACAAACCCTGAGCTAGACACAAGGTGCTGATTGGTGTGTTCACAAACCTTGAGCTAGATACAGAGTGCTGATTGGTGTATTTACAATCCCTTAGCTAGACATAAACCTTCTCCAATTCCCCACTAGACTCAGGAGCCCAGCTGGCTTCACCTAGTGGATCCTGCACTGGGCCACAGGTGGAGCTGTGTGCCAGTCCCGAGCCATGCACCCGCACTCCTCAGCCCTTGGGTGGTGGATGGGACTGGGTGCCATGGAGTAGGGGGCAGTGCTGGTCTGGGAGGTTCCAGCCATGCAGGAGCCCAGGGCAGGGGTGTAGAGGCTCAGGCATGGCGGGCTGCTGGTCCTGAGCCCTGCCCCGGGGAGGCAGCTAAAGCCGGCAAGAAATCGAGCACAGTGCCGGTGGGGCGGCACTGCTGGGGGACCCGGTGGCACCCTCCACAGCTGCTGGCCCGGGTGCTAAGTCCCTCACTGCACCGGGCCGGTGGGGTCGGCCGGCCGCTCCGAGTGCGGCCCGCCAAGCCCACGCCTACCCAGAACTCTAGCTGGCCTGCGAGCGCCCAGCGCAGCCCTGGTTCCTGCCCATGCCTTTCCCTCCACACCTCCCTGCAAGCTGAGGGAGCCGGCTCCGGCCTCGGCCATCCCAGGAAGGGGCTCCCACAGTGCAGTGGCAGGCTGAAGGGCTCCTCGAGCAAGGCCAGAGTGGGCACGGAGGCCGAGGAGGCACCAAGAGCGAGCGAGGGCTGCCAGCACGCTGTCACCTCTCACCATCTCAAAAAAAAAAAAAAGCAGCATTTCATTGAGGGCAAGAAAGGAATGACTGCTGACTCATTAACCATGAAAGTTGAAAGGCAAAAGAACAACATCTTTAAAGTGCAGAAAGAAAAAAACCCTGACAACCTAGAATTCTATATTAGGCAAGAATTATAATTTTTTTAGAGTGAAGAGAAAATAAAGACATTTTCAGAACAATAAAAGTTGAGAGAATTTGTTAACAGAATTGATAAAGCAATGATCAAGGAAGGTCTTCAAGAGGGAAAATAAAATTTGGGGGTCACTACAAAAGAATTAAAGACAACCTCTGCAAAGGAATGGGGGAAAGGTCCCAAAATGGCGACTAGGTAGGGAAATGTAAAGGACATTGTTTTCTTGTGTTTTTTTAAAAAATATAATTTAGCAAAACAATAGCAATGTATTAGGTTTTTGTAATAGGTACAAGAAAAAATGTATGAATAATTATTCAAAGGAAAAGATCAGGGTAAATGAATGATACTGCTGTGAAGTGTTAAAATTAGATACTGAGTGGTAAAATATTCGTTCATGGAAAACTATACGTATGCATATTGTAATCTCTAGAGATACACACACGCACACACACACACGCACACACACGCACACGCACAAATGCAACAAAAAAGAATAAAAAGCCAGTAGGAGAGATAAAATGAAATACTATAAAATTCAGCCTGGCGTGATGGCTTACATCTGTAATCCCAGCACTTTGGGAGGCTGAGGCAGGCAGATTGCTTGAGCTCAGGAGTTCGAGACCAGCCTGGGTGACATGGCAAAACCCTGTCTCTATAAAATGGATTTACTATATAATTCTCTACTAATCCGAAAGAAAGTAGAAAATAAGAGAGAAAAATAACAGCAAAATACAGATGGGATAAACAGATAAAAATAAGAGCAAAACATAAATGGGATAAACAAATAAAAAGATGGAAAATTTAAACATCAGCATCTAAACAGTAATAGTAAATGTAAATAGATTACATAATTCATAATGCACAGACAGAGAAAAAATCTCAAAATTCAACTATATGCTATCTACAAAATTTCTGCTCATCAAATGACACCATTAAGAATGTGAACAGACAAGCCACAGACTGGGAGAAGACGTGTGATATGTGGCAAAAAAATTGCATCTAGAATACCTAAAGAACTTCTATAACTCACTACTAAAAGGACAATACAATTTCTAAAATGTGCAGAAGACTTGAACAGACAATTCACAACAGAAGAGCTATGCATGGTCCATAAACACATGAAAAAACACTCACCATCACCAGTCCTTAGAAAAATAATATTAACAATTAAAACGACAATGAGATACCACTACATACCCACTAGAATGGCTCAAATTTTAAAAGACCGACATACTAAATGTTAATGAGTATGTAGCATGATCGGAATTTGAATACATCACTGGTGGGAATTCAAAATGGTACAATCACTTGGAAAACACTAATTTATTTGTAAAGGTAACCATATACTTATTTTGTGATCCAGTAGTTTAACTCCTAGCTGAATACCTAAGGGAAATTAAAACATTGGTTCACTGAAAGATATGCAAGAATATTCATGGCAGCTTTATTCATAGTAGCCCCAAATGGAAAACAGCCCAAATGTCATCCGTGGGAGCCCAGATAAACAAAATTGTGATATATTCCTGTAATGAAATACTACTCAGCAATAGAAAGGAATAACCTACTGATACATGCAACAACCTGAATAAATATCAAAAACACTGCTGAGAGATAAAAGTTGGAAATAAGAGGTATAATTCCATTTATATCAAGCCTTACGACAGGCAAAAACTAACCTACGGTCCTGAAACTGACTCAATAGTTCCATAGTTTTTTGTTGTTGTTGTTTGTTTTGTTGTTGTTTTTGTTTTTGATAAACATAGAAATGGACCTTTCTGGTCTTAAAGCTTGAAACCTAACATTTGTTTTATCTGAGCTCCTTCCTCAGAAAATGACTTTCAGACGTTTCAAAAAAAGAAAAAAGTATCAAAGAACTGAAACCCACCAGATCAACACATCCTGACAATGAGATGCTGGACCCCTCATTCATCATGATTGCTTCCTTGCCCCTCCCCAGTTCCTCTTTTCTTACACATTGTTACATTTCTTCCCTGCTATATAAACCCCTAATTTTAGTCAGTCAGGGAGATGGATTTGAAACTGATCTCCCATCTCCTTGGATGCAGCATCCAATTAAAGCCTTCCTCCTTGGGGGTAATCATTGTCTCAGTGACTGGCTTTCTGTGCAGCGAGCGACAGGACTTAGACCGAGCCCCTGGTGTTTCGGTAACAGTCCTACATATATGCTCAAGAGAACTGAAAAGATATTTACACAAAAAGTGGTACACTAAGTGTGTAGGAGAATTATTCATAATGATCAAAAAATGAAAACAACCCAAATATCTATCCATTGATGAATGGATCAACAAAATGTGGTATTTCCATACCATGAAATATTTTTAGCCATTAAAAGAAATGAGGTACTGATATACGTCACAACAGGAGTAGACTTTACAAACAATATGTTAACTGGAAGCCAGACACAAAATGCTACATATTGTTTGCTTCCATTTATATGAAATGTCAAGAACAGGCAAATCTATAGAGACAGAAAGTAGATTAGTGGTCACCAGGGGCTGGGAGGAGGGAGGAATGAGGAGTGACGGCCAACGGGTATGTGGTTTCTTTCCACATATGGGGATGAGCATGTTCTGGAATTAGACAGTGGTGATGACATGACTTTGAATATAATAAGTACTATTGAATCATATATTTTAAAAGTTTGACTTGATATGTGAGTTACACATCAATACAAAACTTAGTTTATAATGACAGAAATTTGAGAAGTAGTTACCTCAGAGGGAGGTTGTGGATGGGGATTCACTACAAAAAGAACTTTCTGGGGTGACGGAAATGTTCTAGATGTTGTTAGGAATATGAATTATATGAGTGCATGTATTTTTCAAAACTCATCAAGCTATAACAAGTAAGATCTATACATTTCACAGGTAAATTTTTGCCTCAGTAAAAAACGAAAAGATGAAAACTTAGTAATATTGGAATAGAAGACTTCCATAATCTAGTATGACAACTTTACCATATACATAATCTCAGACCAATAGTCACTGTCTTGCTTTTTACTGAAACCCACTAGAATCATGTCACTACAGTTGGAGACAAAACAAAGATGTCCTGTTATGAATATGTCTTAACAAGTTTCTGAAAGTGCTCGCCAATGTCATTAGTGAAAATAAGAAATAAGGTTTCTGTATTTGAAGGAAAGTGACAAAAACGTTGTCATTTACAGTTATTGAAATTGTCCACCCGAAATACCTGAGAGATACTGAGAAATTGTTAGGGCCAAGAGAGTTTACTATCCTAACTCATTGCAAAACGAATAGCTTTCATATATAGTAAACACTAGTTAGGAAATACAATGGTTAAAACAATCCCACTAAAAAAATTTTTTAAAAACCCACAACACAAAATGCCCAGGCATAAGCTTAATGAGTGTTTAGAACCAATGTAAAGAAAGTTACTAAACTCTAGTAAGGAACATAAAAATAACTTTAATAGTTTCAGAGTGAATTGCATCTTTGCATGCGTGGACTCAATATTATAATTATCTCCAAATTCATACACATATATATAGTCCCAAGCAAATTCCAGCAAGGTGATTCTGAAACTTGACAAAAATGATTCTAGAACTAATTTAGAAGTATAAATGTGCAAGAATTGCCAGGAAAAGAATAATGAGGGTGAATTTTCTTCTACAAGGTACAAGTCTCCATTAATTAAAATTGGTGCAAGAATTGGGACACCTGAAGCAAGACAAAAGTCAAAGCATGAACATGAATTGGGACAAAGAAAATGTAGTGTTAAAATATTTAGAAAAAGATTGGGACAAGAAACTATTTGTAAATAAAATTGGCTGCCTATTACACACCTTATAATACAACAAAGTCATGAAGAATCAAAAATTAAATGTGAAAACAAAACCACAAAAGTACTAGAAAAAGTAGGTAACTGTTAACAGATTAGAGACGGATTTTGAGGAAGATCACTGCAACCTCCACCTTCTGGACTCAAGTGATTCTCACGTCTCAGCCTCCCAAGTAGCTGGGATTACAGGCATGCACCACTACACTGGCTAATTTTTGTATTGTTTGTAGAGTCAGGGTTTCTCCATGTTGGCCAGGCTGGTCTTGAACTCCTGGGCTTAAGCCATCCACCTGCCTCAGCCTCCCAAAGTGCTGGGATGACAGGCATGAGCCACCACACCCGGCCAGATTTTCGAAGTGTATCAACAAAGCTAGATACTAAAGAGAAAAAGGATTGACTCCTTAAACATGAAAAATTTCTATATGACAGAAACCTCCTTAAATGAAATTAAAAAACAAACAATTGGAGGAAACACTTGCCACATAGGTGACAGCAAAATGCTGGTATCTTCAATGTATAATTTCATCAGGCTACTTTTAACCGAAGTGAAAGTAATCCAACTCCACTTTGCTGATGTGTACCTGGGGATTTGCTGGCTCTGTAACTGGAAAGCCCAGGGATGATGTTGGCTGAAGCTCTCTTCATAAGGAAGCCAGGTTGTTCACCCATAGGCCAAGCCTTCCATCCTACCAGCTGAATAGCCCTCCAGGAAAGAGACCTCCTTCTCTGATAGCTCCAGCAGAAAAACTTTTAAAAGGATGTTAGCCCAGCTTGGGTCACAGATTCATCAGTGAATGTATTTGTCTGTTCTCACATTGCTATAAAGAAATACTTGAGTCTAGGTAATCTATAAAGAAAGGGAGTTTAATTGGCTCATAGTTCTGCAGGCTGTGCAGGAAGCATGATTCTGGCATCTTCTCAGCTTCTGGGGAGGCCTCAGGAAACTTACAATCATGGTGGAAGGCAAAGGGGGAGCCAGCACTTCACATGGCTGGAGGAGGAAGAAGTGAGAGAGTGGGAAGGTGCTACACATTTTTAAACTGCCAGATCTTGTGAGAACTCTATCACAAGAACAGCACTAGGGGGATGGTGCTGAACCATTAGAAACTACCCCAGTGATCCAATCACTCCCACCAG
Organism: Homo sapiens; assembly: GCF_000001405.40. Classification (NCBI taxonomy): domain Eukaryota; kingdom Metazoa; phylum Chordata; class Mammalia; order Primates; family Hominidae; genus Homo; species Homo sapiens. The sequence continues at coordinate 54,824,526 of NC_000016.10, read as the reverse complement.
GCCCCATCTCCAACACTGGGGATTACAACTGAACATGAGATTTGGGTAGGGACACAGATCCAAACCATATCACTGAGTAATCATTGTTGCTGGAGTGGAATACTCTGATTGGGCAAGCCTGGACCATGTGTTACCCTTGTGGCAGAGAAAAGCATACGTCAGTGCCATCCAAACCCCCTGAAATGCATTTTTCACAATACACAGTGATTCTGTTGTCAGAGAAGGGAGAAGGAATGCTAAGGGGCAAAAATAGCAAATTTTCAGTAATGTATACAAAGAGCACTCAGAAATCAATAAGAAACGGTGTTTTCAAAAAGTCATGAAAAGCCATGAAGATTCATTGTTAACTACATTGTTAACATTCATTGTTAACTTTTTCTGAGTCCCATTTTTCATACCTCTGCTGAAATGCTTTCCAAGGTTGCAATTAGCTCATTTGACAAGTTAAGTGTAATAATTTATTACAAGATGTTAATATATCATAAGGAGCTTCTTCTTCTCTTAGGTGATGTGTAGAGTATAGAGGCCTTCTAGTGACAATGTTTTAATTCAAAGGAGAGTCTCCAATTGTGAATTTTAGACATGATTTCTATGATACAGTCCCTTAGGTAGAATGAATGCTGAAATCTTTATTTCACTTGAGTTCAATAAATCTTTCTTCTTTCATCTCCGAAAAGTAAAAGGGGGCCTTGTTCATATAATCTTCCTTAAAGAACCTATAATTTTGCAGTGATTTTATGTGCATATTTCTTTTTTAATTTAATTTTTTATGTGCATATTTCTTAAATGAATTTACAGACTTGAACTTTACTGAATTTGTTTCAAATTGTCTCACTGGAAGAAAAATTAGATTATTGCTTTTATATATTTTACATAAATTTTTATGAATGTACATTTTTACCTGTTAGATTTTAAGTCGATGCTTTCTAAAAACATTAGCTGTGTGTTTTAGACCTGCATGAAAGTATCCATAGAAGATGAAACACTTAATGTTTGAGAAAACAAAATATTCCTATTAACATAGAATCCCCAAAACAACAAAGCACCATGATGGAGGTATTCCTGTTTGTGTGATTTTGTAAATCTTTCATATTATTTTTATGAGAGAGAGAGAGAAACAAAAGCACAAAGTTGTTAGCTCAAGAAACCCCATCTAGGTTGTACTGCATTGAGCCAATAAAAAATATATACTCTACCATTTACTAACTGTGTGTTTGAAGTTATTCATCTTTTCTGTAGCTCAGGTTCATCATTTACAAAGGGGAATTATAATAGCATCTACCTTACAGGGTGGTTTTGAGGGTTAAGGTGCATCAAACAGTGTCTGGCCCAAAGTCAGTGCACAGTCAGTTAGCTACAACTACTATTTTAGGTAATTTCTAATCACAGCTCAGCTTATTGTCTGCTGGATACTTGGTGCTACTCACAGGCCCTTATGAGTCTTAGAAGCACTTCCTGCATGACAGAATGCAGCTCAATCGAGTTGGAGAAGCTTATTTCCTTGAACGAGAATTTCCTGGAAATAGCTATTTCACCAATGGCTAATAAATGGTCACTGCCATTCAGCAGAAACACTAAGAGTTCTCAGAATTCCCCGTCACATCCGTACCCCTTATTCTATCATGATTTATCCATCAGTGTTTCTGTTTCCTTCTCCAATTTGTGAGTTTCAAGGAAGACTGTGACTTATTCACTACGAATTCTTCCTGATTCACCAGGGGCACCTTACAGAGAGAGGCTTGCTGAGTATTTGTTGAATGAATGAATGAATGAATGAGCCAGCGGATGAACAAATAATCAAACAGGTATCCGACTCTCAGCCCTCTCATTTAAATAGTACTCTACTATTTGGTTTGAGCAGTGTGCGAGTCAGAACTAGAAGCCCCACAGGCTATCTACTCGGATGGCAGTGGGACAGGTTCATCTACTTGAAACCTATTAAAAGATCATCCTTCAACAATTCTTTAAAGCTTCTTGAAAAGTGGAAATTCCATCATCAGACATGCTTCAACCATGAATTTCAAAATTTCTTTGAAAAAACATGAAATATTATACTAGCTTAGATAAAATCTTTTGGCTACTTTTGTTGGCCCTTTATGCATATATATTATTAAAGATGAAACAGAATTGAAGGATGGTGACCAAAAGGGAATGTGATTTACTTTAGGGGAATTGAAAGGTTAGGAGAGAAGCAATACATATGGTTGAATTTACTGAAAATTTTTCTACACCTGGAAAAAAAAAATCACATAAAGTGTATTGAATACTTGAAGATAATTAAATAATTCGATTCAAAAAATATTTTGAAGTTTTGATTTTGTTTGGGTGCAGTAGGTGAAGTCTTTTTTTTTTTTTTAAGAAAAATATCTAGGTTAGAGTCTGTTTGAATAATTCTTTAGGTCTACTTCTTTTTAGTAAAACTTTGCTTATTTCAATTGGAGTACAACGCACAGTTGAATTCCATTTGCCTCATAGTTCACCAAGGTAATGTGGTTCTTTCTGGTGTTGTTGTTGAAGGTGCTGTTGTTCACACTGTGGTTTAGTTCATATCCCCAGTATTTATCCCCAGTGACTCAAGGTTCTCTTTTAGAATAGCAAATGGAGATCCAAATGGAATCAAATGAATCAGACTTTTTACATCAGAAATGTGGATTGAAGAAAGAGATCTTTCATGGGTTCCTGTTGTGGTCCAGGGACCCATCATTTGACTTAGAACTAAAGGAATGTGGGCAACACCTTAAGTGGCCAATTGAAACCCTTTTCCCTCGAAGTTCAGAATTAATCAAGAAATAGCTATGAGAATCTGAGAGATGAAGATCAAAATATCATCTTTATAGCTAACATAGCTCAATTAGAAAATGTGGCTGAGGCTGGACATGGTGGATCACACATGTAATCCCAACATTTTGGGAGGCCAAAGCAGGAGGATCACTTGAGCCCAGGAGTTCAAGACCAGCCTGGACAACATAGCAAGACCCTGTCTCTAAAAAAAAAAAAAAAAAAAAAAAGAAAAGAAAAACAGCTGGGTGTGGTGGCATGTGCCTATAGTCCTAGTTAGGAGGCTGAGGTAGGAGTATCACTTTAGCCCAGGAGTTTGAGGCTGCAGTAAGCTATGATTGTGCCACTGCACTCCAGCCTGGGCAACAGAGCTAGACTCTATCTCTATAAAAAAAAAATTTTAAAAATGTGGCTGGAATCTGTGGCTAGGAAGTGGGAATTCACACCTTGCCTCTCACACCCTCCTCCAAGACAAGGGATTAGGATGCCCCTTTGTAAAGCAGACTCTTCCTTGGTCAATTGCAAATGGGATCACTCTCTCCCACCTGAAAAACCTCATTAGTTAGGACCTATAGAAATTGAGAGGTGAAGCCAGCTGGACTTCCTGGGTCAAGTGGGGGCTTGGAGAACTTTTCTGTCTTACAAAAGGTTTGTAAAATGCACCAATCAGTGCTCTGTAAAAACACACCAATCAGTGCTCTGTAGCTAGCTAGAGGTTTGTAAAATGCACCAATCAGCACACTGTAAAATGGACCAATCAGCAGGACATTGGCAGGGATAAATAAAGGAATAAAACCTGCACCCCCCACCCACCCCTCCAGCCAGCAGTGGCAACCTGGGTCTTCTGAGCTGTGGAAGCTTTGTTCTCTCGCTCTTCACAGTACATCTTGTTGCTGCTCATGTTTTGGGTCTGTGCCATGTAAAGAGTTGTAACACTCACTGCGAAGGTCTGCAGCTCCGTTCTTGAAGTCAGCAAGACCATGAACACCACTGGAAGGAACCAACTCCGGACACAAAATGACCTTCTACACTGTCTCCAGAAAGCAGATGCTGGGCCTCAGGCAGAAATGCTTATTTCTGCCTGGACTTATCCCATGGACTCAGGAGCAAAAAGAGAAGCCCTCTGCAGGTAGACCTGAGAGAGAGCCAACAACGGCCACGCCATGTGCAGGCTCTCCCAAATGTCATCAGTAGATAGGCCCCTCCACCTTCAGGGTCAGTGAGTGGAGGGGAGAAAGGAGCTAGCATGGATATGGCGTGGAAGTTCCGTCTTAGAAGCGCAAAGACAAGGGAATAACTGTCCATTTGCAAGGTGTTGAACATGCCCTTTCTGTCTTGAAGCTCAGAACACCACTTTGAAAACTTTGTTCAGAAATTGAGTAGCTGAGACTCAAGGAGGAGTGTCTTCCTCCTGGCAAAGCAGCCACTCCATTGCTTCTCTGCTGCTTCCGACTGACTCTGGAGAACTAGGTTTAACTTTTTGATAGAGTCTCGCTCTGTCACCCAGGCTGGAGTGCAGTGGTGTGATCTCGGCTCACTACAACCTCTGTCTGCTAGTTTGAAACAATACTCGTGCCTCAGCCTCCGGAGTAGCTGGGACTACAGGTGTGCGTCACCACGTCTGGCTGATTTTTATATTTTTAGTAGAGATGGGGTTTCACCATGTTGCCCACACTGGTCTTGAAGTCCTGGCCTCAAGTGATCCGCTTGTCTGGGCCTCCCAAAGTGCTTGGATTATAGGCACCACTGCACCTGGCCAGGTTTAACTTATTTATTTTTATTTTTATTTTTGAGACGGAGTCTGACTCTGTCACCCAGGCTGGAGTGCAGTGGCATGATCTCAGCTCACTGTAACCGCTGCTTCCTGGGTTCAAGCAATTTTCTGCCTCAGCCTCCCGAGTAGCTGGGATTACAAGCTCCCGCCACCACGCCCGGCTAATTTTTGTATTTTTAGTAGAGATGGGGTTTCACCATCATGGCCAGGCTGGTCTTGAACTCCTGACCTCCTGATCCACCCACTTCGGCCTCCCAAAGTGCTGGGATTGCAGGAGTGAGCCACTGCGCCCAGCCAAGTTTAACTTTTATAGAGATTCCTTCCCCTTTCCATCATGCCTATCTCTTCCCTAAAAGGTCCTTGTCATTGTCACTTTCCTCATCCCGAAAAACTGAAAATCTGTGCACCCCACCTTTTTCTTTTAGAATGGCCTCTTTAATACTGTGTTGCAAGCCCAGGTGACTGCCACCCATTTAGAGACATTATTCTCCCTCCCCTAAACCCCTGCCCTCTACCCACTACACACACCTCGGCAGTCCTGGTCAAAACCAAAGACTGGAGCCATTCAGATGATTTCTTAAGCACTCACTGCAGTCCCAGTCTATATAAGGAGCTTTGTTTAGGAATTTTAATATTCCCTGTATACACTCAGGTTTTCCTTTTCTTTTTGCTTTTTTTTTTTTTCTTTTGAGGTGGAGTCTCGCTCCTTCACCCAAGCTGGAGTGCAGTGGCGCAATCTTGGCTCACTGCAACCTCTGCCTCCCGGGTTCAAGCAATTCTCCTGCCTCAGCCTCCTGAGTAGCTGAGATTACAGGCATGTGCCACCATGTCGGGCTAATTTTTGTGTTTTTAGTAAAGACAGGGCTTCACCATGTTGGCCAGGCTGGTTTCGAACTCCTGGCCTCAAGTAATCCACCTGCCCCGGCCTCCCAAAGTGCTGGGACTACACTCGTGAGCCACTGCGCCCGGCCTGGTTTTTCTATACTTACCGAATATAAGAATCAAAATGGAGCCACCAGTAGCTAACAACAGTGATTGTTGTTGATGATTTTGCTGTTGTGTTCTGTTGGCTGTGTTGCGTGTGACTTCATGTGCAAGTGCATTCACTCATTCACTTCCTAAATTTTTTTTTTTTTTTTTTGAGACAGGGTCTCACTTTGTCACCCAGGCTGGAATGCAGTGGTGCAAACACAGCTCGCTGAAGCCTGGACTTCCCAGGCTCAAGTGATCCTCCCACCTGAGACCCCCAAGTAGTGACTCTCCTGCCTCAAGCCCCAATGTAGCCATACACCCAGGTAATCTTTGTATTTTTTGTAGAGACGGTTTCTCCATGTTGCCCAGGCTGGTCTCAAACTCCTGAGCTCCAGCGATCCACCCACCTCAGCCTCCCAAAGTGCTGGGATTGCCGGCATGAGCCACCGTACCCGGCCCACTTCTTAATCTTTATTGAATGTGATTGCCACTGTGTTGAACCCTAGTGTTACAAATAGGAATAATTCTCAACTCCTGTCTTTGGGGACTCAGTGTGGGGGAAGGGAGGAATATATGGATATTTAACAGTGTGGCCAGCTAAGCCGCATTCCTGAAGCACACAGGCTCTTCGAGAGCACTTTGGCCTAGGGTGAGGGACACTTGGGGATTGTTTTACCTCTCTCTTAAACGAAGGTTGCGGAGGTAAGGAAGACGTCCTATGTAAAAGATGGACAATTTTGGCAGGGCCTGGTCTTCTTCAGTATGAAGAAGAGCAGGGGGGTGCCTTGGGAATTGTGAAAGACGGCTGGGCCCAGGCTATGAAATGCTTTATAGGACCGAGTAAGGAGTTTAAACTTCCTTCTGTAAGCAACAGGAAGCCAGCCGAGGTTTTAAGCAGAGGTGTAACTGATCAGCTTCTTATTAGGGAGATAACTCCGCACAGGACGGACGGCATTCATCCTCAGAAAGTTAATCCTTAAAGGGCAATAGGCATCTGGCCGCGGAGAAGCCCAGCTTTTAGCTTAGTGTTTGGAGGGTCTCGAGTGATATTGATGTAATTGAGCTTTTAGCAAAAAAAGATGAAATCGTAATAGCCCATATGTCTAAAATGAAAAGAACGTGATTTGCCTGATAATAACGCACCCCCTAAAATAAATCTTTAATTCAACCTATTAATCTTTAATTCCCGGAACGCAGCATAATGCTTTGAAATTGAAACTTGAGATACAGGCATTGCAAAATCAGTCCTACAGTGGGTTTAGGGCATACAAATTGAGCAGTATGAACTATTGACACCTCCTGGTGGCAGCAGATGTGTGCTGTTTGCCTGGTCAAAACAAGAGAGGAATGAATCAAAGGCATTAAAAATAAATAACACCGGCAACCCAGAAGGAAGGGATGGGAGGGTGAAATGGCCCGGGTCATGGGGCAGACCCAGCGGAGACCTGTCGGAAAGCGGAGACTGCAGGGGAAGGCCTCGGATAACCGGGACCAGCCTCCAGCATTCCCCGGGAAGGGGCCAGAGTAAGGGCACTTCTAACAAATTTAAAACCAAAAAAATAGATTACTGGGATAGGTGTTCCAGAATGTCTGCTGGCAGTTTTTTTTTTTTTTTTTTTTGAAGGAAATTGTTTTCATTTTTCGGCTCTAAACATCCAGCCTAATAAATACTTTCTCATAATAATCTCTTACCACTCTATAAGCACTTTTTAACCTTCTCTGAGCCTTTGTACTTATGGGGTTGTATTTAATATAAATGGTGGCAACACGAGGGGAAAAAACACCTAGAGTCATCTATTTCTCACATGTGCTCTACTTACATTCTTTAAAAAATAATGAAAGCCAGGCGTGGTGGCATGCGCCTATAGTCTTGCTCCTTGGGAAGCTGAGGTGGGAGGATCACTTGAGCCTGGGAGTTTGAGGCTGCAGTGAGCCATGATTGCTCCATTGCACTCCAAGTGAGACCCTGTCTCAAATAAGTAAATAATATAAAAATAAAATAAATATATAAAATAATGAAGACATTAACTTGTGGGGAGGCTGAGGTGGGAGCATCACTTGGCCCTGGAGTTTGAGGCTGCAGTGAGCCATGATTGCGCCACTGCATTCTAGTCTGGGTAACAAGTGAGACCCTGTCTCAGGTAAGTAAATATAAAAATAAGTATGAAAATAAAATAAAAATTATGAACACATTAACTCGTGAGATGCTGCATAACAAAAATCAAAGCCAATCCAATGCCATCTAAGATTGACTCCCCTGTGTAAGTACAGCAGAGAAGTACAAGAAGGCACAAAAGAGGAAGCTTGGTTTCTGACTCTTTGGACTGGATATGCAAAAGGCTCAGAAGTGAGATGGGAAGTTCACGGGTGCTGACTCAATCACTCATTTGCCACATGACCCAGGATGCATCCTTTACTCTTGCCGGACCTCACTTTCTCTATAGAAAAAGTGAGAAAATAAAATCCAAGAGATCTGTAGGACCTAATAGGCAACTGGCTGCATGATGATCTTTGTGGATCTTAAGCACTTTTGTCTTCACGAGCCCTTTCCTCCATCGGAAAAATATTATATTTATATTTTACCACTGCTTTACCTTTATATCAGCATAGCCAACATGCGTATCTTGCTTATTGCAAGAAGCAAAACATTCTCCTGGGCCCCTAAAATTGCTATGGGCCCTCAGCACTGATCCTTATGGAAAGGCTGGTCCTGAGTGGGTGGTGGGAAAGTCTGTGCAGTCAGGAGAGGCAAACTCTCACGGAGGTTAAGAGTGTGAGCTGAGCTTTAAATAAACCTGGCTTCAAACCTGCTCTCAGCCGCTTACTAGCTGTTTGGCCTCAAGTAATTTATTTAACCTTTCTGAGCCTCAACTTTCTCAAATGTCAAATGAGAGCAATAAATCATACCAATTCTGTGGGTTTTGTGTGTGTGTGTGTGTGTGTGTGTGTGTGTGTGTGTATGAGGATTAAATAAGACAGTGCCTCTGTACCAAACTCAGCATCTGACACTTAGTAAGTGCTTGAGAAATGGTGGCTATTCCTCTTCTTGTATTTTTCTTCCCTCCCTCCCTCCCTTCCTCCTTTTCTCCCTTCCTCCCTTCCTCTCTTCCTTCCTTGATGGAGTCTTGCTCTATTGCCCAGGTTGGAGTGCAATGGCGTGCGTGATCTCAGCTCACTGCAACCTCCATCTCTCAGGTTCAAGGGAGTCTCCTGCCTCAGCCTCCCGAGTAGCTGGGATTATAGGCATGCACCACAACGCCAGCTAATTTTTGTATTTTTAGTAGAGATAGGGTTTCACCATGTTGGCCAGGCTGGTCTCGAACTTCTGACCTTAGGTGATCCACTTCTCTCGGCCTGGCAAAGCGCTGGGATTACAGGTGTGAACCACCATGCCCCACCCTTCTTGTATTATTATCAGCATCTCTCCTAAGAATCTGACTGGCTTGGAGAGTGTGGTTGCTCAGCTCAGAGCGGGGAGACAGAGTACCTGTGTGCCTGTCTTTCTCCTCCCTGGCCAGGGGAGCACGGATCTTTCCTCCTGCAGGCATCCAGCCTAATTCACAGTCATTTGGCTTTGGGACTCTCTCAAAAAAGCACGTGGAACTGTCTCATGTGCATGGAGAGCCAGCTGATGGCTGTCCTCAGCTCTGGGCACCAGCTAAGGAGCTTGTTTGTCCTCACAGTGTTGGAGGGCAGTGACAGCAGCAACCATTGTCCTCTGAGAATTATTTAATACATTTACTTTCTTTTTCAAGCATTTTTCTATGTACAGAAATTATTATTATAAATATTTTTTTAAAAGTACAAGACTTACATACTTGAACCTGCCATTGCAGGTCATTACAAGAGAGCAAAAATGTTTCTTGAAACCTGTGTATGTGGGTGGGGTTGTGTGCTTGGGTCTTTTGCTATCCTAAAGCCTCCATAATTACATCTGCTTAAGATTCTGTGGGTATGGAAAGCTCATATTGTTGATCGAGAAGGGTTATTTTTGCTTTACCAAAGGCCAATCACATAGGTCAGTAGCACTCCTTTGCTCAACTGCTATTCTTTGGGCATTAATTTTAATGTTTAAATAGCAAGTGCATTTTCCAAAGGCTGCATAAAATACCAGATAAGTAGAAGACCACTGGCTTGGGAAGAGCAAATGCTCAGCGAAGCCTTTCGCAGCCAGAGAATGTTGAATATCTCTACCATTATTTAGCATCGGAATCAGTTATGGTTGTCTGACTGATGGACAATTTTTTCCCGACCTGCTATCTTTGCAAGTGACCTATACTGTCTAGACAGTTGCATATTATTTATACATTCATTTTAGATTTTATGTGGTTTTTTTCCCCACTAAAGTTGTGCAGGTTTTATGCAGCCAAGTAACTATCAGAAATGTAGTCTACAAAAAAACCATATCATTGCACCAGGTGAATGCTCTCTTTCTTAGAGTTGTGTCACCATTAAATTAAAAAAAAAATTTAAACACCATTATATGAGCTCTGAAAAAAAAAAATAAAAGCGAACTCTCCACCCCTGAACCCACAAACACATGCCTGGGTGCATGCACACCCCCCCAACCCCCATACCCCTCCTATCTTCAGAGTACCAGCAGCAGGCCATGGAGAGAATTAAAGACAGCTAATTTCAAAGGTTCTTAATCAATTCAAGTTGATCCCATTTGTTGATTAGGGAGTCAAAATGCATTATTTGCATTCTGTTTCAAATTCAGATTTTTTTTTTTTTTTTTTTGAGATTTGAGGCTGGAGAAATCTTTTACAGAGGAATCCCCTTGGGCGGAAAGGGAGTTAATTTGAAAACTCTGGTGAGCCTGATGGGTTGTGAAAGTTCCACATGAAACATTTATAATGGCTACTTTCAGGGTGGCGGGTTTTGGGGTATGCGGCAGGCAAGCCTTCAGTAGTCATGAAACAGTGGCTGAAGCTTTGTCTAAATATCTGGGAAGTGAGCTGAATACCCCACACACCACTTTCATCTGGATACTTGGTGCTGTGTAGACATCACAGCCAGAGCAAAAAGAACAGGGCAAAGTTCAGAGATTAAAGGGAGGATGGCGCCTTTCCCAAAGTACGTCTAAAGTGGGGACTAACTGGTTGGTTCTCTGTGGGTTTCAGGCCTCGAGTCCACACATCCCACTGCCCCAATGCCTAGTTTGAAACACTCTTTTCCTGGCTTCTTTATGGGGTTCCTTCAAGCCTGAGACCTGGTAAACTCCCGGAAGTGTGTCCTGGCCTGAGTGCAAAGAAGTGAACCCCAGGGCTAGTTCTCTTGGGAGAAAATGCTCAATGTAGCCAGAAGTGAGGGCATGCATCTGGAAGTCCCTCCCTTCTGATTTTACACCCCGTTGACTTTTGCTAGGAAAATCCCAGCTCTGCTTAGAATTGATGTATGTGTCCTACATATCGAGAAGACACTACTTTGGGGCAAGATTATACATTAACCTATTTGCATCTCATTTATGTCAACTGAAGATGGTGAGGGTGAACATTTTGTAGGAATTATGTGAAGAAAAAAATCTAACTCTAATTGCATGAAATTATCTCTGTCTTTGGAAACTTCACCCTCCCTGCTCCAAATACATACTTACATGCACTGTGTGCTACTGGAGTCACTATTGACATCTTAAAATTTACCCTGGCCACCAACGGCTGACTATGTTCTGTTTATCAGCCAACACCAACATTAAATTGTAAAACTGGCTTATCATGTGGCTAAAGTTATTTTGGATGCAAAAACCCACAATGATGAAAGAATTCAGTCCTCAACATTCTTTCAAAAGGGGAGAAAGTTTTATTCGCCTAAATATCAATTCTAAAACACGCCATTTCCTTCCATAACACTGCAAACTGGCCCCTTTCAAAGACTGTTTGTTTCTCAGCCTCGATTTTATTTTCCGTTCCACTCTTAGAGTATAAGATTAATTCCCACATTCTGCACATTGCCAGGAGTTCAGTGCACATGTTTACTGAGGTGTACAGCTCTCAAATAACTTTGGTGCTTCTTTCACCCACTGTTAGGAAGTATATTTAAAAGAAATTGCCTTTTATAGATTTAAATTACAAAAGTACTGATATCATGCAAAAGGCAGTTTAACTCATGCAAGCATACAAATAGGTAAATCTTAGGGAAGAAGATACGAAGGCTAATATGAATGTAAATAGGATTAGCTGCCTACATTAGCAGTGGCTGTGAAATTTAAAGTACTTTCCGTTAGGTTATTCTTTAAAATACACCTATATTTCATGTGTGCATTTGTAGATATTTAGGAATATATTTTACTTTGTCTTCGGCTTGAATTTTGAAACAAGGACAGACAACAACCCTGACTTCTGCTTACTGGTAGCCCAGGTAGGAATGAAATGTAACCTTCTTGATGGTTAAATATTTACTTACATAAAGTTTTAAGTCTCTGAGAAAATATGACAAAGTGTGATCAAGGAAATATAGATTCATATTGCAAAGAAATGAGAAAACTGACTATAGTGTTTTCCCCCCTTAAGACTGGTTTGTACTCATGTTAGTTGAAATGTTAGTTGAAATGGAAGTGGTCAGCGTAGAACAGGAGATGGCAACCTAGAGCCCAGGTCCAAATCTGGTCAAACGCTTGTTTTTGTTCATCTCCCAAGGTCAGAATGGTTTTCACATTTTTAAACGGTTGAGAAAGAATCAAAGAAGAATAACATTTCACAACACTTTAAAAGTTTCATAAAACTCAAATTTTAGTGCCCATAAATAAAGTTTTATTGGAATACAGCCACACTCATTTGTTCAGCTATTGGCTTCCTTTGCACTATAATGGCAGAGTTGAGTAGTAGTGACAGGGACCTTATGACCTAAAAGGGCTGACATATTTACCTGCTACAGAAAGTTTGCCAAATCCAGGTTTAGAGTAAAAGTATTAATATCTTTATGCGCTTTATTTTTGAGATTCCTAATTAGATTGTTGGAGTTGGAAATCAGTTCTAAGAAGTTCTTTATGTAGCCATTTGAACTTAGACTCTATTTTCTTACCTGGAATCATCAGAAATAGACTATAGATTAAAAGGCATACTGTTTTTTAAGAAATTAAGCCACAACTTTAAAAAGCACCTAGGGAACCACAAGTATAACATTTTGAGGAGAGGTATAGTAAGTAAGGGGAGAAGAGCCCAGCTCTGGGGCTCAACTTCCTGGGCTCAAATCTCCAATCTGCCTCGTAGGATACTTGCTTAACTGCCCCTGTGCCATGGTTTCCTTACTGATGAATTAGGGCAATAATGAGAATTGCTTTATGGGGTTGTTGGCCAGAATTAAATGAGATGATGCATATAAAATGTTTTGAAGAGTGCCCAGACTTTGCAAAGCTCAGTGAGTACTAGCTATTATTATTATTTTTCAAATAGGATATTTGCATTTACATCTTTATGAATTTGAAAATCAACATTCATTATAGAAGCACCTGTTCTTCAGGCCAGAACATTTTCAAGGTGTTTATCAGGTAACGGTGCTTCGGGGTTTTGTTGGGAGAAGACTTCCATGTGACATGCATTCCACTGAGGGGGTAAAATGCTAAAATTATACCTTCTAGGAGGCATTGATCATTTTTCTCAGACTGTATTGTCCTGATCGCAGATGATGGGATGAAACCAAAAAAAAACTGGCAAGATGTTGGCTTTAACTTAGCTTTCCCTATGTAACATAACTTTAGATCTAGTAAGGGATACTCAAGACCATCTAGCCCAACATTTTCAGATGAAGGCATTGAGGGCCAGAGACTGGATAGACTTGGCCAAGGTCACACAGTGAGGCAATGACAGGGCTATGAGCAGATCTCAGGGCTTATTAAACCTCTTAGACTTGGAGCTTTTCTAACAGCAACAACCATGCATTCAGTGTCCTTTTACTTAGCACAGTGCCTAGCATGTACTAAGTACTCAGCAAACATAAGAACAACAAAAACAATGAAGAAGAATAGATGAATACATAAATGAATAAATGAGCTGCTTGGCCTCTTGAAAAGCCCCCCTGAAACACACACAAGCATGAGAATTTCGAAGGAGATTTATTCTAATGGTCAAATGAAGAAAACGCTCCACAGGGAATTTTTTTTTTTGTGGTAGCTCTGTCCCAGTTTCTTACATTGAGCATCTGCCATGATTGAAGGATTCCAGCCCATCATTCTTTTGCCAGGTAAGAGTCTGCATTATTAGTGATTCAGCCTATATATACTGAGTTTATGCTTTTTCCTTTACATTTTTAACATAGTCATAATTTATATTACAGTGGTATATGTTATGAATCTCTATAAACAACCTTCAATCCATATTGGAATAAGGTACAGGATGCATAAACAAATAAATAAACAAATGGACATATGGATGGATAAAGAAGTAAATAGAAGTGAGTAGAATAAATAGGTAGGGTAAAAGAGAAACAGTCCCTCAATCAACCATTGATCCTGTTTTTGTTTGGCACACAGTAGGTGCTTAATGAATACAGGTTAACAGGATGGCTGGATTAATGCATTTAAAAAGCTTTTCAACATGCAAAATTGTAGCAGAACATAACCTGGCCATTAATCTGAGTAACCTGGGCACATTATTGAAGAGCCCTCGAATGAGACAAGCGTTTTTTTATCAGTCCTCATAAGGGATCTGGGAATATAACAGTACCTCCTTCCTGAACCAAGCCTTATGCATGTGAATCTAGATTCCCAAAATAGATCAAACAGGGATGCATTTCACTGCTCACTCATTCACTGAGTCTCTAAATGTTTGCTGGTTCAGTACTAAATGTTGGAGATAGAAAGCATCATTCCTGCCCTCATGGAATTTACAGTCTAGAGGAGCAACCGACATTTAACAGATAATCACAAACGATTACAACACAATTACACCTCACAGAAGAATGTGCCACAGCATATGGCATGTGAAGATTGGTTTGGCTAAATGGTGCCTTATTTAGCAAAACTTTAGCTAATTTTTTTTTTGTTTTGAGGGAGGGCAGATTTAATAATCTATGAGTTGGAACATGTTCTCCTGGGGTTTAATAGAGTGTGATGTGTTTCCCACAAGTAGGATGCACCACTCCAACCTCTGGCACTTTGGGGAAGTGCTATTCTCAATGACAAGCTTGTTAAGACCAATAGCTGTAGAGATTCGTCAGATCTCGCTCTGCCTTGGTCCACACAGGCCAGCTATTTAAGGCTGCGTTGCCAAAGTCAAGTTCATTTGGAGGAAGTGGAAGAGAGGTCAACCTTTGAGGATGTATCAAGTAGATCAAACTTGTTGGTTGACTGCATGTCTGGCTCATCAATTGGCTACTGTCTTATTGTGATCATGAAATTCATCTCACACAAATAAATAATTGATATTTTTATAAGCATTGTTAACAATGTATACATTTAACAAATATTTAGTAGAAGTACTTTATGAATGCCTAGATTGTACAATATTGATCTATACCCTATAAGGTGGTAGCCATGAAGGTGTGCTGCTCACATCTCTCTTAGAGAAAGAATCTGCCATTTAGCTTCAAGGAAGGCAGTTTTCCAACAGCCTCTAGCCATTGGCCTTCAGAATTCACCTCAGCTTTCAGGTAAGACCATACTCTTACTGTGAAGTCCTCAGCCAATGATCGAGTCTTGGCCATTTTTGCCTGGTGCGATAATGAGTGAGCAGCAGAGCTAGACCTTAAATCCAGGCTGTTGGGATTCTGAGGTCCCTACAAGAACTAGAAGTTAGGGGAGGGCTCCCTGAGTCTTCAGTCTGGAGTTAGATTCTGCTTCTCCCAGTCAAGGGCTGAGTCTCTAGGCCACAGAATCTGTCTTCCTTCTCCCTTTGGCCATTTGGAAATGGCTGGGAAATCCAGTCTCTTTTGCTGAGTACTGTGGAGTGGCTGCCAAATACCTAGTGTGGCTGACATTGGCTGAAATGCCTGAGTTCAGCCTTTTTGGAGGGAGAAGCTGGCCTGTAAGCAAGAATAATATTCTACCACCCAGCTTGTTCAGTTGCAAATTTGCTTATTTTTGGTTGGTTTCAATGCCATGGAGACATAGACATAGTCTAATTTTTGAATTACACCACAATCATTTGTTGAAAAGTGAAAAGTCTAGTCAATAAGCAGGTCATTTTTCTTCATTTTGGGTCATTCCTTTTTAACCATCCCTCCCACACCCTGAAGTGACAAGGTGGAAGGTTGTTACACAGAAACAATTTCAATTAACTGACTTCTTCCCACTAGCATCAACAGATAAAAGACTGTGGGGATTGTACACATGCAGATATAATAGTTGTGGAAGCATCAAGATGAGCATGTTTTCATTGTAGTGTAGAATCTTTACGCTGAGCAAACATCTGGTAATTGCTGCCTATTCATATTTTGGCAATAGCCAGATAGTTGAACAATTATTGAGCAAATTTTGGTCAAGAGGCATGCCATGTTTTTCCAGAGTAATTGAAAAAATACATGAAAATGGCCATGGAAAATGTCCTTCCTTGATTTGATTCAGTCAAACAATAGGTTTGAATGATTTCTGATGGAAATTTCTACACAGAGCCTTGGGATAGATCACTTTGGTCAGAAGCTTTCTTCTGTTTCTAATTTATCATATAACAAAAAGAAAATTTATGTTAGGGGCCAGAAAATACTTCCTTAATCTTGATGCATCCTTCTATCATCATAGGGACTCGCTTTAAAGAACTGGAGACATCAGCTCAGCAAATAAAACTAGAATAAGGCAAGGATGCTGCTTTGACAGAAATGCTAGTTAGTGCCACTTAAGAGAGGCTACAAGGCAGTGGGGTAAGTACAAAGTTAGGAGATGTGTGTCTGAATTTCTTGCTTCTTTAGTTGACGGGTGGTGTATAGACCAGCAGCAGCAGCAGCAGCATCTGGGAACTTGTAAGAAATGCTGTCTCAGATCTCATCCCAGACTTATGAAATCAGTTAACAAGATGCCCAGGTCATTCTTACGCACATTAAAGTCTGAGAAACTTTACTGTGGTGCCATCCTTGCCTGGAACCAGCCACATGGGAGTATTATTCCCCATCTTTAAAAGGAGGAATTTTGCTCACAGCTGTTTTTCCTAAAGTAGGATTTCCCAAGCGCAAGTATTATAAGATGCTCCTTGGAAAAAAGGATTCTGTAGTCAAACATTTTTAATTGTGCATACTGGTGGGTTTTTTGTTTGTTTGCTTGTTTTTGAGGCAGAGTCTCACTCTGTCACCCAGGCTGAAGTACAGTGGCACGATCTCGGCTCACTGCAACTTTGCCTCCCAGGTTCAAGCGACTCTTCTGCCTCAGCCTCCCAAGTAGCTGGGATTACAGGCATGCACCGCAACACCTGGCTAATGTTTGTATTTCTGGTAGAGACAGGGTTTCACCATGTTGGCCAGGCTGGTCTCGAACTCCTGGCCTCAAGTGATCCACCCGCCTTGGCCTTCCAAGGTGCTGGGATTACAGGTGTGAGCCACTGCACCCGGCCCATACTGTTAATTAACAATATGTATTAGCTTATTAAAGGCTCTGAGACTTGTGGAGTTTCTGAGTCCTCCCTCTACCCCTTATAATTCAAAATTCTAGCCTTGCTTCACTGTGCATTTTATTTTCCTAATTTCAGTTAAACAGAAAGTTTAAAAGATACCATTGCAACCAGAATCAGGTTGCAATGGTATCTTATTGCAATCAGGTTGCCTTATTTTCTTGCAAAAGCAAAAACAAGTAAGAGCATCCTTTAAATAACAATATTTTCTGATGTTAATGTCAAATTAATCCAAGAAATGAATATGTATTGATGGTATTCTTTTGGGTTTTGAAAATCCTTACAACCACATAATTAAATGAGTGCCTTTAGAAATACTGATAAAAGCCCATTGCCATTCAAATATCTATACAAGACAATGGCCGTAAGCTGTGGGCTTGGGAGATTAGTTTGGCCACGAGCCAGTGTTTATCACAATATTTCCATCTCAGCTGATAAAATGTAATCATTCTTATTTAAATAGAAATCAGAATTAATGCAGGTTTTAAAGAGAAGGAATAATAAATGAATCGCACTATCTTTATTTCAGAGCTCCTGGCATATATTGTCTATTCAGAAAGGAAATGCTAACGGTTGTTGTTTTGCTTTTCTACCTTGGACTTTCATTCCAGAGCCCTCAAAAATAATGAGCTATTGCTGCTCGAATATTTATTTCTTCAGCTCTACTTTAAGCAAAGTGGTTTCCATCCTTCTCTCTAGTAGGATAAACAGGGCTTTGTATATGATGGGGACACGACTGGAACTGGAGTTGGCAGGGCCTGTGCTTTGAGCTGTTTCTCCTGGAGTGGTGATGGGTTTGGACTGATCATTTTCCACTGACATGCCTGGGTCTCTTGAGATCACAAGCAGTAGGTGAGAAGGCAGCTGGTGAGCAGTAGGTGAGAAGGACGGGGTATGCAGTTGGCTTTGGGCCAGAACCATGGTGCTGCTAGCCGGCCGAGTCCAGGGTCAAGTCTGTCCCTGGAGCAGTCAGATATGGCAGCCTCCTAGAAGCAATTAGAGCTTAAAGAAACCTTATAGGTCATTTAGCCCAACGCATTCATTTTGTGGGTGAGGAAGTTGAGGACCAGAAAGCGGAAGCAACTCACTCAGGGTCACCCACCGTTAGATTTTGTAAAGCTACCATGCAAGCAAATCAGGATGCCAGCCACCAGCTTGGTGTTCTTTTGACTTTGTCTGGTTATTGGACCTGGAGTGGATACAACTGAGAACCATTTTGTTTGACTCTATCGATAAATTTTTGGTTAATGTCTCAAATGATTTACACCAAACAAAACCCATTTAAATTAAAACACCTCTCCATCCACTAAACCATCTCTGATAGTTAATATTAGGTGTCAATTTGATTGGATTGAAGGATGTCTAGATGGCTGGTAAAGTATTGTTTTTGGGTGTGTTTGTGAGGGTGTTGCCAGAGGAGATTTTGAGTCAGTGAACTGGGAGATAAGGAATTTTCTAGGAACTGGAGCAAAGGTCACTTTTGTTATGCATTAGCAAAGAGATTGAAGGCATTGTGCCCTTGCCCTAGAGATGTGTGGAACTTTGAACTTGAGAGTGAGTTCTCATGAGAGACCTTGTTGTTTAAAAGTGTGTGACATCTCCCTTTGCTCTCTTCCTCCTTCCCAGGCCATGTACGACGTGCCTGCTTCCCCTTCGCCTTCTGCCATGATGGTAAGTTTCCTGAGGCTTTCCCAGCCATGCTTCCTGTACAGCCTATGGAACTGTAAGTTAATTAAACCTCTTTTCGTTAAAAATTACCCAGTCTCAGTTAGTTCTTTATAGCAATGCAAAAACAGACTAATACACCAATTAACCAACAAGAGGAACCATATTCTACCCCATCCCAACCCAGGATTCTTATTTTTTGGGGTGGAGAGATATAAAGAACCTCATTTTTCTCCCTTCTCCTCCTTTAAATAACATTTTAAAAAATTTAAATACAGAACGTACTCAACTTACTGTGGATTGGCTTTCTGTGGTTGGTGCAAAGGCAATACACATTCAGCAGAACTTGTGCTTTGAATTTTGAATTATGACCCTTTCCTGAGCTTGCAATATGCAGTAAGATACTCTCAATGTTGGGCTGGGCAGAGACAGTAAGCCGCAGGTCCCATCAGCCATATGCTCAGGAGGGAAAACAACCGATACTCGATAGTGTACCGTGTTTCCAGACGATTTTGCACAGCTGTAGACTAATGTAGGAGTTCTGAGCACGTTGAAGGTAGGCCAGGCTAAGCTATGAGGTTAGGTATATTAAATGCTTTCAAATGATGATATTTTCAACCTACGATGGGTTTACCAAGACATAACTCCATCAAACGTCAGGAAACATCTGTTTGTATACATTTAAATATAAAAAGAAAAAACCTACATTCATCCATAATTTCACTGTCTTGATAAATACTGACATTCAAAAAGTAAAATAAAATAATTACAATAGATAAAAAGTATTGATCACTCACTGTGTTCTAGTCACTGTTCTGGGCCCTTTATTCTCTCACTTAATCCATATACCATTCCTATGGGTGGGTACCATTTTTCTCCCCCATTTTACAGATGAGGAAACTGAGGGGCAGAGAGATCGAGTACCTTCCTAAGGGCACCCTCCAACAAGTGGCAGAGCTGGGATTTAACCCAGCAGTCTGGCCCCAGGGCCCAGTCTCTTCACCTTCATTCTCCATAGCCTGAGAAATGTGGATTCTTACTTTAGCCACCTCTAAGAACGTACCTGAATTTTGTTTTATTTCATCCCCAAACTTTATTATGCATCCCGTTTTTTCCATGGCCATATCATTTCTCCCAAGTAGGAATTAGGCCCTGTTAAAGTCAGTTGGTGTCAACGGATTTGCTAGAAAAAGGCATTTTGAAATCAATTTGACTGTATTGCTTTTGACTTTGTTATGAATTTCAGTTTGGGTTAAGGGTATATCAGACTTCAAAACCTCTGGTTAGGTCATTTAAGAACCTTCCTGAGACTTCACAACCCCTTAAGACTTCCTTTCAAATTCGGACATTTCCTCTGTCACCACACTCTTACAAATGTTTTGAGAAATAATGAAACAATGCTTTAGTCATTTGAGAAAATGTGCAGAAGACCTCATTAATCTGGTATCAATGAAAATAAGATATTTCACATCAGGAAAATTTCAACATAGCTAAACCTTAGATTTTTCAAGAGCTTGAAATTTTTCTCTTAATGTTTTTGGTAGTTGTGGATACCTTTTTTGATCTGTTTTAATCATTTCTTGATAAACCAGAAATATAATTATAATCATTAATAATATTCCATGTGCAGTAGGGAGAGTCCTCTGGGAAAATGCTCCTTTGGGACCCGGGACTTCCAAACCATGCCACTTTGTAATGTTAACGTCCCCTAAATTACTCAACACCCTTTGATTATTTTATTTTATCTTTATTTTTTGAGACAGAGTCTCACTCTTTTGCCCAGGGCATGCAGTGGTGCAATCTCGGTTCACTACAACCTTTGCCTCCAGGTTCAAGTGATTCTCCTGCCTCAGCCTCCCGAGTAGCTGGAGCTGTAGGCGTGTGCCACCATGCCCAGCTAATTTTTGTATTTTTAGTAGAGATGGGGTGTTGCCATGTTGGCCAGGCTGGTCTCCAACTCCTGGCCTCAAAGTCATCCACCCACCTCAGCCTCCCAAAGTGCTAAGATTACAGGTGTGAGCCACGACACCTGGCTGACACCCTGAGATTTTAAGATAGAAGCAGGACAGATATAATTTGATGATAATGCAGTAGTTCGAATACAGACACCATGCTTGCATTTCGTGAGCATGATTGGCTGTTAGGAATAGAGTGGAGACGGTCGGTGAACTGTTTATAGATGACCTAGCCTGTGTTCTCTATGAGAGGCAAGACTATATCCTGTTCACATTTCCTAAAGGGATAGGATGCATTAGTTGGCATGTACCACTGGTGTTACCTCTGTTGCAACCACAGTGCGACTACTGTTCCCACTCTGACCATATGAAGCTTACCTGGATCCTCCGGGACTTCCTGGAAGCCAGGACACACCACCTTCTTACTCAGAGATACTACATGCTCTCCACTTTTTCACTGTTACAAACAGGGCAGCAATGAACATCTTGGGGTTACATGTGTTTTTTTTGTACATCACAGGCAAGGGCTTCTCTAGGACAGGCCCTTAGGTGTAAAACTGCTAGACATTGTCCATGTTATTTGCTACTGCTGAATTACTCTCCAAGGTCATGACACCAGTTTACATGCTCATCAGCAATGTATAAGAAGGGTCCTCATTTTTCACTCTCCTCATCAACGCTTGGTCTTAGTACCTTTCTTTGTTGCCCTTAGCTTGTGTGTTTTCACCTGCCAAACTGATGTTTTTAAGGTAATAATTCAACCGGGAAACTTACGAGTGAGAGAAACAGTCATCTATTTCCACTGGGCAATGGCTTACTATGGAGTTACAGTGTTCTGACCTAAAAATCAATCAGGTAGAGAAAGAAGTTACATTTTGCATGACATTGGAGGCTGTTCGCCATTTAGCTGCTTAAAAAGGAATATTGTTGTTTAGATTTCTTAAGTATCTGTTTGGAAATCTGCTCAACCAAGACACAAGAGAGAGAAATCTTCATTTAGGACCAAGCATTCTGGCAAGTTTCTGACCTTCTTAGCCCAAGTCCCTGGGGGACCATGTGACCCCCCCCCCCGAAAGGGGCAAAAGACAGAGGGTCTGGGCTTTCCCCTGGTATTCTGTTAGACTTGGGCCATGTGTGGTTTTCTCATCACCCCAGGCTGCGTATCCTGGTCTACTTTCAAAAATATCATTTAGGGGTGTTCTCCGTTCTCCTTGTCTCTTAGGGGTACCCTCTGGGGACCTCTGTATTGCTTATTGATGCCAAAGTCATGTTTGCCACACTCTACTGCCATTGACTTACTTTCCCAGACAGAACCTTGGAGTCACGCCTTTGAGACATCTGCTTCTCTCTCCCATCTCTTCTTTCCAGCTTTTACTGACCCCTCCCCTCACTGGTCCAGGCACTATACCCTCCTCTGCCCAGGTGCCTGTACTGTTGTTTCCATCTCTCAGCCATCTTTCTTTTTCTTTTCTCCATCCTCTTCCCATCTGCCATCCACACCCTCCATCTACTGGTTCTAGTTCTAACCTGGCTTCTAATGCTGTGTGATCCTTGGTGAATTGCTTCACCACTCTGGGCCCCACGAGTGCATCTATACAGTGAGGGAATGGGATTCGATCAGCAGTCCCATACCCGAATGCAGGGCTCAGAAACAAACAAACATAAAAATAAGACTGATACACTTCGTTTACATATTAAATACTAACTAAAATATTCTTCATTTTCCCATAGATACCTGTTTGCTTTTAATTTGAGTTGAAACACATTGCCCTCCTTGTCTGGCTTTCATTTTCCCACTAAGTATAGAGACAAGGGGTGAAAAGTAGGTCACGTACCTCTTGGCTATAAGAACAATAGCATGGGTGTGATGATACATAGCAAATAACACCAGCTTTCATGCTGGGAGGCAATAGGGAGCAGTGGGGACTGTGGTTAAATTGGAAAGCAGCACACACTCCCAGGCTAAAGGAAGCTACTTACTATAGTGCAGCCCAGGGTTGGCACATCTTTGCTTCCCTGAGCTCCAGCAGAATTTGGAAATTTGGACTTTTAATACAAAATCTCTGAATATTTTATTTTATTTTTTAAAAATTGGCGTCTAATTAGATGTAAAACTGCTAGACATTGTCAATTGTATCCGCTACTATTAAATTACTCTCCAAGGTGATGACACCAGTTTACATTCTCATCAGCAATGTAAAACTGCTGATCTAACAAACATCACTATATTGGTCAGCATAAGCATAGCCCTGACAAAAGAGGCCTATGGGCCATATTCGGCTCATGAGACACCAGTTTGCTTCCTTGGAATTGCATGGCCCCTTGTAAGAGCCTCTCCGTGTTTCCAGTTAATTATTCAGCCCCTCTTAATCATGTCTTTGCTCCATGGATTTTCAGCACTTACGCATTCGATTTATACTAACCTGGCAATCGTTTCATTTATTGCTTTGCAGTTTCTCCAATAGATTCATCTCTGGGTTTATCTCATTATCTGGGTTGCGAGCTCCTTAGGGACAACTCAGACACTGGACTAGGCTCTGGGGAGAAATGCCAGATGGAAAGGTCATGGTCCCTGCCTGCAAAGAGAGAAGAAGGGAAGGTATGTAACTGACCCTGCCAGAGGGTCCCAGGGGATGTAGGGCTGACAGCACAGAGCATTTTGCTCCTCGAGTTCTCTTCCAGCAATCCAGTTGTTATCTCCACCTCTTCTGCATCTCTCAGAATTCTGCTTTATTGTTCCTTGCCCAGCTCACTGCAGAAGCCCCCAGGCTGATCCCTCTATCCCCACCCCCAAAGCTACTCTGGTCCCCACCAGGCCTTTGAGATCACTGCAGCCAGAGTGAGCTGCTTATATTACAATGGCCTACTCTAAATCTTATAGGGGCTTCTAACTACTCTTAGAATAAGCTGCCAGTTGTTAAGGGAGCCCATGAAGGCCTGCACGATTTGGTCTCCTACCTTTTCCAGTCACATCTCCCATTTCCCCTTTGCCTTCCCTGTTTTGCCTTTCAGTTTCTCAAATACACTCTGTTTTCTCCCATCACAGGGCTTTTGCTCATACTCTTTCTTCCATTTAGACTCCACTCTTAAAATCCTTCTCATCTTTCAATCTCAACATGAGCCTTGCTTCCAGAAGAAAGGCTTTCCCAAGCCCCGAGGGCAGGTCAGGCTTTCCCATGGTCTATGGGACACCAAGCAGGAGTTACGTCTGTTTTCTTCACCATTATATTTGTGGCAGATTTTATAACACCTGGCACAGTAGGATCTCGATAAATGTTTGTTCAATGAATGAATAAAGGCCGAAAAAGGAATTGCAGGAAGGGTATGATTTTAGAAGTATGTGCAAAGGCCCCTCTGTCCTCAACATCTAACTCCATTATCAGAAAATGAGATCTTTAAATTTACAGTAAGAAATATATTGAAAACGCTAATTTTTCCAGGAGAGAAAAAGCATCCTTCTATATCTTCTTTCCGAGAGTGGCAATTAAGAGTAGGCAGAGTGAGTGCTTGGGTGACCAGGACTGTGCCATGTGCCCACGCATTTTCTGATCTACCATAGCATCAAGTACCACATAGAGAGATGTGACACATATGTGAAGATGCGTTTTAGTTTTGAGAGTGCAGAGTGTGGAAGGCATTCTACTGTTTACCCCTTGAAACCACAAGCCAGGTCTGTAGTCCAGCGGCATTGGTGATACCTGGGAGCTTGTTAGAATGTAAACTTTATGTGGACAGGCACTTTTTCTAGTTAACTATCACATTCCCAGTGCCGAGAATGATGTCTGGCACACTGCAGATATTCCATAAGTATTTGAATAAATGAGTGATTAAAGGAAGAAATGCTAGAGTGAAGGGATGAGGAAATATTTGAAATGATGGAAATATGAATGAACATTTGAACATTTTTTCATGAGTGTGTACATGATGAATTGCTTCCTTAGGGGTGTGAAGCTCCAGAGAAAGAGCTGAAGACATCCCTAACAATTCCCCGGAAGAAAAGGTGAGCAATTACCCACCTGGCCTGAGAGACAGAGCTTTGACTTTGATACAAGAAAGAGAATTTTAAACTGGACTTCTCTCTTTCTTGTCCTCACCTAGTCAGTGACACATGGGAAACCCCAGCTTAGGGATTTTTTAAAAAAAATGTTTGGTCCTCACCACATGTTCTCACTCATAGGTGGGAATTGAACAATGAGAACACATGGACACATGAAGGGGAACATCACACTCCGGGGACTGTTGTGGGGTGGGGGCAGGGGGGAGGGATAGCATTAGGAGATATACCTAATGCTAAATGACGAATTAATGGGTGCAGCACACCAACATGGCACATGTATACATATGTAACAAACCTGCACATTGTGCACATGTACCCTAAAACTTAATGTGTAAAAAAAAAAAAAAAGTTTGGTCTATTAAACAGTGTTCCTGGTACCTAGGTCAGACCAAATCAGGCTTCCCCGTGGTCTGTGAGGATCCAAGAAGGGGTTTTGTCTATTTTCTTCACCATTATGTTTGTAGCAGATTTCATAATACCTGGCAGAGAGTAGGCACTCAAAACGTTTGTTCAATGAGTGAATAAAAAAAAAAAAGGAATTGCAGGAAGGATGCAGTTCCTCAGTACAACACAGCTTTGCTTAATCTGATCCTCAGCTGTTGCCATTATTAAGCAAGACAATGCCAGGACAGCCCCAATTTCTTGGTCCTCACGAAGCCTCAGGCCCACCTATGCCCCTTGCAACAGATCCCATGAGCAGGTTACAGCCAGGGGAGAGAGAAAGAATGAATGACCACCAAGAGCTTGGTGATGCATCTGAATCAAGGCCTGGATACCCCAGCAAAACTTAAAAGAGAAACTACATTTTATTTCACTCTAATTTCCAGGAGAAATAGGCCTATGAAACATCAAATGCTGAATGTGGAACATAGAATATAGTATATTGTTTGGTAAATTCCCTATCATGATGAAAGTAATAATAGCTAATACTTATGAAGTGCCAACTCTGTGTTAGGTACTGTTCTAATAAATTTATTTCTATTAACCCACTTTATCTTAATCCAGTGAAGAACTATTATCACTGTCTGCTATGGTTTGAATATGATTTCCCCCTTCTGAAGCTTATGTTGAAATTTGATCTCCAGTGAGGTGGTGTTAGGAGGTGGGGCCTAGTGTGATGTGTTTTGTCATGGAGGTGGATCCCTCATGAATACATTAATGCCCTTTTGCAGGAATAGATTTGTTCTGAGAGAGATAGGATTGTTATAAGTGAGCCCAGTCTCTCCTGCTTTCTCTTTGCATGCACTTCTCTTCTTGCTTTCTACCATGAGTCAAAGCGACAGGAGACCCTTGCCAGATGTGCTGCTTGATCTTGGACTTTCCAGCCACCAGAATCATGAGCCAAATAAACCTCTTTTCTAAATTACCCAGTCTCAGATACTCTGTTTTAGCAACATAAAATGGACTAAGACACCCTCTCTTTTATAGATGAGGCACTGAGAGATTAAGTAATGTCACCTAAAATCACACAGCTATTGAGTAAGTGGTAGAAGTGTAATTCAAAACCATGCAGTCAGTTTCCCCAGAGTGATTGATCCCAAACTCTACACTAACATAGCCCCTTCTGCAGTCTGAAGATTACCAAATGAAGGGATGCATGCATGTATGTTTGCATGCATTCATTCTACAGATCTGGAAGCATCTTTTATAAATGAAGCCTTCTGTGCAGGGATCCAAATGCAAAAAAAAAAATCTTTTTTCCTTGCAGCATAGTTTAGAAATGGATTCCTTGATGCTTTAATGACCATATTCACAGATGTGGACACCTGAAGGGTAAATAATTTACATGCCTTCTTCAAGCTCCCACAATTAGAAAAAAAATGAATTCAAATCTGAACCTAGATGTTCTGTCCCCAGGCCTAGTCTTACTTCCATCCTGATGTACTTGCTTAAAGTAAAAAAGGAGATCAGACACCTAGACATGTGATAGGAATATAACAATATAGCAATGCTTTGTGATTTTATAAAATGTATAAAATACCATGGGTAGACATAGATTATGATTATGTAACAAACTAAATGCCACCATTTTAATAAAAGTTCTTGTCTCTATTATAAGCTTTCCTTGAGAGGAGGGGCAGTGCCATGGTTAATTTTATGTAACAACTTGACTGGGCTATGGGATCCCCAGATAGCTGGTAAAACATTATTTCTGGGTGTGTCAGTCTGGGAGGGTGTTTTGGAAGAGATTTGCATTCTACTCAGTAGACTGAATAAAGAAATCACCCTCATCAATGTGTGTGGGCATCACCTAATCCATTGAAGGTTTGATTAGAATTCCAAGGTGAAACACAACAAGGTTGGATTTGCCCTCTTTCCTTGAGCTGAGACATCCATTCTTCTTCTGCTCTTGAACATTGGCACTCTGGTTCTCCAGGCTTCAGACTCAGATTTGGACTTACAACCCTGGCTACCCTGGTTCCCAGACCTTTGGGTTTAGACTAAAATTACAGCACTAGCTTTCTGGAGACTCCACCTTGCAGAGGGTAGATTATGGGATTTCTTAGCCTGTATAATCATGTGAGCCAATTCCCACAATAAATCTCTTTCTATATACGTAAGTATATCCTACCAATTCTGTTTCTCTGGAAAACTCTGGCTAATACAGGGAGTTTGTTTTTTCCAAAGAGTGAATAGGCCAGGTGCAGTGGCTAGCACTTGTATCCCAGCACTTTGGGAGGCTGAGGTGGGAGGATTGCTGGAGGCCAGGAGTTTGAGACCAGACTGGGGAGCATAGAGAGATCCGTCTCTACAAAAAAAATTTTTTTTAAATTAGCCAGGTGTGGTGACACATACCTATAGTCCTAGCTACTTGGGAGGCTGAAGTGGGAGGATCACTTGAGCCCAGGAGGTTGTGGCTGTAGTGAGCCAAGATTGCACCACTACACTCCAGCCTGGATGACAGAGCAAAGAGTAAAAACAAATCAACTGTGAAATGTACAACTAAGCTGTCTGTGATTTCCATTCAGAAGGAAATAAAGTCCTGAACCTCATATTATATAGAAAGCCCTGTTTCCCCACTTATAAGAATAAATCTGGGTCCACATTTTTCCCCCTTATGGATTTAGTTGCCCACTGAGAAGGTTGCCCTTTTGTAATGAACTCTCATTAAAATGCCCAGTTAGTGACATCGATAAGTTTATCCTTTGCAGAAAGAGAGCATGCTGGGGCTATAATGACATGTGCTTTCTGTGTTCTTAAGGCATTGATTAACCCTCACCTGCCAGAAATCATTAGCAAACGGATGGCTATTTTCTGATAGTTTTGAAAGGAGGATAAGTTTTAGTAAATAATCATTGGCTTGCTTTCCCGGGGGAAAACCAGATTGGAATAGCTGTGAAACGCTACATTGGTTTATTTTTTAGTGGGTGTATTTAGGAAGGAATGGAAATTGCATTCCAAGCAGCTAATTATAGGATAAGCGTGGCTACTTAGCCAGGCAGCAAGCATGTCAACTCTGCACAGAGCTATCACATTATATATATTTTCTGTTCTCTGGATAATTAACAGGATCAAAATATTACTGCCAGATTCAAGGGGAAAATTAACACATTATCTTAATTGTCTTTTCTACTCAGGTACGAGGCATTACCATTTCAAAAAGGACTTGTCTAATACATTGGAATTTTAAACTGCAATTCCTGAAGATGCTGTTAATCCCCTTCCAAACTTTGATCTACTATTGTGATATCTTTGGACCCTGGCTCCTCTGTTTTCACTTTTGAACTACAGTCATGCATTGCTTAGAGACTGGGATATGTTCTGAGAAACGCATAGTTAGGTGATTTTGTCATTGTGCAAATATTGTAGAGTACATTTACACAAGCCTAGATGGTATAGCCTACTACACACCTAGGCTATATGGTACACCCTATTGCACTGACTACAATTGTATATACGGTCTATCAGTGACCCAGACATCCTTATGTGGTGCCTGACTGTATTTAAAAATGGTTACAGAGGGGGCAGTGGTACACTAGAGCCAGCTTGTACTGTGTCCCAAGAGCCGAGTGCTAAATTTTCAGAAATTTTGTTAACTGGGTTAGACAAAGCTATTATTAGAACGTGAACTTTGTAAGGCCAGGCACAATGGCTCACACCTATAATCCCAGCACTTTGGGAGGCTGAGGTGGGGTGATCATTGAGGTCAGGAGTTCAAGACCAGCCTGGCCAACATGGTGAAACCCTGTCTCTACTAAAAATACAAAAAAAAGAGACGGGCTTGGTGGCATGCACCTGTAATCCCAGCTACTAGGGAGGCTGAGGCACGAGAATCGCTTGAACCCGGGAGGCAGAGGTTGCAGTGAGTCAAGATGGCACCACTGCACTCTAGCCTGGGTGACAGAGTGAAACCCTGCCTCAACAAAAAAAAAAGAAAAGGAAATTTACAGTTAGAAAAATTATATCAAGACAAAGGTGGTAAATACTTAAAACATATCACTTCCTGATTGCTTTACTACATTTTCCTATTCTCTATGTTTTTGAGGTTGTAGCTATTGTATCTGTATGGTGGAAGTGCTATATAATGGTGAGCTAGTGCTTATCTCTTCCCAGCTTTGCACTCAGTGACATTGTGTTGGTAGCATGAACGCAGCCATGGTGGGATTTTTATACTGTGGAAACTGGCAAATACTACAAACCAGAGCTTTATTGATTGTCTAGACCAGAGGTTGGCAAACTCTGGCCTGCCGACTGGGTGTCTATTATAATAAAGTTAATTGGGACATTTATTTACATATTGCCTATGGCTGCTTTAGTGCTACAATAGCAAAACTGAGCCGTTCCTACTGAGGCTGTATGTTCTGCAAGCCTAAAATATTTACTATCTAGCTCTTTACAAAAAAGTGGCTGACCTCTGGTCTAGATTTAGAAAGTGACAGATAAAATATTGAAAATACAGAAGAAATGTATGACCTTCGTGCCCTGCCTTTAATTAGAAGAAGCCAGGATATCGGTCTTCAGGCATGGCTGTATCTAGGAGTTCAAATGATGTCACTGTGTTAGAGACATTTGAACCAGAGCAACTCCATCTTGAATAGAGGCTAGGTAAAGTAAGGCTGAGACCTACTGGGCTACATTCCCAGATGGTTAGAGATTCTAAGTCGCAGGCTGAGATAGAAGGTTGGCACAAGATAGAAGTCATAAAGACTTTGCTGATAAAACAGGTTGCAGTAAAGAAGCCAGCAAAAACCAACCAAAACCAAAATGACAATGAGAGTGACCTCTGATTGTCCTCACTGCTACACTCTCACAGTGCCATGACAGTTTACAAATGCCATGGCAACATCAGGAAGTTCCCCTATATGGTCTAAAAAGGAGAGGCATGAATAATCCAGCCCTTGTTTAGCATATAATCAAGAAATAACCATAAAAATGGGCAACCAGCAGCCCTTGGGTCTGCTCTGTCTATGGAGTAGCCATTCTTTATTCCTTTACTTTCCTAATAAACTTGCTTTCACTTTACTGTATGGACTCACCCGAATTTTTTCTTGCCCAAGACCCAAGAACCCTCTCTTGGGGTCTGGATCTGGACCCTGATCTGGTAACAACCGCATCTCTCAGGTTTGCTTTCTTCTGTATTAACTTTGTTTTCAGGCTGGCTTTTCCATGATGTCACAAAATGGCTTCTCAAAGTCCCTGTCTAATATCCTTGCTGTAGTTTAGGAACTCCAGCTAAGAGAACATCACTTTCACAGTGGTTGCAGCAGGGAAAGCCCTGTGCTGTGTTAACCCGTGATGGGTCATGTGCCCACAGAGGAACCAGACACAGAGATAAAAGTGCCTTGACTGGCAAGGCCTAACACATGGGCCCAGCCGTGGAACTGGGCGTTAGGATCAGCAGCAGTCCCCACTGAATGCCTTAACTGAGAGAGAAGGAATGTGGTTCTCCAGAAGAAAATCAGGTGCCTTATTAGACAATGCGGCATTGGTGGCTGGGCCGCTCAGAGCCACAGATGTCTGCTGTAAATATCATCTAAGCCCTCACGGCTGGAAGAGTGATCCGTGCACCAGTAGCTTTGGCACTGTCTGGGAGCTCATGAGAAATGCAGAATAACAGGCCCCTTCCCAGATCTAGTGACCCAGAATCTGCATTTGACAAGATCCCCAGGTGATTTGTATGTGTATTATGGTACAGGAAGTGCAGTTCTAGCAAAACTTTTCACTCTGCAGGAAACCAAGTTTCAGCAGGTTCAGTGACTTATCCAAGATCACCCAGGCTAAGTGCAAATACAGGTCCAACCGGAGCTCACTGGTGAGCTCCTGGCCACAGTTCTCTCTGCTGTCCCAGATAGCTGGCCAACAAGTAGCCCCTAAATAAAACTGCTACAGGTGCTCTGATTGACCTCTTAGGCTGAAACTATCTGGAATTCTACATCCTGTCGGGAAAGGGGTTTTCAGAAGACCAGCAAATAAAAACTAACTCCCAGTATTTCCAAAAGATCCTCTTTTCAGTTCTTCATTGCAAGAAATGCAAAGTTAAATTCCTAAACTCTTATTTACACATGCATTGCTGGTGTTACATGAGTCCCAAGGCACCAGCTGGTCTTATTTGAAGTATGTTGGGCTAACACTGAACCCTGTGTATATTCATCATTATCATCATAACAACAATGATCATAATAAATATATATACTTTAAGGCCAACAGTGCTCTTTACCATTCTTGGGGCTAGCACGGAAATGCACAAATTTCTAGGCCTCTCCTGTATTTCCTTACATGTTGGCATCAGGAATGACACACATGGTTAACAGATTTTCCACATGTTTTTCTCCTTGGCTGACATCTCCCCACTCAATCAGAGCAAAGGCTGTGATCAGAGAGAGTGTTGATTGACTGCTTAGAGGGCATGAGCCTTCATGAAAACACAGGAATGACAGTTTATATAAATATCCTGACACTTTTTTCTTATTCTCCCGCCCTCCCTTAAATTCCCAGTTTTTATTTTTTCTTTGAGCTTAAAATTAATATTTTCTTTGTGGACATGTACTATCCCGGCATGCCTCAGAGCTCACTCAAGCAGCTTGTTAGCATTTCCTACTTAATTGGATCTCTTCCTCCCTTACCCATGTGGAATTCTCCTGCTGTGGGTTTCTAATCGATCTCATGTCAAAAAATAAGAAAAAAAGACCATCTTCCCAAATTATTATACATAGTGTAATATATTGTTTCCTTTAGTAGAATAGCCACCAAGATTTAGACTTCATATTGATGTTGTTTTGAGGGCCAGGTCTAAAAAGTTCCAATTATTTGAATAATTTGGGCAAATAGACCCCCTCTCATTTGTCCAACTTAGCTGGCTAATTGCAGCTGTTTGGTTCTGACCCAGAGGGATTTTGGCAGCTTCCAAAATACAGGGAAATAAATGATGTCATTTTTTTTGGAACAACATTAAAGTTGGAAAGATTTTAATATGTGCAATTTTCCCACTGATAACATTTTACTTTCTGGACACCCTGGAGTGGAAGGAAGATTATGCTCTATTGACAGAGGTGAAATTATTATTATTATTATTATTGTTATTATTTGAGACAGAGTCTCACTCTATCGCCCAGGCTGGAGTGCAGTGGTGTGATCTCAGCTCACTGCAACCTCCGCCTCCTGGGCTCAAGCTACTCTCCTGCCTCAGCCTCCCGAGTAGCTGGGACTACAGGCGCCTGCCACCATGCCAGGCTAATTTTTGTATTTTTAGTAGAGACGGGGTTTCACCATATTGGCCAAGCTGGTCTCGAACTCCTGACCCTGTGATCTGCCCACCTTGGCCTCCCAAAGTGCTGGGATTACAGGTGTGAGCCACTGCGCCCGGCCAAGATGAAATTATTTTTTTAGTTTGTGCTCTCAGAGATCTGTCATGATTGTGCAGTGCATAATTCTAAAAACTTCTTCAGCAACTGGAAGAGATTGGTGAACTACTGTCTTCCAGTCATTCAGATAATTCCAGCTGGCAGCAGGCTGACCTCAAGCTTTGACTACATCCACCCGGGATCTCATGGGATTCAGGTTGGTCCTGGGATGGCAATTGCCTGTGAATGGTGTCCTCCCTTTATCAGCACCGTACCTTCACACAGGAGAAGATGTTTCCCTTCCTTTGCCTTCAGTCTAGTACCTGCTTCTTCCTGAGGTTACACTGAGCATGTTTTCCTGCAGTGCCACTGTACTGGACTTCGAAGGGACCTCATGTCTCAAAGATAGAACCTTGGATCCTGTTTGAAAATGTGTTTCCTAGGCCTTCTCATTTCTGAAAGTCCAAGGAGCTCCCAGTTTGCATTCCCTGATACCCAGGGGATGACATGTCCCATGTCCAGCCCTTACTGTTGGAATTCTTCACTACTTCCTTGTCCTTATCTCCACCCCTATACCAGGATAATCTGGCAAATATCTTTTAACTCGTCTTTGCTCAGAAACTCTAGGGAAGGTCAAATTTAGAACTCTGTTCTCAAATCCTGGTTTTGAGTACCTTGCTGTTTGATCTTGGGAGAGCACATTTATTTCTCTGGGCCTCAGTTTCCTCATCAATAAAACGGAAGGCATTGGCGAAGGTCTGTGTTAAATTCAAACCCAATAGATGAACCTATTTCAAGAGACGATGATCATCCACCCAGACCTAGAATCTGGCTTTGGCCACCTCTGAAAAGATCCAAATGATTATGCATTTGTAAGATTTGGCAAAACCATAACTAGTCTTAAAAAAAAATAGCAGGGTAGTCCTTGCCCATAGCACACATAAAGCTGCTGTTTCTTTCCTCTGTAATGAATGTTTTTGTCTCTGCTTCTGTGAATGTCTAAAGACTTCTAAAGGGAAAATTTCTACTCTAGTTTTTTCCCTTTGTGGACCAATCTTTTGAACTGCAAATATATGAGCAGAGACTATTTATGCATTCAACTTCTCCTGTACATGTTTGTTTGACTGGTAAAATAGAAGGTAAGGGACTATTTACAGATATCTTTGAGAATAATATAACTACACAAGGGGGCCAGGAATAATAGGTTAACATCACAGAAAATGTAGGCTGGGTATAAACTTCCCAGCAGTTTGCATGATTCAATTATGAAGTAGTATCCCATAGGAAGGGCTTTGATCATCTGCACTTGAGACGTTTTCGACTTTGTCGGATTTTTGAAAAATCTCTTAGAGTGATCTTTGCACAAACAGGAGGAAAGGCTGCTGAATATGAAGTCTTTTTCTGCATTAATTTCTTTCAGTTTTTTCCCCTCCATTTGCTAATTTCTTTGAATAATCATTACAATGAAGTGTAACAAAGAATCCATTCAGGATTTCAGAATAGTGATGGCATATGTGTATCTTGTAGAGTGTTATATAAGCCTAATCCAATATTGTTGGCTCCTATGTGAAGTGAAAATGTTTAACTTAGTACTCAAGACTCGTAAGTGTATGTAACTTGCTTATCACTGACTCTAGATTTCTAGAAGACTAGAATACTCCATTTACATTCTTCTCTCTCTATTTTTGATTAACTGTTTCAAAGTAAAATAAGACACAGAAAAACCAAAAATATATAATTTAAAGAGTTAATGTAAGACAAGCTGGAAACCATCATTCTGAGTAAACTATCACAAGGACAGAAAACCAAATACCGCATGTTCTCATTCATAGGTGGGAGGTGAAAATGAGAACACATGGACACAGGGAGGGGAACATCACACACTGGGGCCTGTCAGGGAGTGGGGGGCTGGGGGAGGGATAGCATTAGGAGAAATAGCTAATGTAAATGACGAGTTGATGGGTGCAGCAAACCAATATGGATCATGTATACCTATGTAACAAACCTGCACGTTGTGCACATGTACCCTAGAATTTAAAGTATAATAAATACTACTACTACTACTACTAATAAAAGACAAGCATCCTTGCAATTGCTATTCAGATCAAGAAATATCCCTTTGCCAGTCTCCCCGGATAATCCTCTATGTGCCCCCTTCTGATCATAGTGTTCTTCCTCCCAACAATCCTGATTTAACAAGTTTCACTTTCTTGCATTTTAAAAATAGTTGTATGGCTGGGCGTGGTGGCTCACACCTGTAATCCCAGCAATTTGGAAGGCTGAGGTGGGCAGATCACTTGAGGTCAGGAGTTTGGGACCAGCCTGGCCAACATGGTGAAACCCCGTCTCTACTGAAAATACAAAAAATTAGCTGGGTGTGGTGGCTCGCACCTGGAATCCCAGCTACTCAGGAGGCTGAAGCAGAAGAATTGCTGGAACCCGGGAAGTGGAGGTTGCAGTGAGCAGAGATCATGTCACTGCACTCCAGCCTGTGAGACAGAGGGAGACTCTGTCTCAAAAAAATAATAAAATAAAGAAATAAAAATAGTTGTATTAGTCAAGTGGGCATCTGTACACACTGTACTTTTTTTTTTTTTGAAATGGAGTTTCACTCTGTTACCCAGGCTGGAGTGAAGTAGTATGATCTCTGCTCACTGCAGCCTCCCCCTGCTGGATTCAAGCAATTCTCCTGCCTCAGCCTCCTGAGTAGCTGAGACTACAGGCGTGCATCATCATGCCTGGCTAATTTTTGTATTTTTAGTAGAAATGGGGTTTCACCACATTGGTCAAGCTGGTCTTGAACTCCTGACCTCAGGAGATCTGCCCGCCTCGGCTTCTCAAAGTGCTGGGATTACAGCCATGAGCCGTGAGGCCCGGCCGACACTGAACTTTAGTCTTGCCCATTTAAATAGAAATGTTACATGTTTAAAGTCTCTTTTAATTTACAGGTTCTTTTTCCATCCTTTTCTCTTTTTCTTAACTATTTCTGTTGAAGAACCTAAGACATTTGACCTTAGTGTTCCCTGTAGATTTGGCTGACTGCAAATAGAGCGCAGTTTAGCATGTTCCTCTACCTGCCATTAGCGCATACTCTGGATTTCACTGGACACAGGTCTGATCTGTTTAGGAAGCATGTAGCCTGTAGTGTGTTCTTTCATCAGGAAGCACGTGAATGTGCATCTCTCCGTTTTGTGATAGTAGCAGTCACAGACACTCATTGGTGAGATCCTTCCATTTATTTGGGTTCACAAAATGGTACTATTTTAATTCTATCTTTTTTAATTTAACCGAAGTACAAATATTAAAAAATGCTTCCCCTCATCTATACTTGATTGCCCAGTGGAACAGTTTATATATGAAAGGTAGGATAAAGGCTTGATGTGGGATAAAGGCTTAATTCTTCCTCTATATTTATTAATTTTCAAGATGACAAGTTGGACCCCTATCATGCCAAAGGTGACCAATTAGTGCTGTTTTAAAGTATCAGTATAAATTGTCATCAGGCCGGGCGCGGTGGCTCACGCCTGTAATCTCAGCACTTTGGGAGGCCTAGGGGGCAGATCACGAGGTCAGGAGATCGAGACCATCCTGGCTAACATGGTGAAATCCTGTCTCCACTAAAAATACAAAAAATTAGCCAGGCATGGTGGCAGGCGCCTGTAGTCCCAGCTACTCGGGAGGCTGAGGCAGGAGAATGGCGTGAACCCGGGAGGCGGATCTTGCAGTGAGCGGAGATTGCACCACTGCACTCCAGCCTGGGAGACAGAGCGAGACTCCGTCTCAAATAAAATAAAATAAAATAAAATAAATTGTCATCAAAAAAGAGAAAGAAACAAATTGAGTACCAAAAATAAGAAAGGAGGGAAGGAAGGAAGGAAGGAAGGGAGGAAGGAAGGAAGGAAGGAAGGAAAGGAAGGAAAGAAAGGAGGGAAGAAGGAAGGGAGACAGGGAGAGACAGAGAAAGGATTTGTACGTGAAAAACCATAACACACTAATAAATCAGAGATCTAAATAAATGGAGAGATATTCCATGTAGTGGCCTTTAGTTAAAAATAATGTGTCAGTATTGATTCATTAATGGTAACAAATGGGATTATAACAAATGTATTATACTAATCTAAGTTGTTAATAATAGGGGAAACTGGATGTGGAGAATATGGAAACTCTCTGGACTATCTACACAATTTTTCTGTAAAGTAAAACAACAATGCTAAAATAAAACATTGATTTACAAAATGTCATTATGAACTCATGAATTAAACACAGTTGATGGAATTCATTCAGTTGCATCTTTTATCCTTTTGAAGCTTAAATTGTCCCATAGTTGGCCTCTTCAAAGTTGGCTCTTGAGTCCTTTTCACGTGACCCCAGTTTTTAAAAGTTTTTTTAATATCTGCTTCGACAAGATACTCCAGGCTCATCAACATAAAGTGCTGTCATTGAGATATCTGATGTCCAATTTTCTTTCTCTTATAGTCTCTTTCTCTTTTCTTTTCTAGATAGCTAAAGGATTTTCTCCTTCCTTTCTTCTTTCCTTCATCCTTCCTTGTTTTTTTTTTCTTTTCCCTTCTGAGTTCAATCATTTTACTTGAGTGTGTCTTGATATTGGTAGCTTTGGGTCACCATTGTCAAGTGTGCAGTATACTCTTTCAATGTATAGTTTCAAATATTTTTTTCATCAGAAAAGTTTTCTTGAGTTATAATGTTTAGCATTTGTTTTCTTCCCATGCTTTGATTTTCATTTTTACATTTCTGTTATCCATGTGTTGGATATTCTTTGCCCAGCTTAAATATTTGTCACTTTATTTCAAATGCTTTTGAAAGAAAGAAATGAAGCTCTCTCTTCATTTCTTTTTCTTTTGATCCATTTACCTTAAGCTGTAATCTGTCATATTTATTACACTTGTGTTCCTTCTCGTTTCATTTTCAGTTCTGAAAATTATTTTTTTAAAGTTTTTACTCTACTTATTTTTGCTGCCTCGTTTCTGAGCTTCTCTCATTCTGATTTCTATCCTTTGCATCTTGCATATTTTCTTACTGTATTTTAGCTCATTGTAAAATAGAAGTTTATCCATTTTGTGAGCATATTTTTTCTGGCAAGCTTTCATTGTGTGTAAGAATGCCGTACTGCATCTTTTTTTTTCCTTATAGTAACTTCATATGGAATTTACTTTGATGCGTTTTTGCTTGTGATACTTTTTGCAATAATACTGCTGCTCATCTTTACATAAAATTAGCTTTCCTGAACTTTTAAAAGGGAGTATAATTCAGGGTATCTTTTATAGCTTTAGAACAAAGTTGTTTAACCCGCAGCCTGTGGGCTCCATGTAGCCCAGGACAGCTTTGAATGTAGCCCAACACATATTTGTAAACTTTCTTAAAACATTATGAGGTGGGGTGTGTGTGTGTGTGTGTGTGTGTGTGTGTGTGTGTATGGGTTTTGTTTGGTTTTCTTTTTTTTTTTCTCATCAGCTATTTTTAGTTAGTGTATTTTATGTGTGGCCCAAGACAATTCTTTTTTCAATGTGGCCCAGAGAAGCCAAAAGATTGGACACCCATGCTTTAGAGATTTACCCTTCTGATGTTTTTGTGTAGTATTGAGAACTATGATGGCTTACTATATTAGTCTGTTTTCACACTGCTATAAAGAACTACCTGAGACTAGGCAATTTATAAAGAAAAGAGGTCTAATTGACTCACAGTTTTGCATGGCTGGGGAGGCCTCAGGAAACTTGTAATCATGTTGGAAGGAGAAGCAGCCACCTTCTTCACAAAGTGACGGGAGAGAGAGAGAGAGCACAGGGGAAACCACCACTTTTAAACCATCAGATCTCATGAGAACTCTCTCACTATCACCAGAACAGCATGGAGGAAATCTGCTCCCATGATCCATTCACTTCCCACAAGCTCTCTCCTCTGACATGTGGGGATTACCATCCAGCATGAGATTTGGGTGGGGACACAGAGCCAAATCATGTCACTTACTTTCTGACATTTCCTGACTCTGCCTCCTCCATGCTTACTTGGATGTTATCCTTTGTCTCAGTGAACTCTCCCCTATTTAATTTTGATTCTGTTTCTACTGGTGTTTTCTCGGTGTGGTGTCCTCTCCTAGAAGGGAGTCCTGACATGCTAGTGTTGGAAGTTGAGTGGAGTTAGACTCTTCCAGCCCCTTCATTTCTTACTGTGGACCTCTCACACTCACCCACTTTGGGATTGAGCAAAACCCCTTCGTCTTAGCTGCTCTGCTATGCTCCTACTGGTCTAGCAAATACTTGGCCATTTTAAGATTCTTCTGTTTCCAGGCTCATCTAATACCCTGTTGCTTCTCTCTGCTTCTTCCTGCACAGGCACTGACACCGTGTAGGTCTAGTGCTTGTTGTTGGTTTGTCCTCACCTGCTCCTGCTTGTATTTTGGGGTTCATAGGAATATTTGAAACACAGTTTAATTATAAATGTGTCTGTAGACTTTTGCTCTTTCCATCTAGTTGCTCTATTTTATATTGGGAATTGGGGAGATTAAAAATGATGCCACTGGCTAGGCACCATGGCTCATGCCTGTGATCCCAGAACTTTGGGAGGCAGAGGTGAGCAGACCATTTGAGGTCAGGAGTTTGAGACCAGCCTGGCCAAAATAGAGAAACCCCCATCTTTACTAAAAATACAAAAATTAGCCAGGCGTGGTGGCACACGCCTGTAATCCCAGCTACTTGGGAGGCTAAGGCAGGAGAATGGCTTGAACCCAGCAGACAGAGGTTGCAGTGAGCCATGATCATGCCACTGCACTGCAGCCTGGGTGACAGAGCAAGACTCCGTCTCAATAAAATAAAATAAAATGGCAAATCTTGCTGTATAGAGCTGGCTGCCAAAGCCATGAGAATATGGTCTGTTTGGGAAGTCCATCCTGACCTTTAGATTCACCTGTCCTTGGTGCCATGCAGCTAATCACGTGGCCACCACCACACCGACATCTTAGGTCTGCACCTCTCTGAGGCCTAGACTGTGTGTGAACACTATTCTCTCTTCATTCCAGTAGGTAGGACCAGGCAGAGATGTTTAAATGAAACATCAGGAGTTTAACTGAAAGAAAAGAATCCAGTCAAGTGTAACGAGAGAATCTGGCTCATCCTCCATCAGGCCCTCATCTTCTGCTTGGGTTCCCTAAGAGCCAGCGATTCTTAAGCTGTGCTCACTCTAGGGCCAGGAGCGCTTACATTCATCAGTGCTTCACACCTCTGGTTTTATAACAAGCATGGATAGCTCTGAAAATCTTAACATGTCATGAGCTCCTCAACAAAAACACAATTAAAGTAAGTTTCACATAATTTTGTAGTTAAAAGGGACCTTAGGGACTTACCTACTAAAAAAGTCCAGTCTTTTCTTACAGGTGAAGAAATGCAAGCTGAGATATGTTAAAGGATTTGCCCAAGGTCACATGAGCAGTGAGATACTGGCCAAGGTCAGGCTCTGGGGTCTGGATTTTCCAGTACTGTGATTTTTCCATCTGCAGCATGTAGAATCCTGTCCTTTAAGCGACACATTAAGAAAAGGCCCTTGACCATCCATTTCACCACTAGCAACGAACCTATTTTAATTTAATAGCTTCTCATGCTCCCCAAACAGCATTTCTTAAACTAGGTCCTTAGGCCCTTGAGATTTCTGTAGGTCTATAAGAATTTGATTTTTCTTTTCAAAGGGAATTGACTGATGCTGACTATAAAAGTTAAATAGACTTATGTTTAAGTGGATCATCTCAATATCACAGAGGATGGCAGTATTATCCAATGTAAATTATATTTTTGTGTACCTCTTGTATAATCGTACTTTTCTTAGTTATTGCGTCATGGTTATTTTCCTTTTCCTTAAAATTCTTTTTCTAGTTTTTTTTTTTTTTGGTACAACTAATTACAATGATAAGAAGCACCAAATTCCTTTCACTCCTCCATCTTCTTTTTTAGTGCCCTTAAAAATATGATTTTCCTCTATTACATTATGCTAGTCTGAGGCCTTCTGTACTATTACTGGCAAAAGAAAAGAATGAAGTGTTGTAAGATCAGCAAAACTCCACAAGGAATGGAAATCATGGAGTAATTTTGTTTTACTCAAAGAAGTACTTGATAACAAGTTATGATGCACTTTAAGGTCTAATATTTGGTACTGTGTATCCATATTCTAAAGCAATGGAGATTTTCTTATGAAATAGTCAAGAGATTGATTTCTAGCCTTAGATCTTTTGGATGACAAGTTGTTTTCACTGAGCCCAAATACCAGGGAAAACCAATAACAAGCTTATTAACACTCTACCATGCTGCAGATTCTCCACTGAAAAACTTTATGTCCAAGTTCCTGGCAACCCTCTAAAAGCAGGTTGTATTATCTTTATCTTGCTGATGAAACACCGAGGCTAAGAGACATCATAGTTTCCCAAGATCACTCCTCCGTTCAATGACAGAGTCAGGGTTCAAGTTTGCATCTCACTGATTCTGTAGCCAGTGTCCTCTCCCATATACATGCCCAGCCCCCAACAGAAGTGTTGAACATACTCTACTGGAAGGATGCAAGAAAGTTTTAGGGCCTCCCAAGGGCAATGCACAAAGTAACTCTGAATCAGTTGTGACTAAGAGATTTCCTTTTTGTTCTACTCTCACTTACGAGTGAGAACATGTGGTGTTTGGTTTTCTGTTCCTGTGTTAGTTTGCTGAGAATGATGGCTTCCAGTTTCATCCATGTCCCTGCAAAGGACATAAACTCATTCTTTTTTATGGATGTGGAGTATTCCATGGTATACATGTGCCATATTTTCTTTATCCAGTCTATAATTGATGGGCATTTGGGTTGGTTCCAAGCATTTGCTATTGTAAATAGTGCTGCAATAAACATATGTGTGCATGTGTCTTTATAGTAGAATGATTTATAATCCTTTGGGTATATACCCAGTAATGGAATTGCTGGGTCAAATGGTATTTCTCATTCTAGATCCTTGAGGAATTGCCACACTGCCTTCCACAATGGTTGAACTCATTTATAATTTATACTCCCACCAACAGTGTAAAAGTATTCCTACTTCTCCACAGCCTCACCAGCATCTGTTTTTTCCTGACTTCTTAATAATCACCATTCTAACTGGTGTGAGATGGTATCTCATTGTGGTTTTGATTTGCATTTCTTTAATGACCAGCGATGATAAACTTTTTTTCATATGTTTTTTGGCCGCATAAGTGTCTTCTTTTGAGATGTTTCTGTTCATATCCTTTGCCCACTTTTTGATGGGGTTGTTTGTTTTTTCGTGTAAATTTGTTTACGTTCCTTGTGGATTCCGGATACAATGAGAACACATGGACACTGGGAGGGGAACATCACACACCGGAGCCTGTCACGGGGTGGAGGGCAAGGAGATGGAGAGCATTAGGACAAATACCTAGTATGTGCGGGGCTTAAAACCTAGATGATGGGTTGATAGATGCAGCAAACCACCATGGCACACGTATACCTATGAAACAAACCTCCACATTCTGCACATGTATCCCAGAACTTAAAGTAAAATAAAAGAGATTTCCTTTCGTATATTCCTTTAATACCATTGTTTACATGAAGCAGGACCTCTTGGCTTGCTGGTATTGAGCCTCTTACAACCATATAGCACTTGTTAGTCTCTTTAATAAAGAGACAGCAGCCTCTAGCACGGAGCTTTGGGCAAGCAACTATGAACAACTAGAATTTAATCATATTGTTGTTCTTATACCTATATTTATTTTCTGTGGTGACTTTCTTTTTATTCTAAGTGATATTAATTTCCCACTTATGGTAAGGATAAAGAAGTTTCCTTTTAAAATACATCTATCTAGATTCTTAAAAGTGAATCAATGTAAAGAAAAATGCTAAATAAGTAATAGGATCACATGCAGATAGAGGAACTATGTGAAGCTGGTACTCAAATGACTGAAATGTTGAAAACATTGCCTTTCTCAACACTTCACTTATCTGTGGCTTGCAGAAAGTTATGTGCAGAAGGACATAAGGATAGGTTGGTGTTTACACTCTTGTTGTACAGGTTCTGCCTTGTGATACTTTAGTATTTTCTCAGAATTTGTTCATAGACATCTTGAAATTATTCAACATATATTTTTCTAAGGCCTCAACTTTCATAAGCCCCATGTTGCAGCTATAATAGAAGATGGAACATGAAAGCTTCTGGAAATAAGGTCACTTCTGGAGTGGGGATCAGGAAGACTTCCTGGAGGAAGAGGCATTTGAGTTAACTTTGAAGAATAGTAGCTCTTGACTATGTGGATGTGGGAGTAGGAAGGGAGAGGCAAAGAGAAAGGTATTCCCAACAGAGAGTGGAGGAGTACAACCTGAGTTTGGAAAACAGCAAACATCCAGTTTGCCTAGAGCCTTAAAAGACATGGTAGATTGAAGCAAAATCATCAAGATCTTTAAAAACAGGCTAGGAAGCAGGGTTTATTTTGAAATGGAGTGGGTATTCACTGAAGGCTCCTCAATAGGGAATGTGAATTATTAGGATCACACTCATAGGATCTGTCACTCAGTTGGCCCAGGAACCTGTGTTTCCCCAAATTTGTCTTTTCCTTATTTATTAAGTCAGCTGCTATGTGGCCTTATTTCCATGACTAGAAGTCCTGTCCAAAATGCCTTTTGTCTGCTTAAACTTCCATAAGTATAAATTCATTCTTTCATGTTTCAGTTGGAATGCTCTTGGAGGGGCAGCACATTCTTAAATGCTGCACTGAGTCCAGAGAGTTGGACTTCCAAGCTGGCAGTGACCCAACATTGAAGGATTTGGGGACTTGGGGCTCATGGCTACCTTTCCATCCACAGTGAGAAACAGGAGAGTTGCCCCTCTTCTCTGTCTTTGCCTGACTCTTCACATAGAGATTATAAAGGGTCCTCCTTCAGAAACCATATTTATGAGGGGAGTAAACAGTTTGCAGGGTTTGCATATCCAGGTGGTGATGAGATGAATCTCTTTTTAAGTCATCAGCCTATTTATCTCTGGCTGCTGGAGGAGAAACCTTGAGCACAATTTTTTGTGTGCATCAGAGGCTAACTTTTCCTTCCTGTGTTTTATAATTTTGTGTTGTGACCTCATCTTTAGTGGGGCTTTATGTGTGGGAATCTTGTTGGGGCCGGTGTAGGGGTATATCCTTCTAGTATGCTTGTTTCTATCTGCCAGATGTCCCCGGGGATATTCTCCGTTGAGACCACTCAACTTGTGGGTTCTAGGATGAACCCCAAACAGAGTAAAAGCAATCTTGTAGTTCTGAATCCTCATGGGAGATATTTAGTTTTTCCACTTAGGCCTAGGTCTAGACAGTTAAGCTTCTTTATCTTTCTATGCTAGAGAGAATATTTCCTAGTCCATCCTGTCACTGTGGGTGTAGCTCTTTGAGCGTCCTGGCTTTATAGATACAGAAAGCATGAACTCCTATCCCTGTGTGGTTGTTAAAGCCTAAGCTCCTATTTTTCCCTGCTTGGCAACCATGAACCCCATCCTGGGACAGCTGCAGCATCAGTTCTCATATAACCCTCAAGACTTCAAATGCTTCTTTGTTTTAAGCCTTTGGGGATTTCCCTGAATTTTTTTTCAAGCTCAGCTTTGCACTTAAAAGGATGTTCATTATATATCATCCAGCATTCCTTGAGGTTTTGTA
The DNA here is from genome assembly GCF_000001405.40 of Homo sapiens. NCBI lineage: Eukaryota > Metazoa > Chordata > Mammalia > Primates > Hominidae > Homo > Homo sapiens. The sequence continues at coordinate 54,780,341 of NC_000016.10, read as the reverse complement.
ACCAGAGATTCTTCAGGTAATCTAGTCCAAAATATTCCCAGAAATGAAGGTCTGCAAAGGAAATTAAAAGCCCTCTTTTTCACAAGCTCTACCTACCTAGCCTAAGCTGTGGCTGAATTTTCTCAAAAAAATAAACATTTTTGTTTTATGTTTGTATCAAAACATTGTATGTACCCTATAAATATGTACAACTATTATATACCCATAAAAATTATAAATTAAAATTTAAAAAGAAGAAAATAAACATTGTGAGGAGATTTTGCAAGAGGGAGGAGGAAAGAATAGGAAATCCAAAATCTCCTTTTTGGATGAAGAAATAAATTAGGGTGTTTCAGGCGATAGCACTGTATGAAGGAACAATGGTATCACGGCAGGACATCTTAGTGTGTGATGTATGGCTTTTTTTCTTAAATTATGGAAGAATAATGCAACAGAGAGAAGGATATTTCATTTTAATCTTTTACATCTGTTCACAGGTACAAAAGGATAAAATAAGATAAAGCAGTCCTCTCTTGAGAAGTCCATATTTTCAAAGGCTTTTGGCATTAATGTGCTTATTAATTGTCATAGATTGTCACTGTCATCCAAAGAGTATTGTGCAATATATAGTGGTCTTTGTAGGACTGAGAGAGAAAATTTCAAATTTCTCTCTTAACCTGAGCCACTTAAAATGAAAAACAAAGATCATTAAATCCTGTTCATCTGTAGTGACTCCTAAATATAGTTTATTGGGGCTCTTAATTCACCCTGAAAAATGCTGTAATTATTAAAAGTGTCCAAGCTGTTAACTCAAACACAACATATGCCACATTTACATAATGATTTGCATATAATTTCCATGTAATTCATTTAATGTCAAAATGCACAGTTACGTTTCCAGCCCCTCTGCCTTTTGCTCCCATGCCCTTCCCTGGCCCTGCTGTGTTAAAATGGAATATCTTACTTGTTGGAAGCTGTTTATAGATAGGTTTCCAAGATATGGCTGAATAGATAAAGTCTGTCATCTTCGGCAACAAAGATTTGGCCAAACGTTGATTTTTCCCAACTGGATTGGTGATACTGACTCTCTGCCTTGTGACCAAATGGGTGCCAGTCACTCAGTTCTGCTTGAGACATAAGGGCTTATTTTACAGGTGAATAAACTAAGCCTCACAGAGGTTCAGCCCTGTGTACCACAGCCTTCACTTGCTTTCTCTGCCTCAGCAACCCAAAGGCCAGCCCCTGCCATACAAAAGACTATCTTGCACATTTTTCACAACCTGTTACGTGCTTTTGAAAAAGACCCTCATTGGCCACAGCCCAAGTGATTATTTGTAATGCCAAAGAGGTAACTCTTGGGTTTGTCATCAAGGACAGGGAAAAATTCTTTTATCTGATTCTATAAATATATTTATCTAATTTGAGCAAGCTAACTTTCTGTCTAAACTAATTGCAATATCCTAAATGTGGCATGCCTTTTCTAGCTCCCAGCTTTGCTTTCTGCATGGGTTACTTTTCTACCTCTTTCCTCTCCCTGAATCTCTACTTAGCTGATGCCCACTCAATATGCATTGTTTGGGTTACACATTACCAAGAATGTCTTCTTCCAGGCCCTTACCACTAGGTTTGATGCCCCTAAAGTGAACTCCTGTATCATCCTGTTTGATTTGGGTTCCCTTACAAGCAAAACCTTGAGATAAGAACTGGGATGTAGATAGTTTATTAGGGTAGTGGGTTCAGGGTGTAGGAGGGAGAGAGCCAGGAAAGCAAACCGGGAGAGGAAGAAAAGCAATAATAAGATGCATGATCGAGGTGACCACTCTGGAACTTGATTCTTCTGGGTCCTCCTGCAAAGTGTATGGAATGCCTCCGGCATGGCCATCTGAACCTGGGAAATGAGATATTCATCAACTGGTTCACTCCTCATGGGCTGAGTCTCATACCAGGAGTTATTAATCTGCCTGTACTTTCTAGCTGTACAGGCTCATGGCCTGAGCCAGTTCTCCAGGGTTTCTGCAATGTTGAGGGCACCCAGGGGCAGAAAGTGAAGCTGTGTGACACTCAGGTTGTTAGCCTGAAATAAGTTGAAACCTGCCTGTCCACCCAGCCCTGGCTGGAGTCAGAAGTAAGGCAAAGCAGATGTGAATTGGTTACCAGATGTGTGTAGTACTGCACTTACCAACCTATATTGAATTTCTTTTCTCCTCTAGATTGCAAGCAACTTGAGGACTGGCCTGTGATCATGGGGTTTTCCGTTAGGCGAAGTGTTCCATAACTATCTGTAGAATTTAGTATTATGTATCAAATCCAGTTCAGCTTCAGAAAAGCTGGTTACCACTAAAGGTAAAGGCATAAAGTCGGTTTCTTTAATTTAACCTTTTGTTTTCTCTCCAATTCTGTCTATTCTAAACAACTGGAAGAAAGTAAATGAGTCAAGGAAACCACCTGACATACAATTCCCAAAGGCAAAAGGTGAACCAAATTAGTCAAGATTCTTCACTTGAAGGTACCAGCAAATTCTGAGGCAAAATTGTAGCTGGTGATTGGTTTCATTCAGTGGAAGAGCTGCAAATAAACTAAGCTAACTGGGTAACAGCCAAGGCCATGGTTACAGACACTGTAGCATTTTCTATCAGAAGTATGCCTGATTTGGAGTTCAAGACAAGCCTGGCCAACATGGTGAAACGCCCTCTCTACCAAAAATACAAAAATTAGCCAGGTGTGGTGGTGGGTTCCTGTAGTTCCAGCTACTCAGGAGGCTGAGGCAGGAGAATTGCTTGAACCTGCGAGGCGGAGGTTGCAGTGAACTGAGATCATGCCACTGCATTCTAGCCTGGATGATAGAGCAAGACTTCATCCAAAAAAAAAAGAAGGAAATATCCCTGATTTGTTTCCTCTAACTTCCTTTCTCTTCCATTGTCCTTCCTGCTCTCTGATCTGGCCTCCTGCTTCTCTCCTTCATCTCTTAGCCATTTTGTCCGTTCTCCACTTCTGGATTTTTGGCTTCACAAGTATGTCCATGGAATAGGTCCGTTGGAAGCCCAGAGTGAAGCTATGCGTGACGGGTTTCATAAATACTGGATCCAGCCCAGACACCATCTTCCCCCAGCACTGATGGAAACGCCCGTGGGAGATGGGGCTGTGTTTACTTTGGGCTGCACTTTTTATCAAGTAAGGAGTAAAGGGAAGTAAAGGGGCCAGGTGTCCAGTGCTCTTCCCCAAACAAATATGGAGGCCTGACAGCCATGGGTTGAGAGAAGCAGTGTTTAAGCAGACAAACCTTGAGGCTTCCTTCTCTGGTAGGAAACCCTCAGAAAATGGCATCAGTTGGCTGCAGAGGGGACATGACGACCCCTTTGTCATCCCCATTCTTGAGTGTCTCTGTGGAGTTCTGGGTGCCATGGACGTTTCACCCTCCAGGCTGGATCCAAGTCAAGGGCTGTACCTCGCTGCTGGAACCTGCCTGTGGGGCATCCCTGAGAACCGTTCCCACACTGTGGGGGCTGGAGGCTGCCAAGACAGGGACATGGAGAGGCTCTGAGAGCCAGAGGGACATTTGGGACCACAAAGGGTGGCAGTCTATCTTCACTCCTTTCTCAGTAACTGTCAAATGCTATGAGGGAATCCTCGTTGGCACAAATGCTGTGCCTGGTAAGTCTGCTTCTAGAAATAACCATCCTGGACATGCTTAAGATGACCACTGCACTCTGTGTGAGTGTGAGTGTGTGTGTGTGTGTCTGTGTGTGTGCATGAGAGAGAGAGGGAGACAGAGACAGAGAGATGCTCTTTCAATGCCTAATGTGTTTGTAATAATAATCATAGGTAAATTTATCAGGTATTTCAAGCACTGTGTTAAGTGCTTTATAGGTATTGTATCACCTCATTTAATCTTTGCAACAACATTTTGAGGGGTCAGTTCTATGAATATACCTGTGACACATATCAAAGACTGAGTCCCACACAGGTTACATGACTTACCCAAGGTCATCTTGAGTAAGTGGAGTTGTTGGTCCTCACATCCAGGTAGGTCCAACTGCAACATCATCACAGCAGAGGGTTACAGAACCATAGGATTTGTTCCAGGCTGTGCGTGAGTACGTGTGTGTATGCGTGTGCCTGTGTGCAAGTGCGTATCTGTGTGAGTGTGTTGTGTGCCTGTGTGTGAAGGTATGTGTGTGCATTCTCTCTGTGTATATGTATATAGAAAGTAGTGGTTAAGAGTGAGACCAGGCCGGGTGCAGTGGCTCACGCCTGTAATCCCAGCACTTTGGGTGACCAAGGTGGGTGGATCGCCTGAGGTCAGGAGTTCAAGACCAGCCTGGCCAACATGGTGAGACCCCCGTCTCTACTAAAAATGCAACAATTAGCTGAGTGTGGTGGCAGGCACCTGTAATCCCAGCTACTCGGGAGGCTGAGGCAGGAGAATGGCTTAAACCTGGGAGGCAGAGGTTGCAGTGAGCAGAGTTTGTGCCACTGTACTCCAGCTGGGGCGACAAAGCAAGACTGTCTCAAAAAAAAAAAAAAAAAAAAGGAATGCAGACCAGAGCCTCACGGCACGATTCCAGTTCCAGCTCTGTGATTTTTGTCTGTGTGATCTTCAGCAGGTAGCTTTAGCATCTCTGGGCCTCAATTTCATAATCTGTAAATTAGGCATAATAGTACCTAGCACACAGGATTGGGTGCATTTAAAAGGGTAATATGTGTGAATCCCTTGGGACAACATGGACTCATGCAGTGAAGAGTGTTACTATTTGTAGCAATAGCATATTTTTGCCCAATAATACCAAATATTGAATGATCATAACAGTAATAGGTGTGTTTACTGGCTGCCCAGTTGGACACTGTGCTGTGAATACATTCCCTGATTTAGTTCCCTCAACTCTACTATTGAGGAGGGTATCAGTATTCCCATTTTGTAGACAAGGGATTGAGTCTCAGTAAAATAATTGGCCCAAAGACAAATATCTAGTACAGGTCATAAGAAAGAAGCAAATCTTGATGGCCACGCCCTCCTGCCTACACACTTTTTATGAGTTCATTTGTTCACTATTCGGCACAATACCTTCCATACTGACTTATATGTTAATTTTTTTCCACACTGGAAATTATGCCCATCTGCCTGCTTGAGAAAAGCTTGCCACAGAGCTGCTTTTAAATGGCGACCCCTGGCAGCTTTTTAATTGCCACTATCTCTTTGGACATTTGGAATTTGTAATGAAATCACTTTCCAACCCTGATTCATCCCAAATTCAATATTCTGTTTCCTTTCAGGTTTTTTGTTTCCCCAGCAATGAAAAGATCGGTAACTTTATAAAACATCTGAAAGCATGGTGGAAGTTTCCTGGGGCTTCAAGTGTTGTGTTATGTTATCTTTGGAATAACTTTGAAGTCCCACCGGTGTAATAGAAGCCGTTATTATGTCATGGAGCTGATTAGCATGCCTGTGGGAAACATTAATTCATGCTGACATCATAGCTGGCTTGGCAATCAGTTTGTTTTGCTTCTTTTTGCCCCCACCCCACCCCACCACCCCAATCCTCTTAATGTAAAGGTGATGGGCTGACTTTCTGGGGATAATGGAACATGGATGGATGTCCCCAGATGGGGCCCAACTTAACTACAGCAGCCGCCACCTCCTGACGGCACCGGGAGGAAATGGCAAAACAAAGCCTTTGGCAGAAGCAGGGAGAGAGCTGCTGGCCCTTTGATTTGCCTTGAAAGGTTTTGATTTAGTTGGCATTCAGACTCTTGACACAGAAAACTTTTTAACTCAGTAGTCAGCATGGCTGCCTGAATCCATTTGGTTCCGGTCATTTATGATTAGGCTGATTGCCGGTGGCTCTGGTATTGCGGCAAACTGCACCAGCCCTCATTGCATAAGACTATCACATTCCAAACTATCTTTTTCTTTTGCACAAAAGTACATTTCATTGACAAAGGAAGCTGTAAAGGGGAGACATGTAGACTCCTATTATCTCAAATTGTTAATATTTAATATGCATTAAAGAGCTATCTTTCTGCTCGCCACGTACAATTAATTTAATCACCAATGCATTGTTAAGTATCTATCAGAAATGTGAATTTTTTTTCATGATGTATTAATCTGGTAATGATGTCTTTCCTTTTACCTTTAGATTTAGTATTATTATTTTATGTTACATGGAGTGTTCTCTTGGGAGCAGGAGAGAAATGATAGGAAGTGTTTGGAAGAACCTAATGACATCTAATTTGGGATGGAAAAACTTCAGGCCTTTTCTAGTTTTAATTCATCTTGGTCTCCCCTGCTCCCTTCAGGACACATGTGTCCTGCCCTCTTCCCTTGCTGTCACCTATAAGACCTAGGTTACACGTCTCTGGAACTTGAGGTGACAGTGTCCTGGAAAATATTTTCCTGTGTTAATATTTGACCTGGAAGATGGAAACTCTATGTCTGTGGAGAGCCATGGCAAGAGAAAACTGGGGAAGAATGACTTTATTTCGGTTGTATAAATAGATGACTACATTTTCCCACCCGAATCCTGTTTGCTCAACTATAAACCCCCAAAGCTCTGTACACTCCCTCTTAAAATGCTCATCACACTCACAACTACTGGGTCAGTGTCTCTCTTCCTTCGCTAGACCTAGGCTGCATAAAGGCAAGACTCATATCTGCCTTGTTCACTACCATGTCACCAATATTGAGCCCATAGAATATGCCCAAAAAATAATGCTTGAATGGTTGAGTGATTCAGCCAGAGGCTAGCAGAAAACAGAATCCACTCAGATGGTTCAAGAGTCTTTGATGGAGAGCTGACTTCACAGATGTGGGTAGCACTTAAAGAACAAAGAAAGGATGATGAGGCACCCAGATACTAGCAACACTGGGAAGCCGTTACCATGCCAGAGCTTAAAAGGACTAACAGAAGGAATGGTATGAACAGAGCCAATGAGACCTGAAGCCCTGGAAGTGGGGCCACCTGGCAGGAACTGTGGTCATGGAGGATAGAGCCCTTGCCAGGGAACATGGCCCAGAAAAGGGAAGAAGTTAATATTATCATGTCAACATCCCTCTCCTCCTATTCTCCCATATCCTCCTGGTGCCTCCCATTGACCAAACTCAAATGAAATCCAGCTGGCAGGAGAACCTATATGATCTTAGGAATTCCAAGATAAAAACAAGGCAAAGAAGGGCAAAGGTAGATCTGGGTTGGGGCATACCATCACAATGAAGTATTGTGTAAATCTTTCTGCCCAGCATAGCAGCCAACTGGAAAAAAATGAGAATCTAGCCACCGAATAGCACAAAACCCTTTTGCTCATAGAGACTGGGTCTATTTGTTCTTTACAATGTTACTAGCAATCTTTGGGGCGGTGCTTCCTATGCAAAGTAGAAGCAAAGCATTCAGAAAGGAACAGGAAGGACTTATTTGAAGCTGACACAATTATAGCAGATAGAGCAGACTAGGGTCACTTATTACAAGGACAACTTCTTCCACACACTTCAAAAGCCCTGAGAACATCACTATTTTAAAAATCAATGTAGTCGTCCATTTCTATAGCCTGGTTAAAGGGTAATCTACACCCTCTGTGGCAATAGGCGGAGAAATACGTTGAATTCTTTGAAGTGTTTCTCATGAGAATCATACAAATTAAAGAGCGCAATTTAAGTGGAAAAACACCTGAATATTTTATAGATCAGCTTATTTCCCCAAGTGCTAGATGAATGCAACATTGCTGTAAATGCATAGACTACACATAGTGTGATGGAGGATGAGAATTACAGCTAGCCCATTCCCAGTGTGTCCCTGTACCCGCTTCATTCATCCAGCAGTATGATATCTAACAGAGGTAGCACTGTACTTTCTTCATTCATTGGTAATGCTACCTCTGTTAGAAATCACTGAATGAAATGTGTCATTCATCCAGACACATTTCTACTCCTTTCTAAAAGCCAGAGCTGCCCAGAAATGGAACTGAGCTACCTTAGGAGATGCTGGGCACGCACTACTATGAAGTGTCTGGTTCTATTGCATGATTTGACAAATGACCTCTGATATTACTTCCCACTCTGAGAGTATGTGTCTTTCTGTTTTTATTTAATTCTCATAACTGCACCATGAAATATTATGTGCCCCATTTTTCACAGGAGAAAGTAAGCTCTGGAAAGTCAAATGACTGTCAATACTTGCCCAGTTAGAAAAAACTACTTATGATGATCAATATTTATTGAATATCTTCTATGTACTAAGTATTGTTTTGGACCTCAGGATGATAAAGATGCATAAGATATAGTGCCTGGCCTTTACATGTTTATATTCTTATGTGGGAAACAACTATGCATTTAAGTAATCAAAATGATATTTGAAAAAGTTTGTAAGTGAGGTCTATCCCAGATGCAATAGGAACAGAGAGGAGGGAAGCTTCATAGGACAAGTGAGGTTTGAACTGGTTTGAAAGGTAATTGTCAGTTTTGCTGGCAGATGAGGGGTGATGGACATTTCAGGCAGAGAAAACTAAATATGCAAAAACATGGAGGTGTCAGGAGGTGTTCTTTTGGTCAACTGCAAGAAATCCAGAATGGCTTCATCACAGGGGTAAATTGGGAGAGAGAATGGGCAAGGAGCGGATAAAGAGAAATGAAGCTCAGAAAAGCAAAGTAATTTGCCCAGGGTCTCACAATAGACAGAGCTGAGAGTTGAAGCCGGGCCTACTCGTAAACCCAGTGCTTTTCTTGGTTGGGTAACAGTGAAAGTGGAGCTGATTGGACATCCTATTGTTGGGGCTTCCCTCAATAACCCTATTTGTCCATAGCAGACTTCCAGTTAATACGTATTTTTCAAGCCCCAAATATTGAGTGCCCAACCTGTGGGGAGTGCAGAGGTTTAAAAAATTCATGTTATTATTGTTTTGGAAAATGAGACTTTTGCAAAAACAAAACACGTGACACACATAGAAACTGCTATAGAAATACACTTTCTCAGCTGAATGCTGATTCATCATGCTCTATTGGCTTTGTTTTATTTTCTTTCTCTACATTCTAGGTCTCCCTCATTTTATTTTATTCTCTTTCTATTTTCCCCATCTTCATTCTGAATCCCTGACTCCCCACAGATGCATCCTTGCTGGTGTATTTAATTGAGGTTTTTTTAATCCATACCTCCATACATCAATGTTGATACGTGTGTTTCTTTGAACAGATTTTGTATAGTTTTGCATGCTATAATTAGGTGGCATTGGACTACAGATGTAATTCTGCATGGTCTGGGCAGCATTCTATAATCAAAAAATTATTATTTCTGTATCAAAATGTATGAATATTCATACTATGTGGGATATGAAGAGACTAACTAGCCTCAGGTCAAGTTCTGCCTCCAAAAAATTTTGTGCCAAATTTCTTTAAAAATTTATATTTTCAGAGACTTTTGTATTTCAGAATTGCAGATAAGGGACTATGAACCTAAAGTACCTTTTGTTTTGCCTCTGATGGGCTCCTCTGCACTTCCAACTCTGTCAATTCAAACAATGCTTCAAGAGAGGGCTATGTTCATGTCTCCCTTTGAATATTTGGGAGGATGTCTCTGCGGTGGAGGCCCAGAAGTGGGGAAGCCTTAGGGTCCTATGATTTGCACATATTTAATTTCACTAACTACTCCCAGATTTATCTCCAGGTTAACTTCAGTAGTAAAACTCCCACCAGCAATGTATGAAAGAAGGTTCCCATTTCCAAGGATGATGATCCACACTATCACTTAATATTACATGATTGTCTAATTATTTCCCCAATTTGATTAGTACTAATATGAAGTGCCATCACAATCTGTTTAAAATTTGCATTTATCCTATTACTAGTGAGCACTATATATGCCAGCTATTCTTTTATCCCCTACAGGGATACGTCTATTCATATCCTTTTAGTTTCCCATCTCTCTCTCCTTTTTTTAGCCATATAATTTATTCTTTTATGTTTTGACTAATTGTTACCTACTCCAAGGTCATAAATATATTTATTTATCTTAGTTATTGACTATATTTCTTCAGTTTTACTATATATATATATATATATATATATATATATATATATATATCTGTCTTCAATTCACCTAATTCATCTTGTGTTTATATTTTTGTATATGGTATGAGGTTGTAATCCAACTTTTTCTCCGTTTTATAAGTCAATTTCTGCATTTACTAAATACTCTGTACTTTCCTCACTCATTGGTAATGCTACCTCTGTTAGATAGCGCTGAAATAAAAAAATTTGCTAGGACGTTGATAGAAATTGCATTGAATATATAGATTTATGTGGAGAGATTTGACATCTTTATATTGCTAAGCCATTCCATCCATGAATATGGTATGTCTTTCCATGACCTCAGGTTTTCTTTTATGCCCTTTGAAAATATTTTTATTATTTTTTCTTCTTATAGGCCATTTGCATCCTTGCTGTGTTAAAATTTTACTTGCTGTTATAAGTAGTATCTTATATTTTATTATTATCTTCTAGTTTCTTATTGCTTATATGAAGGCCTTGTTGACTTGTTTCTGAAAAAGAAACACATTCCACATGCCTGTAATCCCAGCTACCTGGGAGGCTGAGGCATGATAATTGCTTAAACCCGGGAGGCAGAGGTTGCAGTGAGCTAAGATTATGCCACTGTACTCCAGCCTGGATGACAGAGTGAGACTATGTCTCAAAAAAAAAAAAAAGCACGTTAAAATTTCCTCAATTAAATATGCTTTTTGCTCTAGGTTTCTTTTGTCAGATTATAGCTGTTCTGTTCTATCCTTTTAAAAAATATTTTAAAAGAAATCTTAAATATTAATGTCATTTAAAAATTTATATTTCTATTGAGATAGTCATGTGATTATTTTCCTCAAATTCCGTAATTTGCTTAATTATATTGATTTTTTCTAACATTAAATATTCTTATATTCTTGGGATACATCTTAGTTTGTTCATATGTGTTATTTTCAAAATGTACTGATAAATTTGGCTAGCTATTTTTCTCATGATAATTACATCTATATTCTCAAGTAAACTTGGCTTTTTTCTTTTTTATACTGTTGTTAAATAGTTCTCTCTTTCTCTCCCTAATAACAGAGCTTTTCTTTCCAATTTGTTTCAAAATCACTGCAATCCTGGACTCCAGGAGACACCAACCATATTCAAGACAAGTTGTGTATGTGTCTGTGTGTGTGTGTGCGTATGCGCACCTGTGAGAGAGAGAGCAAGAAACAGAGAGAATGGCTGTCCTGGTTTGGAGGAAGAATATGCATAATATATATACAAATATTATTTTCCCAGATGAAAATGATATTAGGCATGTAGTCAAGGAATAGAAGAAGGATAAGTTCTTTGGGTTATCTGATATCTACAGACACTGAGGTTTTCTCAGACAAAATACATTTTAGCTTGTTTGTCACATTTATTTTTGGAGACTATTATTATTGCTATCCATCTAAGCCTGAGCTATGGCAAATGAGGAAAATAAGATATTTCATAGTCTTAGTCATTAGAAGTGAATAATTGTGACTTGATGTATTTTAGAAAAAACAAACCTTAAAAAAGTCAGGATGGAAAAAGGAAACTAATTTCTTGTGTACATATTATGTACCAGGTACTATGCTACGGACTGTATGTATTATATCTCATTTAGTACTGATAAGAATACAATCAGTTAGATATTATATCCCTAATTTACAAAATAGGGAACAGCTCCAGGAAGCTAAATAAACCAGTTAATGGGTGGTAGAACAAGAATTCAAACCTACATCTGGCTGACTGAGTTTTCTAATAACACCCTTGTCTTTGGTATTAGTAATCTGCCTTTTTCCCGTCCTTATGAATGTGTATCCTTGCTTATTTATTTATACCAACCAACCCCTCCTAACCTGCTTTCCTTTTGCTATGGAAATAACCCAAGGATAGTAGTTGCCAAAGAAGCCTGAGTTAGCCTATAAATGTTTCTTCTTCTATCTTAAACTCTGGGGAGTCGCATGGCCAGCTGCCACAGGAATAAAGAACAATAGCTTTGAGATTCCGTCTCTCCTTAAATCAGATCAGGGTCTTGGAGAAGTGACTTATTTCACAAATAAAACAAGAAAGAATAAACTCTATAACTAAGTAATTTCCATTTTCCATTTTTAATTTATCTGATGAATGAAAAAATATCTGATAGATAAACTTACAGAAATTTGAAGTTTGCAGAAAATTTCTGTTTGAGCCTGGGAAAAAAATTATTATATTTTTATGATAGAAAAATAAGTAGCAACCTACAGAATGGGAGAAAATTTTGCAATCTACCCATCTGACAAAGGTCTAATATCCAGAATCTACAAGGAATTAAACAAATTTGCAAGAAAAAAAACAAACAATGCCATCAAAAAGTGGGCAAAGGATATGAAGAGACACTTCTCAAAAGAAGACATTTATGTGGCCAACAAAAATATGAAGAAAAGCTCATCATCACTGGTCATTAGAGAAATGCAAATCAAAACCACAATGAGATACCATCTCACACCAGTTAGAATGGTGATTATTAAAAAGTCAGGAAACAACAGATGCTGGTGAGGCTGTGGAGAAATAGGAACACTTTTACACAGTTGGTGGGAGTGTAAATTAGTTCAACCATTGTGGAAGACAGTGTGGCAATTCCTCAAGGATGTTGAACCAGAAATACCATTTGACCCAGCAATCCCATTACTGGGTATATTCCCAAAGGATTATAAATCATTCTACTATAAAGACACATGCACATGTATGTTTATTGCACACTATTTACAATAGCAAAGATGTGGAACCAACCCAAATGCCCATCAATGGTAGACTGGATAAAGAAACTATGGCACATATACACCATGGAATGCTATGCAGCCCTAAAAAAGAATGCATTCATGTTCTTTGCAGGGACATGGATGAAGCTGGAAGCCATCATTCTCAGCAAACTAACACAGGAACAGAAAACCAAACACCGCATGTTCTCACTCATAAATGGGAGTTGAACAATAAGAACACATGGACACAAAGAGGGGAACATCACACACTGGGGTCTGTAGGGGTGGGGCCAAGGGGAGGGATAGCATTAGGACAAATGCCTAACACATGCAGGGTTTAAATCCTAGATGATGGGTTGATAGGTGCAGCAAACCACCACGGCACATGTATACCTATGTAACAAGCCTGCACGTTTTGCACATGTATCCCAGAACTTAAAGTAAAATTTTTTAAAAAAAGAAAAATAAGTAGAAAGTAATAAGAGCAATAACATATGCATAACAATAGTTTTTTATAGTTGCCAAAGCATAGTCACATTCTTTATCTCCTCTGATCCTCGCAACAATCTCCTAAAGCAGGGAAGGTGAGCTTCCATTTTACAAACAAATTGAGGCACAGAGTTTTATTCAAGTGCAGTTGTTTGGATTAATTTCCCCAAATTCTTTACCTATAGCTGTATGCATTCTCTTTGTCATGTATCTCTGCCATTTCTCCCATTGAGAGGTAAGGTATACTTGCCTGACCCTTGGTTCAGTGTTTGACCATGTAATTTGCTTTGGCCAATAGGATTAGAAGATGTGATTAAAGCTGAGTCTTGAAATTACTTGCTGTGTGTGCCTGCATGTTTCCACATGTTCTCGTGCTCTTCAGATATTGCCATGAGAAGGGTAATGCAGGCTGCCCAGCTATTTCAAAGAGGAAGAGAAGAGACACTTGGGGCAAAGCTGCTTCAGCTAAGATGCTCCAAACAAGTCCAACCTGGAGCAGAGCCTCCCATCTGACCTCCAGATTCTTGACCTTCCATTATATATCATTGCGGGTTTAAGCCACCCAGTTTGGAAGATAGTTTGTTACACAGCAGTAGCTTACTGATACATCAAGAAAAACCAGCTAGTAAGTGGCAGAGCTGGAATTAGAATTCAGATCTTCAAACATATAGTTTTACACACTTTCAGGTATGCTAAGTTGCTTTTCATATAGAAAGACGTTTATTTGGGTGTGAAAATACCTCAAGACTGAGCCTTTTATGGGCAGGAACCGTGTCTCACTCACCTTTGATTCCTCAGAGCCTAGTCCAGTATCTTGCACATGGTACTTACTCAGGAAATAGTTATTGAAAAAGCAAGAGATTAAAATATTAGGAATGTGCCTCTATCTCTTTTGTCTTATCTTACAGTTTCTAGTTAATAAAAATAAAGTCAAAAAGGAAGGTATGTTACATATGGTCAGTGAAAATCAGCTTCTAAAAATAGGTCCCAGCAACTGCACAAAGAGGGCATGATCATCATTTTCTTTTTCAGACATCTGTCCATATGTGGCATATTTTCTCTCTGAAGAAAGATCAAACCCCATAAAATGCATCATTTATATGCCACTCCCCATTATGAAACAGCATGGAGACCATTAATGAGAAGCAAAGGCTAAAGAAGAGTTCCATGAATCAGTTTCAGGCCGACTGCGGTGAAAATGCACAGCCCTTTGGGAATCGCACACACACAAAAAGAACAAACCTCATGCCTGATTCCTGCCTGCCCCCCACCCCTACCGCTGTCCCCTCTTCCCCAGTCGCCACAACAGCTTGAGGTAGGGAATTTGTAAAACCCACATGGAGAGCTTTTTCCTCTGATTTTTTATTCTCAGAAGTCCAACAGTGCCGATGAAGGTAGCTGTGACATTTGCAATTTTCCATGCACCAGCCCATTCCATTTTCTTTCTTGGTGCTGCTTCCATGGTACAGTAAACCTCCAGCTCTGACAATAATTACAGCCTGGATAAAATGAAGGAAGTAATAGGAACAAAGCATCGCTGTAATTGCCTTTTCATTATTTGCTAACAGTTAGTTATTCAGTCACAGGGAAAAATTGCACAGTAATTGGCTGACAATGGGGAAGCAAACGGCGAATCCCACAACTATGATATTTTTGCTTGTTGGGCTTTAGACCTTTTATTCATATTTTGATTAAACAGCTGGAGCATTAAACTGACATATGAATGTATCCTTGGTCAAATTCCGATGCATTTGTTTCTACCCCATTCAAAGTGTTAAATTTAAACTAGCACATACAGTAGACCTGTAAATAAATACTGTAGTCTATTGACTTTCAAATAAATTCCTCCTCTTTATCCAAGTTCATAAAGAAACCACAGTAGGGATAATAGCACAGACATCTTTCAACAAATCAGTTTTTGGTTGGATGTTTTAAAAAGAAAAAAAACATGAAACCATAGGGTGCATGTTTTTTGCATTCAGATTTTTCTCTAATCTAACTTTCTAAACCCAAGACCTTTATAAATGGACCCTTAGGAAACATCTACTCTTATTTCCTCCTAGGGGTAGGGAAACTGAGGCACAGAGAGACGACTGAGATGTTCAGAGTCATCCAGCTCTCGTCTGTTCTATATGACTGGAAACCAGGACCCTGGCTCTTTCCATTTTCATGTCATTGTCTCCGCATTTTCTTGCAAGAAGGGAACTAACAAAGTAAGAAACTCCATGGTTGTGACCTTTCTTGGATTATTCCAGGTATCCAAGGGCCTAGCCTGGGGCAATATTTGCCATGAAGAAATGCTTGATGATGATAAAGAGGGAGAAGACCTCATTCTTACGGTCCAAGCTTAGGGATGTTTTTATTCTAGGTGACATAAATGTTATTTTGGGCCAGGCACAGTGGCTCACGCCTGTAATCCCAGCACTTTGGGAGGCTGAGGCAGGCAGATCACCTGAGGTCAGGAGTTCAAGACCAGCCTGACCAACATGGTGAAACCCTGTCTGTACTAAAAATACAAAAATTAGCTGGGTGTGGTGGTAATCATCTGTAGTCCCAGCTATTTGAAAGGCTGAGGCAGGAGAATTGCTTGAATCCGGGAGGTAGAGGTTGCAGTGAGCCCAGATTGTGCCACTGCAATCCAGCCTGAGCAACAGAGTGAGGCTCCGTCTCAAATAAAAAAGAAAAAAGTTATTTTGGTTAAACGGGCAGAGTATTGGTTGATGTCCATGTGGCAATTGCAGAAGGAGAAAGAAATGTAGCTGAGAAAGTGTATTTAAAGAATATGTCCAGGCTGGGCTCGGTGGCTCACGCCTGTAATCCCAGCACTTTGGGAGGCCCAGGTGGGTGGATCACCTTAGGTCAGGAGATTGAGACCAGCCTGGCCAACATGACGAAACCCTGTCTCTACTAAAAATGCAAAAAATTAGCCCAGCATGGTGGCGGACACCTGTAATTCCAGCTACTTGGAAGGCTGAGGCAGGAGAATCACTTGAACCTGGGAGGCAGAAGTTGCAGTGAGCCGAGATCATGCCACTGCACTCCAGCCTGGGCCACAAGAGTGAAACTTCATCTCAAAAATAAATAAACAAATAAAAAGAAAAGGAAAGAATAGGTCCACTCGTTTGTGTGTGTCTGTGTGCATGTGTCTGTGTTGAGGACTGGAGATAGAAGATGGAATAATCGATGCATGGTCCTCACTTAAAGATGGAGATTTTCTGTCTAGGAGATGGAAAGTGGCAGATCACACACACATGGACTTGAGCTTATTTCAACAAGCAGTTAAGAGACGCTTATGACCATGACTCCGAGGAATTTGTTACAGACAGGCAACGGGAAGAAACAGGGATATTTGGGAAAAGAATGGGTATAATATATAACTAACACTGAGAACCAGGAAATAAGCTTAGTGCCTCGCATGATCTCATTTCATTGTCACAGCAGCTCTAAAGGAAAAACTTTATTATCCCCATTTCATAGACATAGAGATGAACTGTTAGATTAAACAATTTGCTCAAGAGCATCAAGCTAGTAAGTGGCAGAGCCATTGACCAAAACCCAGAAGCTAAGCTTTGACCCCTGAAGTCACTGGTGATCTTTAGCTCTTGCAAATAGTTGGGACTTATCTAATATCCCGAGTCACTCCACAGAACATTTTTCTGATGCCGACCCACTGCAGTGCACCATGGGGATTCCAAGATGAATGGAAAGTTCCTGTCCTCAAGAAGCTTAGCATCTCCTGGTGGAAACCATAAAACCAAGCACACAGCCATCAGTCTAAGGAAGAGGACACTCCTCTGCCTGTGATGACTCCATTTGGGTTTCCCCAGAAGCACGACACTGAGTCAAAAATTCTAGTGTACCTTGTTGATTTGGGAGGTAATCCCAGGAAACACAGACAGAGGGTAAGACAAAAAAGATCAGAAAGCCACTGGTCCAGAGCTGCTCCTGTGGGCATTAACTCTGCCTCATCTCCAGTTTACTCTGTGCATGGGCCCAGGGTACACCAGCAGCCAGGAAAAAGCCTTGGGACAGAGATTTACAGCTGTTCTCAGGGAGCATGCTTCCCTGCCTACAGGTGAGCACCCAGGAGATGTGGATGGGGTGCTGACAGCATCTGCCTTGGTGGTGATGGGCAAAGTATGTCACAGAGGGGTGGCGTGGTGGAGCAGGACTTCAAAGGCAAAGGAAAGGGCATTCTAGAGCAAGGTGCCTACACACATGGGGGCATAACTCCAGACCATCGTTTTCTAAAGGACCTGCCAGGCTCTGTACCAGAGACAGAAACTGCCCAAGATGCCAAATTCAATCCTAAAGAAATCAGGCCAGGCGTGGTGGCTCATGCCTGTAATCCCAACACTTTGGAAGGCTGAGGTGCGTGGATCACTAGAGGTCAGAAGTTTGAGACCAACCTGGCCAAATCCCATCTCAGCTTAAAAAAAAAAAAAAAAGGTGGGCATGGTGGCGTGGTAGCGTGTGCCTGTAGTCTCAACTACGCAGGAGGCAGGAGAATCGCTTGCAGCCGGGAGGCGGAGGTTGCAGTGAGCTGAGATCATACCACTGCATTCCAGCCTGGGTGACAAAGCAAGACTCCATCTCAAAAAAAAAAAAGGAAAGAAATCAGTCTCTTGCATATATAATAAAGGTCATATTCTTTTCTTGGCATTCAAAGCTCTTTACTTTACACTCCAGCCCTAGCTTACATATTAAGAGGTTCTTAGCACCCCATCTTGGGCTCCACTTCCTGCTCACTGTCACCAGTTTGTACTGCTGCCTGAAGTCCTGCCTTTGAAGCCCGGTCAATGCTTAAGGGTCCCAGGTTCAAGCCCACCTCCTCCACTCAACCTTTCCTGGCCAGTTCTGCTGGAGGAGACCATTGTTTGCTGCTTGATCCTGTGCTCCTGCCCCACACACGTATGCAGCCTGCAGCCACTTTAGCAAAAAAGCCACATCCCTTAGATGCATTTCCAAATCCCTTAGCAGAAACTCTGGGGGGTTTGTGTTTGTTTTTGTTTGGTTTGTTTTGTGTTTTGTGCTTTTTTGAAAAAATGTACATGGTAACAAAAACTGACCTAAACTAAAATGAAGCTATTTATAGTTTTTATTTGATGTAAGTATTCATACATTTCACTGTATAAATATTCATATATTTGGTGACATAATGCAGCCTCAGATCCTGCTGAGACTTTATGTGATATGTGATATATGCGCCATTTTTCTTTTCTACAGGCCGAACAACTCTGAATTATAAAACACATTTCTGGCCCAAGAGAGTCAGTGATGGGGTTATGAGCCAATAATTAATAATAATAATAATAGTAATAGATACTCCTATAGTCCATACTGTTCTAAGTGCTTTATATGTTTTGTGCTATTAATGCTCACAAGAACCTACCAAGTTCTATTAATATCTGTATTTTCCTAATATCCCTTAGGAAAGAAGGTCCAGGGATCTTCTGTAACTTGCCAAAGATTACATAGTAAGTGCTAGAGCCAGGGTTTGAACTCAAGGCAGTCTGGCAGAGTTGAAGCTCTTCCTGCTCCACTGTGCTTCTTCGAAGTATAAGTGTCCAGCCTTGAGGCTGTTCACAGTACTCAGTTCAAACTTTCACCGTTTCCCCCTGGTTGCTCTCGTGGAAACTCTCCTCCTCTGACTGTGGATTCTCAGCTCAGAGTGCCAAGCCCTGATCCTGCTCTGGGCTGTTGAGTTGGTGCTGGGACTTGATCTCTCCAGGATACAACTTCCAGCAACTTCTTGCCATCTTTAGTGGTCCTCACCCCCTCTAACTGCACAGCCTCAGAGAGCGCAGCTTGCCTCTTGGAGCCCAGCCCTGAAACTGGCTGCAAAGTGAGCTCCAGATCTGTAGCCACTCCTTGGAAATCTCCTCTCAGCACCCCCCAAAACCCCACCCCTGCCCCTTGAACGGCTTGCAGCCCTCCTGCCTTGCCTGCCCATCTAAGGTGGGAGACCATGTAGGTCTGTGTACTGAGTACGACTCCAGGACCTTATGCATAGGAGGACCTTAGTCATGTGCGCGACAGTGATCAAGAACAGAACGAGGAGCTCCATGGCTAGGCTCCTTTGCTAGAGCATACATGGCCTTGGTTTTGAAATTGCTCTCACACTTGGCTCTGTAGCAATCTGCAGCAAACAGTTGCATAGTGTCGGAGCTAGGATTTGAATTCAAAAAAATTGGCTCCACAGCTCATGCTCTTAACTATGATGGCAACTGCTTATTCTGTGTTAGTCACTATGATAAGCACTTTACGTGCCTTGCCTCTATTGATATTTTCAACAACCCCATGGAGAAGGTACTGGTACTGCATCCTTGTACTCTATGAAGAGACCAAGGGACTGAGAAAGTCCCAAGACCTTGTGTTCACTCCACTAGTCAACTGCCACAATCACTGGGCAGCAAACAACTCCAAGCCCAGCAGCTTGAGAAAAAGACCATTTATTCCTACTTTCACAACTGTTGGCTGGGGATGCTCTGTGGATGTCATCGGGTTCCAACAGGCTTGACTTTTAGCTGGAGGTTGGGTTCAGATCTTTTCAGCATGCCTCTCATCCTCTGTGGCTAATCCGGTCATTTCTTTGTCATGATGATAGCAGAAGCACAAGAGGCAAAACCTGATCATCCCTTTAAACCTCTGATCCTATCATACCCACTAACATCTTTTGGCCAATGGAAGCCATGTGGCTAAACCCGATGTCAACAGGCTAGGAGGTACACCTGACCCACCATGAGGTCATGGGCAGTATGGCCAAGCCGAGTATCAATGGATGGAGGAAGTGCACTCCTTCCCAGGATGTAAGGGAAATGAGAGGCAGAAGGAATATCTGCCAAACAGTAATACACTCTACCACCTCACTTTTAGGTTAAGCCAAAAATCACTTAGGGCTCCCAAGATCTAAACCCTACTGTCTCAAGTGCTCTCTTTTGAGTTTTAACAAGTACCCAAGGCAGACCTTTGGGTCATAGAGAAGGCAATGCTTGTGCAGTTTATTGAGGTTTTGCCCTTGAATTTGAGTCAGAAGACATAAAGCTGCTCCTAAAACCCACGGGAGATGGTGGACTAGCCAAAGCAGTGGGGTGGTACAGGTGTGTGCGTGTCCTTCCCCTCTCTATACACACACATGGCCCCGCATCTGTACTTCTCTCTGGGACCCAGACCTATTATTAGAGGATTAGCTTTATTTCCACCTCTTTACATGTGTGGCCATGCAGCCTTGGAATGCGTCATCAAAGTCCAAAGCAAGTCCATTTGAATTCTTTGCTTAGCAGATCTGTCGTTTTGTGACTACAAGGAATTATGAGAAATTCCTAAATTTTGGAGCTGTGTTTTTACTGTAAGAGAGGAACGAATAGAAAAAGCTCCCAGTGGATTAATTTATTTGTATTTTGTTCCAGCTCCTGACATTTGAAAAAGGCTTGAAGATCTTAACGTTTGCTATTTTGATCTGCTGTGTAAGATGATAGATTAAACACAGGATCCTTGAAAATAGACTTGTTATTTTCCTCTGCAGAGGTACAAGGTCTGAAATGATTCTCTCAACTGCCAGGACAGCCAGTCCTCGACTCTGGTGCTACCACTCGTCACCATCCTCACCCTAGCAGACACTGCAAATAGATCCTAGCACTGCTACCCTCTACACCCAGGCATGGCCTCAAAGCCCTCTGGATACAGCCCTCAGGCAACCACTATTATTTGATCAGTGACTGTTACTTAATGCAACCTAGTTGCCACCCTTGCTCTAAAACTTTTCAGTTTTTAATATGCCAGGGAAATAACTTTACCCAAGTATTTATAGAGTTCAGATGAAGTTACCACCATTTTCTTTGGTTCTCCTTCTCTTTATACCACTACTCGACTCCAGAATCCCCACTCTCCAAACTCCTTAGCTCCTTGGTGGAGGAATCAAGATTCTCCACCACCTGACACTTTCACATCCCAGGACTAACATCCTTCTAATCCGTTTATCACCCTTTGCAATAGGCAAAGTTTTAGTTTGGTTCCCAAGATTCCTGACCCCTACTATATCAATCCTGGGTAGTCCCTGAAGCTTGAGTGTAGGAGGAAACTATGAATATGATTAGGTTACTAATGAGTTGACTTGGAATCAATCAAAAAGGAGTTTTTCTAGGTGGGCCTGACCCAATTAGGTGAGACTTTAAAAAGAGGGATTGGGTCCTTCTCGAACTTAGAGAGATTATCCTGCTGGCTTGAAGACCTCAGCTGCCCTGTCGTTAGAGGGCTTATGGAAGGGGCTATAAGGCAAAGACCTGGGGGTGGTCTCTAGGAGCTGAGCGTGGTCCCTGGCCAACAACTAATGAGAAATCAGGAAACCCAACTGTACAACAGCAAGGAAATGAAATCTGCCCACAAACACAGGAGCTTGGAAGAGAAGCTCCGCAAAGAAGCACAGTCTGGCCAACACCTTGATTTCAGCCTCATGAGACCCTGAGCAGAGACTCCAGCTAGTCTAAATGCAGATATCTGACCCATGGAAACTGTGAGATAATCAATACGTGGTATCTTTTTTTCTTTTTTGAGACAGGGTCTGGCTGTGTCCAGCCAGCCTGTGTCCACCCAGGCTGGAGTGCAGGGGCATGATCATGGCTCACTGCAGCATTGACCTCTTGGGCTTAAGCAACCCTCCCAACTAAGCCTTCCAAGTAGCTAGGACTACAAGTGCATTCCACCACACTGAGCTGATTTTTTAATTTTTTATAGAGATGGAGTCTTGCTAGGTTGGCCAGACTGGTTTCAAACTCCTGGGTTCAAGCGATCTTCCCACCTCGGCCTCCCAACGTGCTGAGATTATAGGCATGAGCCACCGCTCCCAGTCAATGAGTGGTACTTTAACTCACTGAGCTTGTGTTCATCTATTACATCTCTGTTCTCAAGCCACATCCAAATACTTGTTATTATCCATACCCAGGCAAGCTTTCCTACCTCGGGGAAAACTTTGATCATAGTCTTTTTTCACTCTGAGCTCTTTCTCATCTCTGTGCCTAAACCATAACCCAAATGTCACCTCCTCCCTAAAGCCTTTTCTTGGTAGCTCTAGACATGTTACCCGGGTTTTATTGCCATAATTTTCTTTGTTTGGGCCTAGGACTGTAAGATTGCTTAGGTACGCGCTTTCTTGCTCCTTTTAAACTGTAGGTTCCCTCGGGAGGAGTCAATGTCTGACTCATCCTGTACCCCCATTCCCAAACACTCACACTGTACCCAGGACACAATAGTTAATAAATGCTTATGACATAAATGTGTCTTTCCCGTGTTTTTAGGAATTCGCAGTGTGTATTTGACTAACTGTATTTGGGAAATTTTCCATCTTAATACATAATGTTTTGATAATATTAAAAATGTTTACATGACCAAGAACCAAATGGAGACTTCCATGCCCAAGTATACTGGCACAGTTCTCTCTTTTCTTTTATTTAATTCAATTCCATTCTCGTCTGTTGTGTGCTAGGTCTTATGCTCAATCCTTGCCCTCGATGAGCTTAGAGTCTCAGGAGTAAAAGTGACCAACCATCCTGGTTTGCCTGGGACTAAAGGCTTTCTCAAGACATGGGACTCGGTATTGAAATCAGGACAGTTCCAGGCACACCAGGATACCTGGTCATCCTGAATGAGGGAGACATTAGTCAAAAGGCAAATGCCACAGAGGGTGACAACTGTGCTTTGGGAGCTCAAGGTGGGGTGGCCTTATCAGCTGTCCCTTGAAAGATACCTAAGAATCATCCTAATTACCTAAGAAACTGAGCTAATTGGGAATATGATAGGGGCTGGCAGTATTAGTTCTAGGAATTGGAACCAGGGTAAGCAATGTCTTGACAGTAATAGAGAGAGACAGATTCTTTAGAGAAATGTAAGTAGTTTATATTCAATGATTAGTATCAGTTGGCCAAGCCAGTCTGTGCTTGATTATATGAGTGTGTGTGTGTGCGTGTGTGTGCAAGAGAGAGAAAAAGAGAGAGAGAGAGAAAGAGAGAGAGAAGAGAGGCAAAGAGAGAGAGAGGAGAGAGACAAAGACACAGAGAGAGAGAGAATGTGTGCGTTCATGTGTGTGTGTGTGTGTGTGTTTAAAGAGTAGCGGAGCAGTGAGAGAAGGTAGGGAAATTTCAGGCAGAGAGGATAACATATGCAAAAAAAAAACAACCTGACCATGTGCGACGCTCAGCAAACACTTCTGTGTTAGAACATTGAGATGAGACAGGGTGTCACAAGAAATGAGGCTCAGAGAGAGGTTGGACCAAATCATGGAGGACTTATGAGCCTTGCTGGAGTTTGGGTTCATCTGGTAGGTCATGGGGAGCCATTGATTGGTATTAAATAAAGGAGTGATGCGGGCCCCTTTGTATTTTAAATGGATCATTTTGGTCCCTGGGTAAGTGATGGACCTGAGACATCTAGCACAGGCAGCAAGGTGACAACAAAGAGGCTGCAGAACTTACCCAGGGACAGGAGAAAATGGCCTGAGTTGAATAAGACTATGGAAATAGGGAGGACGAGACAGAGTCAAGAGACATTGAGGCCATAGAATCAAGCTTTGGTGATGGATTGGATGGGGCTGGGGCATGGTGAGGAAAAGGGTGAAGTCAAGGATAAAGTCAAGGTCTCTGGCTTGAGCAACTGAGGCAGCTGTCATTCCAGCCATGAACTAGGGACACAGAAAGAAGTGCAGACATGGTGGGGCTGGGGATAGAGTGGCCAAGGGTGAGGCAGGGAAATAAGATTAGTTCAGTTTTACAAGTTGAATTTAAGAGGATTGTGGGGCCTGTGCTCTACCAGGTCAAAGGAGTGAGAGTTAAAAAGCATCAGCTGAAGTAGTTGGCCAGGAGATCCTTGGAGATCTTGCTGAAGTTGCCCACAGTGGAGTGGTGGGGAAAGAAGCCAGTTTGCAATTGACTGGGGAATGAACGGAGGTGGGGAAGTCGACAGAGTGAGTACCGTTTGTAAGAAATTTGGTTGAGGAGTAAGGAGAGAGAGACAGAAGCATAGCAGGAGGAGGGTATGAGGTCAAGGTGCCCTTCAGACCACCTATGTCACAGCTTTGGTCCTTCATGCATGATTATTTATCATCCTGGGCTCCCTGGACTGTGAGATCTTGGAATCTGTCTTTCATCTCTATATGCCAAGTACTTCTTAGCATAATTCTAGCACATAGCAGATAGTAAATGTGTGTGGGATACTAGACAGGAGACTGTCATTAAAAGTGTGAAAATGTAACTAGCTGGAAATTCACATTGAGGTTACTAGAGAACCAGATATAGTTTAGAATAAATTGCTGGCTTTCTAATGTCAGTGACACCTTTCTTGCACAGTTTCAGGTCTTTGAAAAACAGGAGGTAGAAGGGGCTGCGAGTTGAAATCAATACCCATTTTCGCAAAGCTCCTAATTTACAGTAATATTTACTGCCTGGTAATTAACAATAAGTAGAATCTTTGGTAAGGTCCATCATCTATCATAGAAAGTAAATATATACCAGCGGTCAGTCACTCAAGTAAAGTCCAGATTCATCTAGGAAATACTTCTTGGGTAATGAGAAACTGCAGAAAAAATATTTGATGGAGGATATGATGAAAAACAAAAGTTAGACTCCTTATAAATAAAAATTAGGAATCTAGGAGGACTGGCTACAAAACTGATGGAATTGGATTGAGAAACACAGTCAGTGGCCCATCTGTGTTAAGCTACCAGAAAAAAATATAATTAGGCATATGATTTACCCTATCCTTACCCTCTTCCTCTGTTCCCAAAGTCAAGCCCTGTATCCCATAGAGACCTGAGCATCTTTCCCTATCACATGAGTGCTGCTCTTTGAGGCAGTGTGTCTGATGGCAGACCCTAGGTACAGATAGAGTTCTCCTCACTCAAGGAAGAATAAACAGAGGAAAAGAATAACACAAATAAAAATCTACCAAAGAATATTTATCCTGAAGACCCTAATGCCAGTGACCTTTCTTTGAAGCAGTGTGTCCAACAGCAAATGCTCTGAAAATGATTTACTGCAGGAAACAGAAAATTAGAAAGTTACTGAGCATTCTCAATAGAATGCTAAAAAAGAACATCATCTTTTTGAAGAAGGAGCTGGCTTTCTAATATCAGTGAACCTTTCTCTTGTACAGTGCCTTTGTTTTTTGTGTATAAAGCAGATATACATTGACAACAGAATCTCATACAGTGGGAAAGAGGCAAGAATTATAAACAAGTTTAAAATGCAAGACAAAATTTAAATCTACATTGGAGGCAAGAAATGGCAAAATGAGAACAAGAAGATTGAATGAATGAAATGAAGAACAAACTTGAATAGTTCTATCAGGACCAAGAGATTAAAACAATGAGGTACTTTAGAAAACAGCTATGCAGGTCCAATCTAAGGATTATACAAATTTCTGAGGAAGAAACAAGCAAACCTAGAACAAAAGCATTAATCAAAGAATAGTTGGAGATAAATTTCCTGAGCTTAGAAAGATTTCCATTTGTAGATCTGAACAACTCATCACATTTCAGGCCAAACTGTTGGGGAGAGGGATTCAAATTAGCTCCCACCCTAATCTCAGAAAATTATTAACCATCCATACAAACATATCAGATTATCTAAAATGTAATACAAATTTGGAGAGAGAGTTGTGGAGCAGTTCATGTATGGCTTTGAACTAGCATTTCAGTATGAATTTTGTCTAAAGAAGTGGTATAATCTGATTTATGTATGAAAAAGATTACACCAATGTTGATGTGAAAAAGAGACAGGGAGGGAGAAAGTTCTAGTAGAAATTGGGAGATCACTTAGAAGAGCTATTACCATAGCCCAGGGGATCAATGGTGGTAATAGTGATTAGGGTGTCAACTGTGGAGCCAAGAAAATGATCATGTATTTGTGATATGGTTTGGCTCTGTGTCCCCACCCAAATTTCATCTTAAATTGTAATCCCCGGGTGTCGAGGGAGAGACCTGGTGGGAGGTGATTGGATCATGGGAATCGTATACCCCATGCTGTTCTTGTGATGGTGAAAGAACTCTCATGAGAGCTGATGGTTTTAAAAGTGTTTGGCAGTTCCCCCTTTCTCTCTCTCTCTCTCTCTCTCTTTGTCTCTCTCTCCTGCCGCCATGTAAGACATGCCTTGGTTCCTCTTCGCCTCCCACCATGATTGTAAGTTTCCTGAGACATCCCCATCCATGTAAATCTGTGAGTCAATTAAACCTCTTTTCTTCATAAATTTCTCAGTCTCAGGTAGTATCTTTATAGCAGTGTGAAAACGGACTAATATAATTTGGGGTATATTTTTAAGGTATTTGCTGATGGATTATATTTCCTCTATGACAGAAAGAGAAAAGTCAAAGACCACATTAAGTTTGTGGCTTGAAAAATAGGTAAATAAAGGTGCCATTTTCTGAGACAAGCATGCTGAGAAAGGAGCATAGAAGGTGAAAATGAAGAGTTTCCATTTTGGATGCATTAAATTTTGGCTGCTGTTAGACGCATGTATTAGTTAGGGTGATACTAGCTACTGCAACATAAATCCCCATATTTCCATAGCATAAAACAAGCTTCTTTCTCACTCATGCAAGAGACCAATGCAGGTGTTCATGTGCAATGAGAGGATTTCTATATGGTGACTCAAGGATGCAGGCACTTTCCATCTTGCAGCTCCATCCTCCTCTAGGGTATATTGCACTGACAAATGGTAAAGAGAAAATGGGAAAGGCACACAGGCAAAAAATAGCATAACCCCACTTAGATGCAAGGGAGTCAGAAGGTGGAAAAGCTAGTCCTTGGCCAGGTAGCCACTTCTCAGAGATAATTACACCATGGAAGTAAGCACACGAACTTCTGATGTTAAGTCATCTTTTACCTTTCTTGTGACACCTTTCTTTTACAGTTTCAGGTCTTTGAAAAACTAGAGGTAGAAGAAACTGTACAAGAGAAAGGTGTCATGACATTAGAAAGCCACACTTGCAATCTACCTGGCAGTCAACATTTTCACTTGGATGCTTGGTCCACAGAATCCAAGTGAAAATATTGACTGCCGGGTAAAATGTAAGTATGGTAGTCAGAGGTATGATTGGGGTTGGAGATGGAAACTTGGGAGTCATTAGCATGTAGATGGTACATAAAGCCATGGAAATGGAATTAGATCATTAGGTCACACCCTGGGCCTTTTTCCATTAAAGTTGTGTGGGAATGCAGTGATGCTCATAAGTTCCCAGATGGCTGCTTTCCTGTTACAATAGCACCACTCCTCCAAAGAAGAAAAAGCTGCTTATAGTTTCTTGAGTATCCTTCTAGAAAGTTCTATCTATCTATCTATCTATCTATCTATCTATCTATCTAATCTATCCACCCATGCTTGAACACATTTATATGTATATACATACATATCAGTAGAAAATATTTCTACATACATTTATTTGAGATGTATATGCATACCTTTTTAGGTTACAAAAATGGGATCACTCCATACATAACATACGTAACTTACTTTTTGTTTGTATTTAATATATCTTGGACATCTTTGCATAATGGTGCATGTAAGTCTCTCTCTCTCTCTCTGTCTGTCTTTAGTAGCTGCCTAGTATCCTGTGGTATAGATTTATTATAAAACAACCCCCATTAATTGGTAATTTGCTTATTTATTTATGTATTATTTCCAATTCTTTCTACTTTTCCAGTGTTTTCATGAACATTCTTAGTCTTTGTTCTTAAGCAGTAATACAGTATAAGTATACACGCAAGATAAAAAATCTTAGAAAGTAAATGGTTAGGTCAAAGAGTATATACTTAAAAATTGTTTTTTACTATCTATTGACCAATTACTCTCTGAACACATTGTGGCAATATGCATTCCCCACAACAGTATATGAGTGTTTATTAGTTTTATAACCATTTAAAATGTAAGATTGATTTGAATATGCTGATATAGAAATAATATTATTTAAGA
Organism: Homo sapiens; assembly: GCF_000001405.40. Classification (NCBI taxonomy): domain Eukaryota; kingdom Metazoa; phylum Chordata; class Mammalia; order Primates; family Hominidae; genus Homo; species Homo sapiens. The sequence goes on along the minus strand of NC_000016.10, from coordinate 54,752,165 downwards.
ATGGGTAGGACAGTCACTATACTATGTATATAAATTTGACTTTGATTCCTGTGAAATATAATTCATATGATAATCTTTAATATGCTAAATTTATTTAATGCAAATCTCATTTGATTCAAAAAAGCATTTGGGGGCGGGCGCGGTGGCTCACGCCTGTAATCCCAGCACTTTGGGAGGCTGAGGCGGGCAGATCACGAGGTCAGGAGATCAAGACCATCCTGGCTAACACGGTGAAACCCTGTCTCTACTAAAAATATGAAAATTAGCTGGGTGTGGTGGCAGGCGCCTGTAGCCCTAGCTACTAGGGAGACTGAGGCAGGAGAATAGTGTGAACCTGGGAGGCGGAGGTTGCAGTGAGCCGAGATCGCACCACTGCACTCCAGCCTGGGCGACAGAGCGAGACTCTGTCTCAAAAAAAAAAAAAAAAAAAAAAAAAAAAAAGGAAAGCATTTGGTAATTCACATTTGAGAAATCTGAACTGGGCTTAAGCAATACTGCATGGCTCACATGAAATCAAATGAATAGAATACATCACTTTGCCTTCCAATGTGACCTACCCAGAAAGCTATATTAAATATATATATTATGTAATAATTGAGATATTTCCTATTTAAAAATGTCTACCGCACTTCTCCCAGGTTTTGTTGCAATGTAAATTTTGTATTATGGTTCTTAGTACATTTTTTCTTGCAGCTAGATCTTCATTAAAGTCAGTCAAGGGCTGCGCTTTTCATGTTATGAATAGGCACTGTAATAATCTAATGCAACTACTCCAAAAATCAGATTCGTAATTAGCTGAACCAACTGATTGGTATGACTTCCTGGATGCTGCTCTTTAATGTTGAACATTTATTTTGTGCTTGAAGGATTTGTTTGTGTGTTTCCTATGTGTGATGAGAGCTTTTCGATAATTAGCTCCTAAGGGATGTTGTATTCCAATAGTTAAAGAATAATTACAGCCTTATGAAAAGTGAAATGGCCTCGGCTTCCTTTTGTTGTGGTTTAATTGTATGCAACAAGTTCAGAAGGTGTCTCATTTCAAATTGTGATAGTGAAGATGTAGCTTTCATTTAAAAAATGTGAATTTGGTAAAATGGCAAATTGGTATAATTTTTAAAACAAACAAACAAATCACCCTATTAAAACAAGCCTTGTGCTATTTCATTAATTCATAATTTTGATTACAAATTAAACTGTGGCAGAGTGAGAAGTTGTAAGGTTATAACAACAATGAGATGGAACTTGATGAAAAAGTTCACATCAAAAGACGTCGGCTGGGGGAATGACGTTGTCATGGGCTATTAATTAAAGCCAACCACAAAAATGAAGAAAAGTAGAATGGCAGGCTAGCTCTCACAGATCATATGGTTTGAGGCAGAAACGAGAATAAAACACGCTAAAAAAAAAAATGTTTTTCTTTAATGCCCTTCCTGTTATTTTTCAAAATTTGGTTTTTGGGGGGTTAAAAACGTTTTACATCAACAATATTAAGAAATTTTTTACTCCAAGAAAATGTGAATGATAAAGGATGTTACTTTACATGATAAAGTAGTATGTTAGTTAGTATTGCTGTGGTAACGCTACATAAGAAGGCACTCCAAAACTCAGTGTCTTAAAATAACGCACATTGGTTTGTCACCCACGCGTTTGTGGGTTGGTTGCAACTTGCCTTGTGGGTTGGAGTCAGATGTGCTCCCCACATCCTTCTTGGACTAATGGCTACCCCCAACCTCATTACGCAAGGCAGAAGCACAAAGGCCAAGCCAGGATGCACAAAAGACCCATAAGGTTTCTGCTAGTCTCATGTCCACCAATCTTCTACTCATCAAAGCAGGTAACATAGTCTAGCCCAAGATCAGTGGGATAGGAAACGTGCAGTGCCTAGAACTCAAGAATGAGGGAAGGAAATACGTGCTAAACAATCATTCACATCATCACAGTAACATGTATGGATCATGATAGTTGAGACTATTTCTCCCATTGATAGGATTTGAGAAGATCCTCAAATGTTTTTACTTCTTTCATCTGTCTTTGATTGCATTGGGTCATACTTAAATTGGAAAATGTTAAAGAAAAAAATAAAATGAGACCATTTTTCTTGCAGAACTAGATGTGGCAGGAAGTCATAAAAAACAATGCTTATTGTGAGGCGAGGTTTGGGTCAATGGAAGTATGAAGTCAATAGAGTTAAAAGAACATCTTCCATCTGTCCACCTTGAGAATCTTCTAGATCAAATGGTGTTATGTGAAAAGTAGACTTGTTCTAAAAATGCTGGAACTTTACCTAAAGTTACATTGTACCCATGCAAAACCTGTCTTGTTTCAAAGCATTCTATGGGATTCCTTATCCCAGCACTGATGAAATCACCAACACAGTTGAGGCAGCCTTGTTGAAGCCATGTGCCTTGGAAATGGTTGCCCTAAGGTGTGGTTTGGGAAGAGAAATAAAGTTGTAGAACTACCCTGGTTAAGAGAAATCCCTATTGAAGAATCACCAATATGTTTTCTACTATTTTGAAGCAGATCATAAAGGAATTCCCAGTCATTCTGTGTTCCTTCAGCAAACAACTGGAAGAGATTCGAGATGTCCTCTGTATAGCCCCCTGTTTTTGTCCAGTACGTAGAGGATGATATTAACAAAGAAATCTCCTTGCTTGCGAACCTCTTTTTGCAAACTGCAATGGCCTCTTGAAAACAGTAAAAATGTTGCCTGGAAGAAAATTTACAGTATGTGTGCAGTACAGCCTCTGCCCCTGCCCTGCCCAGATTTCCTTGGTTCTCGCTATCCCCTGCATTCTGATGGCTTCTTGCAGAGAATATTTCCCAGCTCCTGCAGTAGGCTCAGCCCATGCACCAGGCAGACCCAAAATGCTGGAAAAGGTAATATCTCCAGGGAGGCAGCCCTTAACCAGTGATGGATGGGAGTTGATGTTTAAGCACCAGAGCTTCCTCTCATCCTTTGCTCAGGACAACTGAACAGCACGTTCTATGCTCTCTCCCAGGATTTTCCAGCAGAACTGAGCCCATGTAGCCCACGGCAGCAACCTGCTTGGTAAAGCACTCTTTACTGTCTTCTTTCTATTCCCTGACTCACTTCCCCACTCCTCTACAGGTGCTTCCTGGGATCATCTCCAAAATAAACTACTTGCACCCAACTCCTCATGTCAGGAACTGTTTCAGGAGAAACCCGAGCTAACACACCGTGCACATGAAAACCTTGACATCTGATCTGCTTTTGCCACTTGGTATATAAAGAACCTCAAGATCCTAACTTGCTGCTTTGTCCAGGCAGTTTCACTAGTGTCAAAACAGTCTGCCAACAATGCTGACAGGTGTCTAGTCCTCTGCAGGGAAGAGTCTGTATGTCAGAGCCAGGGTCCTGAGTCACCACTGTTCCAGAGGTCTTGTCAGAAAACAAAAACTGACTGTGAAGACTTTCCCTAATATTTTGAAGTTCCCTAGTTTCTAGGGGCAAGTCTTAATGTGCTTGATTTGACCTTGGCGAAGAAGATAAGCGTCTGTTTTCAAAAAGATTAGGGTGAATTTCTTTATCTCTTGGCATTCTTACCATATTTTTACCAAATGAATGAAATAAATCTAATGCAAGATCCTGGCATCCCTATTATGGAAGCTGTTGCCAAAAGAAAAAAAAAAGCTTTAAGCCCTTTGGCTTTTATATTTTTATTCTGGATGAGGGGCCCAGTGGTGAAGCCACATTTCCTTGGTTTTAAGATACAATCCATTTTAAGATATGCCATTACTTTAATAACAATTCTAATTAGGGAGGGGATGCTGCCCGCATCAAATGGGCTCCAAGAGGCCACCCTTTCTTTGCTCAGAAACGCTAACATGTGCCTTTGGGAACAGAGGAATTATGGGGTGGAACCTGGTCAGTGCTGGTGGAATGACCTCACTGGTACAGTTGACAGTGGCAAATCTTTGTCAGTTCAGGGGCAGATAGAAGTCATTATTGGAAATGTACTTTTGAGCAGAGTTAAAGCTTAGTTTTTGCATTATTTGTGCAATCTGTATCTGTTTCCTTTTGAGGGCAGGGAAAGTGGTTATTCATTTTTGTCTGGGAAAAAAGGAGTGAAAGACACAAAATGTTTTATGAAAATTGATCTTCTTTTATGACTATATGAAGGGAATGTCCTTCCAATGAAATAAGTGAGTTATATGCACAATTTTGCATATACTTGCATTTTTCTGAAGTTCATAGATTCCTTTAGATTTTCAAATGGGATCACAGCCTTCAAAATGTTTTTAAATTTTTAATTAGTAATTCAGTCAAACTTCTTTAAAATGTTTTTAAATTTTAATTACTAATTCAGTCAAATTTCTTTATAAACCAAGGCTTGTGGCGGGGGGGGGGGGGGGCGGGGGTTAAGTAAATTTACCCCACCATAGAACACATAGTAAAGTATCTTTGAAGTTATTTATTTATTTATTTTTTGAGGTAGAGTTTCGCTCTTGCTGCCCATGCAGGAATGCAATGGTGTGATCTCAGCTCACCACAACCTCTGCCTCCTGGGTTCAAGTGTTTCTCCTGCCTCAGCCTCCCAAGTAGCTGGGATTACAGGCAGGCACCACCACGCCCAGCTAATTTTGTATTTTTCTTTTTTTTAGTAGAGACAGGGTTTTTCCATGTTGGTTAGGCTGGTCTTGATCTCCCAACCTCAGGTGATCTGCCCGCTTCGGCCTCCCAAAGTGCTGGGATTACAGGCGTGAGCCACTGCACCCAGCCTGAAGTTATTTTTAAAAGTTTGTTTTGTCATCTGGAAAATGACCAAGTTTCCCTTGTGGTCCAGTCAATCCTCCGTATCCATGGGTTCTACATCCATGGATTCAACCAACTGAAGCTCAAAAATATTAGGGAAAAAAGTTGTTTCTGTACTGCACATATAGACATTTCTTTCTGTTATTGTTCCTTAAGCAATACAGTATAATGGCCATTTACACAGCATTTACTTTGTAGTAAGTATTACAAGTAATCTAGAGATGATAAAAGTAGACAGAAGGATGCACATAGTTTATATGCAAATGCTACTCCATTTTATATCGGGGACTCGGGCATCCATGGATTTTGGTATTCCAAAGAAGGTCCTGGAACCAATTCCCCACGGATATCAAAGAACAACTGAATTGACTTTAGTATTCACTATCCTAAGAATCCTCACAACCCTTTTTATATAGTGAGGGGGGAAAAGTCCACAGTTTTGTTCAATCACAAATGCACACTTAGTAAATTAAGCCTAAAAGATTCCCCGTACATGTCTTCTTTGTTCCTTTTGCATAAATCTCAGTTACAGTCTACTTCTTTGTAAACAGTGGCTAATCTTGCAGGAATGTTCTCTCCCTGGCTTAGGGATGATCTGCCTTTTCTGTCCAGCGTCCTCCTCACCTCCACCCCCAATCCAAAAGTCTTAACCTATCTCCCGTCCTTCAGAACCTATATAATTGTGTGTTCCTTTGTGATGCTAAAAACTAAGCTTTGTTTCTTCAGGCTTTTAGGAGGAACACTTACCTTAATCCTCTTAGGTCTCTGGGCCTTGAAGTGATAGCGCTTGGGATGGTTCAGGTTTCAAGGAGCAGGCTCTCCTGGGACCTGGTTAGGTTGACCTTTCCTGGGTGGGATTCCTGCCCTGTCACCCTTGTGGGGAGCACTTTCAAACGAGTTTTGGCTTCCATAATAGTTCCCTGCTTGGATATATAACAAAGGTGCATTTAAAAAAGAGGAGAAGGGGAGGGGCGGAGAAGAGAGAAGATTCAAATTACGATACCATGTTTCTACTTTTCTACTTTTTAAATACAACTGTTTTCCTAAATGTGGAGATTGGAGATGTTTTCCTTCCTTTTAATTTCTTTCTTTTTTTCTTTTTTTTTGAGACAGAGTCTTACTCTGTCACCCAGGCTGGAGTGCAGTGGTGCCATCTTGGCTCACTGCAGCCTAGAGCTCCTGGGCTTAAGCAACCCTCCCACCTCATCCTCTCAATTAGCTGGGACCACAGGCAGGTGCCACCATGCCTGGCTAGCTTTTTTATTTTTTGTAGAGATGAGCTCTCATTATGTTGCCCCGGCTGGTCTCGAACTCCTGGGCTCAAGCAATTCACCTGCCTCAGCCTCCCAAAGTGCTGGGATTACAGACATGAGCCAACAAGCCCAGCCTCTCTCTCTTTCTTTTAAGGTGTTAGATTCCTTTTTCTTTCATTGGAATCTGATATTCCCATTATGAGGCTGTGCATTTGCTACCAAGCTACACAGAGTTTCTGAACTGGCATTCAAAGCTCTTTGTAAGTCCCATATATCTTCCTGTTATTTGGTCAACAAACTAGTCCTCCGCAAGGTGCCTTGATGAAGATCTTCTTCATCCTGAAGTGTTTTTTAAGCACCTGCACTACCCAAGAGGTAGTAAGAGGTGCAGTTACTGAGCAAGAAAAATTCAGAAAAGTCAATGTTGAAATTCATTGTGTGTGTTTTAGACTCCCTTTGGCTATTATTTGGGATTTAGTGAAACTCATTTAATACTCAGTAACTGGCCTATCTTCCTAAGAACTAAGCCAATGTCTCTTGAAATAGAGTGTTCAGGCCTCCACTGGCATCACAATCATTTAGATGAACTCGTTGAAAATGCAAATTCTCATACCCCAGATCTGCTGAATTAAAATGTCTGGGAATAGAGACCGGGAACCTGCATTTCTGTCAAAGCTCCCCAGATGATTCTTTTGCAGCTGAAGTTTGAGAACCACGCTGCCTCTACTTTCCCAAACCCCTTCCCTTTTCAGCTTCTTTGTACCCATTCTAGATACACTCTAGTCCCTCCTTCCTGTCCTAGACGGCAGTGTCCCAGAGATAGGAGGTGCTGCGAACATCCGTTGATTTCGCCTGTTTGAGGGATGTTGGTTCCTCCCACTTCCGGTAATAGGTCTCAGATTTCCCTCTGGGGAACCAGCCTTTTCCTACTCTTAATCACGTGATCAGACAGGGACCCACAGCCTCACACCTTAGGGGTGGATATATGACCAGGCCTGGCCAACCAGCATGCTCCCTCAACCTCAGACCCCCAGGACTGGTTCATTGGTAGGCACATGACAAAGCTAATCCTAAGAGATACAACCTAGGGCTTTTGTTGGAAAAATTGAGAAAGAGAAAATCTCTTTGTGCTGGAAATGCTGGTAACAAGAGTGACATGAGCCTGGAACTGCTGGGGAGGAGGCAGGGTCACCTGGCTTCCACGTGGAGAGGTTCCACTCAAGAGTGCCACCGACAAAAGAGACAAACAGAGCTGAGAAATGAAAGAGGGTGGGATAAAGTCCTGTTGATGATCCTATTTTAGTCCTTGGATTCAGACATAGCTGAAAACAGACCTGCCTCCAGTTTTCAGTTCACTGAGATGGTATTTCCCCTTTTCTGCTTCTGCCAGGTTGACTTGAGTTTCTGACACTTCCCACAGAAAGAGCCCTGTTATGGCCAGGCGCAGGGGCTCACGTCTGTAATCCCAACACTTTGGGAGGCCAAGGCGGGTGGATTACTCGAGGTCAGGAGTTCAGGACCAGCCTGGCCAACATGGTGAAACCCCATTTCTACTAAAAATACAAAAATTAGCTGGGCGTGGTGGTGGGCGCCTGTAATCCCAGCTACTCAGGAGGCTGAGACAGGAGAATTGCTTGAACTCGGGAGGCAGAGGTTGCAGTGAGCCGAGATGGCGCCATTGTATTCCAGCCTGGGCAACAAGAGCAAAGCTCAGTCAAAAAAAAAAAAAAAAAAAAAAGAAAGAAAAGAAAAAGAAAAAGCCCTGTTATTGGACAAAAAAATGAAAATAACTGACCTCTTCCATGTTCAGCTTTGGTCTCGCTGAAGTCTAAGGGGGGCAGGACTTACAGTCAGTGGTAGTCAATAAAAATATATAGGGTGAATGGTCTGGCAGCCCGGGGATATGCATAATTCTTGGCTCCAAGAGTCTTAGATTGAGTCAAGGACTGAAACATTCTGTAAAATAGTTCTGAGCACGTGCTCTATCAAGCATGAAGGTTCTTATAGGGATAATGTGACAGAATATTTGATTTAGAATTTCATGGAAAATTTCAGATCATGGTCATTATACCCTTAGCTTGGATAACACATTTTCCCCAGACTTAATAACTTAGGTGTGACCCGCAGCTGATCGGGACACTCCAAATCATTATAATCACCCTACGTTTCTCCAGCTATTGTGGTGCCTACCTGGATTTAAGGAAAAGAAACAAGTTGGAGTCGTAAGTGTTGGAAGGGGAGTTAATGATTAAGAACAATGATTTTGAAGTCAGACAGAACCAATTCCAAGTCTTGACTTTATCAATTGCTAGCTACCTAACCTGGACAAGTTGCTTAGAGATTTTGTTTATAATATGGGAATAATAATGGCAACCTTGTGCATAAGTAACTGCAGGAATTAAGTGAGATAACGCATATAATCCAGCATAATGCCTGGGCCATCATGATTACCCAATTAACATTAGTTCCTCTTATTTTTGATCTCACTGTACCTCTTTCACATTTATGCTGCATTTTTACCATCTGTTGATGTGTTCTGTAAGTGTCTCCCTCACACCCTCCTTTCAGCCCAAACTTAAGCTTTTTGCAGTAGGCACATCTGTTAACCAACTATTGCTGGTTTTGGGTCTCTGGGCCTCAATTTACCCATCTGAAAATGGAGGCAGTGCAGGGAGAAAGGATATTGTTGGACTAGATGCTCTCTAATGTTTTTACTTCTATGATTTCTTCTGTGATTCCATGAACCATAAGTACTTGGTAACCAACTAACTAGACGTTCCTAGGAAAACACTCAGTTTTATATTACTTAATCCCTATTTTCATCAAGCTACTTTAAAATGTTCTTTTTTCTGCATAAGGAACTATAGGTGTGATTCTATATGTATGAATTTGGCCAAGAATCAGAATAACTTCTAGTGTATGCTTTATCATTTTACCACAAAGGCTATCAACTGGTAAGAATGTTCTTTTGAAGCTTCCAACTTAGAGGATAAACTGCATTTTTTAAAAAAACAAAGACTCCCATCATTTTTTTCATTTCTTTGATGCATATAATTCTTTTGACTTCAGCCCATTTCTCATCTTTTGGCAAATGACCAACTCACAGATTCCAAGCAATATTCAGAATGTATTCAGCTAAAACAAATCAAGTCCGACAGTTGTCACAGAAGCATTTAACCAAAATTACTTCAACATTTTAACAATGCTTGACGTTTTCAGGGATGTCTTTGAAGTACAGAGCTCCCAAAATATTTAGTGTTAACAGTTTTAGACAGGTGTTTTGCCAAAGACATGTAAAGATGTGTTGAGTGAAGATTATTATTTTGCAGTGAGTTTAGCCTCTGGAAAAATATTTATGTCTTAATTGGATGGAATTCCACCTGTCATTTTATCAAACACTTTGCTTATGGTCCATTTTGCTTGGAGTCCAAGAAAAATGAAAGTATTTTCGTTGTGAGAATTAATGTGACACATGTTTGGGCTTTGTGAAATCACTGCATTTGTTTGGTGATAATTATAAGAAAGTGTTTCAGGAACTTGAACTAGAGTTTGCAATTAGAATATACAAAATTGGTTTTGAAAGGAAAGCTTAAGAAAGAAGAGGATGATTACAAAATGTTGCAAAGGCCCTTTTATAGCAAACCAAAGTATGGAACTGAAAAATCACTTAATTAAAACTCAAGTGGAAAAAGACCACCAACCATTTTCTAGGGGCTTCTATCAATTTTAAGAATTAGTTTTTTTAGTGTCTGGTGCGTAGCAGGTTCTCAAAAAAGGGTAGCTTCCTGCCTTTCTCTCCTCTCTTTTCCCTTCTTTGACTTCATCGCCTTTCCCTCTCCAAGCTTTTGGTTATTTACAACTCAATTTCAACAAGGACTACTGAGGATAGAAAACAACTTAGCTGCTTTTCAGTCAATCTTTCAATAAGAGCAAGGACACCTTCCTTACTCAGAGAAGTTCTTCATGTGAGAGCAGCTGATGAAGGGGTAAGGCACTAACTCCATTGTCCAAGAGAAATGAATTTGGTCAACACTTCAGTGGGCTAAGGGAGATCTCTTGTGTACCTGATATGTTCTATTTAAGGACCAGCATGCATCAAATGTGTCAGCTCTGGGCAGATCTCAGCCCTATGGTCCCCTTAGAGATAGGCTTCTGAAGGAAGAAGTGGTCACAGGTAAGGTGTTTGAAGTGGGGGACAAGGGATTGCTTGTTGGGGTACTTTCTGAACCTCTAATTTTGGGTGGTGTTTTTCAAAAACCTAAACAGTAAGAGGCCCAATTCAAGTTAAAAAGCAAAATCTGACCATGTGCAGTGACTCATGCCTATAATCACAGCAATTTGGGAGGCCAAGGCAGGAGGATCCCTTGAGCCCAGGAGTTTGAGACCAGCCTGGGCAACATAGGGAGACCCTATCTCCACAATTAAAAAAAATATATTAGCTGGGCATGGTGGCATGTACCTGTAGTCCCAGCTACTTGGGAGGCTGAGATGGGAGGATTGCTTGAACCTAGGAGGTTGAGTCTGCAGTGACCCATGATCCTATCACTGCACTGGGCAACGGAGCAAGACCCTATCTCCAAAAAAAAAAAAAAAAAAAAGCAAAATCTCACTTTGGGGAGGTAGAAATCTAAGGAAACAGAAGAATTGATTCAGAGACTCATTTGGCCTCATAACAGCACCCCATCTCATCCTGCGTTGCTCCGTATAGCCCAGTAATTCTCAGATTGTGCCCAGGTCATGAAATGGAGAAATCGTTATTCACCAGGTCTCATCTTGGGCCAGAAGACTTTCCTTGGAGTGAAAATACTAGAAGTGTGCTTGGGTTAGAAACAGAGACTCCGGAGGGCCCTAGGAAGAAGTGGAAGGTTTTGAGTGGGGCAGAGAAGGTATTTATCATGGGGGGAGCCAGGGAGAAGTCAAACCATGGATCTGATGAGAAACTGCGGGTGATAATGTAATTGTCCTGCACACCCCATCCCCAGATTTTTGGTAAAACTCCTGGACTCCCATGATGCTTGGTGAAGGCACTGGTGGAGTCTCCAGTTCCTGCTGATGTGGGGAAGCAACTTGTGCGGCCACAGGCATGTGGAGGAAGAGAAATGAAAGGAATGAGGTGCTCATAGACTTCTTGGCACATTTGCCACAGGCCATGGGATTGGAGTTCAAGATCAGCTGAACCTGAAGGCCTGGGCTGCCACCTGACTGCAGTTGACACACAGTTGTTGTAAGGATGGAAGCAGGGAAGCTGCTCCCACACTCTTTTTATTAGAGTGGGCCTCCTCAACCTGGGTCACATTTTTCCCAATGTTCTTTCTTATTCTCTGGTCTCTGGTATTCTTGGGCCCTTTATTGGCCCATACTCATGGATTTTTCCAGCACCATCCCTGGCGTTTGTATTGATCGAGGTAACAGTCCAGGGTTTGTTTTGTCCAGTATTTGTGCCCCAATCAGGCCTTGGTGCCCACTTTTAGAATCATTCACAATTGCCCCTTTGAAATGACTCCCCTGGGTCTGTAATCAATGACTCTTTATTCCCTCAAATAACAAAATATTCATTAGGTAAACCAAAGTTATAACATTGTGTGTTATTCAATTTTGTAATGTACATGCTATACATACATACTGAAACAAACTTTTATTCAATACCTATAGGTTTGTAATTTTTAGAGACAGGATCTCTCATTGCTGTCCAGGCTCACTGTAACCTTGAGCTCCTGGGCTCAAGTGATCCTCCTGCCTCAGCCTCCTGAGTAACTGGGATTATAGACACATGCCACCATCCTCAGCTAAGTTTTGCATTGCTTTGGTAGAGATGGGATCTTGCTATGTTGCCCAGGCTGGTCTTGGATTCCTGGCTTCTTGCAATCTTCCCACCTCGGCCTCCCCAAATGCTGGGATTATAGACATGATCCAGTATGCACAGCCTCAATGCCTATAGTTTTAACTCACCAGTATCTCTTTAACATTGATCTTACCAAAGCATGAGGGAGGAAAGGGGAGGAGCAGGGGGTGAGTGAACTAGGGTGAGGCAGGGATATTAAAGCCCATCCTGGTCTGCTTCTTGGTTTGGTTGACCATGACAGGTGGAAACATGTTTGAATAGAAGTCCAGAGGCATTGGACATGGACCTGGTTTAGCCACACTGTGTTTCACTCACGCCAGCAGCACAATAATGTGTCAGACTATAGTTAAAAAAGTATGGACCATGGTGAAAACTCAAGCTCTGGATCTGATCCTATCTGTCTCTCTTCCTAGCTAGGGGATCTGGACCTTGGGGAGACACTTCATCTCACTAACTTCATTGTCTTCATGTGTAAGACTAGGGGAATAACAGTACTAAGCTTATAAGATCATTACACATTATAGATAAAGCGTAAAAGGCATAACGTTTACAGACTGATCTGAATATTGTTGGACACCTAATAAGCAATTAAAAATGATATTAGTTATCATCAAGAGGGAGAAGCAAAAGGTAATAGAACTGGTTCTTTAGTCACACATAAAATATATAAACAGATACAGATAGGGTAAACAAATTGGGACACAGTGACACTATAAACACTGTTATTAAATGGCGTGGTATACCAAGTGTCTTACAAATACTCTTTGGATCTCTATTTAATAGAAGGTGAACTTGAAGGACTCTAAAAATCTGTCGGGGAAATATTCCCAATGCAACCACTGTCTGTGGTCCCAGCCAGAGGCAGTTAATGTTGGATACTATAATTTGTTCTGAACAATGTTTAGTAATATTCTGTGGGTGCTGTAATTCTCCCCCTTGTCACCAGCAGTTCTGAAGAGCAAGGCATTTCTGACAATTGGGTTTCCTGGTAATTGGTAGCATTCCTCCTTGTTCTTGCAGGCAACCAGACGTCCAACACTCTCAGAATGCTGATAATACAAACAAAGTAAGGCCAAGCCCAGAGATCACCTTGCTGATATTTCAACACTGGGGCTTCATTCACTAGACAAATTATTTTGCTGTATAAGCCATACTATGAAGTACATTTATTTAGGGTATTTAGGAAGAAAATGTGCTGAGAGGCTTGATTGTTTGCTTAAAATGATGTTCTCAAAACTAAAGTGTTAGCCAATTATTGTTTAAATGTTTGTGAAGAAACTGGATCAGAAAGTTCATGTTAGAGAAGACCGGAAGGACCAACTCTTCTAACTGTGGCATTTGACTTTGACCCAGATGTCGGCTGAAGTTTTCTGTCTCTTAAGAACCAAAATAAGTTGGCATGATCCCAGTCCCAAGCATGGAAAGATCCTGCATGGCCCTCCTAATCTTTCAGGGGATTCTGAAAGGTAGGGAGTGGCTAATGGGTTTGTTTTGTTTTGTTTGCTTGTTTTTTCATTCCATTTGTCTGGTTTCTACTTAGTTCTACTCCGTGGATTCTCTCATCATACTTCTGTGCTGAACGTATCCCAAAATACTTCAGCTATAGACTTTAGAGTTTTTCTTTTTCATTTTTATTTATTTTTTATTTTTAGTAGAGAAAATATCTCACTATGTTGCCCAGGCTAGTCTCGAACTCCTGGGCTTCAGTGATCCTCCCAACTTGGCCTCCCAAAGCACTGGGATGACAGGCATGAGCCACTATGCCTGGCCTAGAACTTAGACTTCATGATTTCCACATTAATACCCACTCACATAAACTCACATAGAAGACTTTGCTAAAGTATGAGAAAAGAGACAGAGGGTGTTTGCATCACAAAAGAGCAGCCACCTTCAAATGGAACATTAGATATTTCTGTGCTCAACACTATTGGCCACAAGACTTGCTGACCTTTTGTATTGTTGCCTAGGGGTCAACTCCCCCTCCAATTCTTTTAGTAGTTTTATGTAAAGAAGTAGAAACTAAACCAGATCATCTTGACATTGCCATGTAAACTCAGATGAGACACCAGTCTCCTCTCAATCTTTGGATAGGATGAGGTACTGCATTCTTCCGGGTGTATTTCAAATAGGTAAACAGGGTACAGAGACATGAACTCATTTGTGCAGAAAAATGTTCTAGCCAGGACCCGATATACAGTCTGTTCTACAATACACAGCCTTATTACTGGCCCCATTATCACTACACATATTTCCATAAATGTAACCTACTGCACTATCACCAATTCTCAAGTAATTCAGTGTTTATACACTCAACACTGAAACCTGAGTGGAGTAAGCTAAGGCATTCTTGATAGATCAGAAGGCACTTGAGAATCTTGCTCTGCTTCAAGGACATTATTGCAAACTCCAATAAAACAAACCTTGGAGGGCTGGCTAAGTAAGAAAGAGAAGACATGCTGGGCTCATGCGGGAGGCAGAAATGGGTGAAGCATGAACACTGCTGTCTTTGTTCCTAGGGAATGTCAATGCAAGGCAGGCAACTCCACTCCAAAAACATTCAATGGGCTCCTGCAGGCTCTAGGGGGATGATAGAGACTGGGAATATATGGTCCCCGCTCTCACGGGGCAATAGTAGTTTAGCTATGGGGGCCACAGTATCAGAAAGAAAAATTGGCATGAATTTTCTGATGAGCTCAAAGGTAGTTATGGTGACAGGGTAACAAAATGCGTAAGCTGGCACCTCCCAGGGATAGGGTGGCCATCACCATCTGGGCAGTGGGCAGGGCTGTCCCAAGCCCTAACAAGGCCCTGCCTGCCTCTCCAGTGTCATCTCTCACTGAGCTCCCTTTTACTCAGCTGCTCCCAAGTCCTTGGTCTTCCCATTCTTCTTCTGACCTCAGGCCTTTTTCAAATCCTAGTCCCAGAGTCTGGACAATATGCTGCCTGCTTCAGCCAACCATGCCCTCTATTCCCCTCCACTCCTTGTGGCTTATTCCTGCTCAGTGCTCACAGAGAAACTCATTCTTCCCCATGGCACCCTTCCCTGAACATTTCTCCCTCCGCTTGCTTCAGCCAGCTATCTCTGTCTCCTTTTCATTTTACTCCCATTGTACCTAACTCTCCTTCAATTGTCATTATAGTAACTTAATATTGGGGTTTTAAATGTTTCATATATCCCAGAAAAGTATCATGTACGTTTTTTGGCTCTCTTCTGATCCCTAGCACCAAATACAGGGCCTAGTACGTGATTGATGGATGCCCAATAAATAGTTGTCAAATGAAAGGACAAAGTTTGGGTGAGCAGAGAGTAATGAGAGATGCATTATAAATGGATACTCCTAAGAAAACCATATGGATATGGCAATAGGAAAACTGTGCCTTAAAAAAGGGTGTATCAGCTGGTATCCATGGTTGCAAGCAACAGAAATGGGCGGTAGCTAACTTGAGAAGAAAAGAAATGTATTAGAAACAATATATTGACTCACGGAGAGTTGAAAGCTGGGGCTGGACCAAAGGAAATCTATTAAATAACAGTGAGAAACACAGCCAAGTTCATCCCAGGGAACAACGTGGTTGGGGCAGCCCACCTGCCAGACTCTCCCAGGTGGTGCTGCTGGATCTCACACCTCCTGCTGGACGCTCAACGTGGTTCTCAGCTGTTGTGCATCTTTGATTCGCTCCTGCAAAACTCCAGATCCAGATGGCGGCCCATTGCCAATAACTGGAAGAGGGACTATCTTGCTCTTTTACCTTTCACAGCGGGTTGAATGCCTTTCTTCCACCAATGTTTATAAGATGTGGGATTCTTTCCAAACAGGTAGACTATGGATACTGAGAAGATAACTTTAAAACAAATCAAGACAAAGGGCAGTGTAGACAGCTAGGGGTTAGAAAGAAAGATATGCTGAGGAAGGGAATTCTAGCAGCATTATGAGCTCGAGTAAAAGCATGGAGGTAGAAAAGTGAAAAATATGTTCGGGATTGGAAGGTGGAAGGGAATGCACAGCAATAAGACCGGAAAGATGAGTTGGTTTCATACAGTCAAGGACATCGAGTTCTAGTTAAGGAGTCTGGCCTTCCCAGCCATTCTCTGGAACCTTAGTATATAGAGGGAACCAGGGCATAGAACGCTGGATGTAAATTTAGAGCATGTGGAAAAGCCCAGCATTTTTTTCTTAGCTCTTTCTTTCACATACAAGCTATTACTTCAAAAGTTGAAAGACATGCTGGTGCGTAAAAGATGTCTATAAAACGATGACAAGAGTTGGAAGGTTTCTTAGCTTCAGGGGCTTTGGGCAGGAATTTCTGTTGGCTTGAAACTTTTATGGACACAAAGATAGTCCAATGCCCATTTATTCTAGCAAATTTTGGAGAAATTCTCCAAGACGTGATACATTTATTGCCAGGGAAGGTAGGAAGCTTCTAGACCAGGCCCCTTTGGTGGATGCGATGAAATGACTTTGAGTCTTTTTCGCACAGTGCATCAAATTTGGGTGGGTCACTTTCTGCTGCTGCGACCTACAGGGAAGGGGGGTGGGTGCTGCTGATGGCTATCAGAGAGGGGGTTTCTCATCCTCTCCCTACATGGCAGTCTTTTGTGTGCTCGGAGGAGAGGGAGCTTCAAGCACAGGGACAAGGTGTGGCTGATGGGGCCCGATAAACCCCACACAAAAAGCCCACTGTAGTGCTGAAAGGGTCTCCAATGTAGCTCTTTAATTTCCTCGCTTGGAAATGTTTCTCCTCTTTTCATCCCCGGCCTTTATCTTAACTTCTAATCGGAGCAAAGCGGCAGCCTTTCAAATTGAACAAATAGGCTCCTCTGCTTGTGACAAGATGTACCTCATTTTCTCGGCAAGCCTTCAGCAAGGTCACACCTTTTTAATTTATTTTCTGTAAGAAAAATCTAGTTGCTGGATAGAACAAGGGCCAGATCTCGCTAGAGGTCATTTCTCAAGCTAGTCATAAAGTAGAATGGGATTAGAGCCGCTTAATATCCTGGCCCTCACCTTCCTGCCTATCATCAGCACTTAGGGAACAAACAGAAGCTTGTCTTGGCGGCAGAGATACTCAACGTGGGTTAGTCTGCTCTCTTATTTTGCTAGGGTATTTTTTTCCCTTGTGTTTATTTGTATTGCAAACATTGCTTTTACCCTCCAAACCATACATACTTAAAAATTTTAATGAAATATCATCAATTGGTGTGTTGTTAACATTTTCTAATATAAAGGAAAGGCCGGAAGAGAGCTTACTTTTCATTTATTTCAGCTCGTCATTAATTTATCTTGCCCACCACCCCAAATTTAGAATTTTTCCCATAAGACTTTTTTCGAGTCATTAAAAGGTGAGGTAAATGATTTTGAAATAAAGGCAACAACTTCACTGCGTATGTTTCAGTTATTGGATAATTTGCTAAAATATCTGGCCAACTTTCCTTTTCTTCCCTTAATTCTTTTTGTTTTATATTAAATAGCTTTCTTTTTCTGATGATAAAAATAGTTATGTACATTCATATATGTAAATACATAGAAAAATGTCTAGAAGGATATATACTAACCTTGAACTGTAATTACTTCTGTGGAGGTGAATAGAAGAGGGGCTCCATAAATTAACCCATTACTGAATTACTTTACAATGATAATGCATTTATGTTGAAAATTTTAAAGAAAAAATAAACAAAAATACTCTATTTTTGGGAGATAATTAAGAGCATGCTAGAAAAAATATCAAATAAATAAAAGGCATCTATAAGCTAACCTTTCAGGAAAAATTAGTGATGACATTTTGTATTTCTTTCCACACTGTAATCCTGTATATTTATCTGTCCCTCTCTTCCTTTCACTATATTATATTGTGTGCATTTCTCCATTTTATTAACTAAAAGCATATTCAAGGGCTGCTAGCATTCCATCACATATGCTTACCTAATGCATTTAGACATGTCAAAACCTGCTTGTTGTTTTCAATTTGTGGCTATTATTACAGGAAACATTGTAATAAAGATCCTTACATATACACATTTGTGTACATCTCAGACCATTTTATTAGGCTGAAGAAAATTCCTAGAAATAAAGTGACTAGTTCGAAGTAGAGAATATATTCAAGACTATTGATTGAAATATTTTGCAAAATTACACTATAGGAAGAATACATCCATTTAATTTTCTACCAGCAGTATTTCAAAGTGTCTATTATATTTTTTTCTTTCTTGCTGACCCTTTGAATTTGATAAGAGGAAAATAGTGATTAATTGTTTCAATTTGTCTTTTTAAATTATTAGTGATATTAAACATTTATCATTAGCTAATTGGTTGTTGGTATTCTCTTGTGAATTGGCCGTTTCGATTTTTTGACTGTTTGTTTAGAAGGGTTTCATTTTTGCTCACTGATTTGTAAACACTGTTTATAGTTTAAAGTTATTAACCTTTTGTATATAAGATATTTTGCATTCACCTACTTTGACAGCTATCTTTTGATTTTAATTATTTTAAAAATATCATAATGTTTCTTTTATTGTTATGCACACACATTTACCACTCAAGTCCTTCATGGTATTTTCATTTGCATGTAGGCTTGGAAACTTCCTTTCCACCATGAAAACTGATATCTATTTAATATTCTACTCAAGTATTTATCTTTTCATTTTTTTCATGTCATCTGTGTTTATTTAGAATTATTTTTATATGTTATAAGATAGAAATAAAAATCAATTTTTCCAAATGGCCAACTGATTGTCCTAAAGCTGCTTATTGCATTCATTTTCCCAAGGATTTGAAATTCTATAATCTATATTCTGTTCCACCGATCTGTCTGTTCTTGTGTCAGTAACACAGTGGTTTAATAATTTCAGTTTTATGTTTTTGTATCTGTCATCTCATTATTCTTTATTCTTCTTTTTCACAATATCTTCAATAGTCTTGCCTATTTGATTTTCAGATGAATTTTAAACCTTCCCTGTCATTTAATGCTTACCAATAAACACTTAGTACTTAACCAATAATTTTTTGATTATGCAAATTCATAAATTAATTTGATCAGAATTGAATTCAACTTATAATTGGGAAGTAGTAACATTTTTCCAATATTAACTTTCTAATCCATGGACATGGTATGTCACCTCATTTATTTTTAAAAATTGTGATCCTCAATGTTTATGATTGTTTTCACATAGTCATTAAATTTTCCTATTAAGTTTAGCTGTATTTCTTTCATTATTTTTTTTTTTTTCAGACAGAGGCTCACTCTGTCACCTAGGCTCTGGAGTGCACTGATGTGATCTTGGCTCACTGCAACCTCTGTCTCCCAGGTTCAAGTGATTATCCTGTCTCAGCCTCCCGAGTAGCTGGGATTACAGGTGCCCACCGCCATGCCAGGCTAATTCTTGTATTTTTAGTAGAGACGGGGTTTCACCATGTTGGCCAGGTTGGTCTCGAACTCCTGAGCTAAGACAATCTGCCTGCCTCAGGCAATCCCAAAGTGCTAGGATTGCTGGCATGAGCCACCAAGCCCAGCCTATCTGTATGTATTTCAAATTTGTATTGTTATAGTAAATTGAACGGTAACTCACTTTTAAAAGGACATATATCAAATTATATTTAGGAAAATTCATTTTAAAACATTTGATATTAGTAGATAGAAATACAGTTGACCCTCAAACAACACAGGTTTAAACTGTGCAGTTCCACCTCCACATGGATTTTCTTCTGCCTCTACTAGTCCTAAGACAAGATCAACCCCTCCTCTTCTTTCTCTCCCTCAGCCTACTTGGCATGAAGATGATGAGGATGAAGACCTGTGATGATCCACTTTCACTTAATGAGCATAAGTATTTTTTTCTTTTCATTATGATTTTCTTAATATTGTTCTTTCTGGCTATTTATGTTATAGGTAAGGCTCAGGTCAGTAGTAGGCTGTTAGTCAAGTTTTAGAAGAGTCAAAAGTTATACATGGATTTTTGACTGCGTGAGGAGTCAGCACCCTGACCCCCACTTTGCTCAAGGATCAGTTGTACAAGGTGCTTCATGATGACTCTCACAATTGCCTCTAGGAGTACACTTTGAAATAAACTTTATGGAACTTACCTCTTTTGTTCCCATGTTCGTTTATTCTTTAATAAATATTTCATTCAATATGTCAATCAGCAAATATTTACTGAGTAACTACTATGTGCCAGGCTGATGATACGATGGTGAACAAAAGCAAGCATGGTTTCGTCCCTAATGGAGTTTATCCTCTAGTAGAGAGACTTCCAGAAATAAAAGTATAATTGTGACAAGGCCTATGAGAATTGACTTTGCTGGAGAGATCAGAGAAACCTTCCCTAGGGAAGTGAGAGTGGACTGAAGGAGAAATAAGCATTAACTAAGGGACTGTGGCAATGGGATGAAAAAGGTGTTTCAGGCAGAAAGAACAGCATGTTTAAAAGCCACGTGACTGGAGGCAGCATCGTGCATTTGCGTTACTGGAAGAAGGACAATGTGGCTAAAGTGTAGAGAGCAAAAGGAGGACTGGAGGGGAGGAGGTCAGTGAGGAGACTAAGGCCAAACTATCAGGGTCCGCTAGTCCATGCTAATCACTTCCATCTTTAGTCTAGGAAGAATGGGAAGAGTTTTAAGAACTCTTTTGAGAACAGTTGATATATTTGTTTTTCAAAATGGTTGCTCTGGTTACAATTATGGAGAAGAGTTTGAAAGAGGCAAGAAGGGATGAGAGTAGACAAAAGAGAAGGTTACTTCAAGAGGTCATGGGAGAAATAAAGGTAGCTTAGGGGAGAGAGGTGCTGGTGGAGAGAGAGAAGTAGATGGATTTGAGAGAGAGCTAAGATACACAATTCACAGCACTTACTGGTAGATTAGTCATGAGAGGTTAGAAAAAAAGACTGAATCCCAGGTTATTGGCTTGGATAACAGAACTGATGGTGTAACTCATTCAGATAAGAACATCAGAAGAGAGCCAAGTTTGGGGGAAAGATCCATAGTTTGGCTTTAGACATGGGAATTTTTAGACGCCTTTGTGATATCCAAGTGGACACTTGCAGGTAGGCAGCTGAATATTCAGATCTGAAGCTCTGGGGAGAAGACTGAGCTAGAAATCTACACTTATGACTCGTCAGCAAATAGATGGTAGTTAAAGGTAGACTTTGTGTAGAGAGCAAGAATGAAATGATAAAGGTAATATATGCAAGACTGAGCCTTAATGGCTGGGTAGAGGGTGTTGAGCCTACAAAGGGAATAGAAAGAGTGGCCAGAGTGAGTAGTAAGTCACCAAAGCCAATGCAAGAAAGTATCTCAATGACATTTATGGCCGATTGATTTTTGACAAGGATGCCAAGACTATTCAATGGGGAAATACTTCTCTCTTTAACAAACGATGCTGGGACAATTTGATATTTGCCCAAAAAAGAATTAAGTTTAAACTTCACTTCACATGATATAGGCAAATTAACTCAAAAGTGATCAACAACCTAAATATAAGAACTAAAACCCTAAAAGTCTTAGAAGAGAGCATAGGAGTAAAACTTTATGGGCTTGGGTTTAGCTTTGAATTCTTAGACATGACATCAAAAGCAGAGGCAGCAACATAATTGAACTTCAACAAAGTTAAACATTTTAGTGTATCAAAAAACATAATCAAGAAAGGGAAAAGACAGCCTGCAGAATGGGAGAAAATGTTTGCATATCCTATATCTAATAAGGATCTAGTATCCAGAATA
Source organism: Homo sapiens (assembly GCF_000001405.40). Lineage (NCBI taxonomy): Eukaryota > Metazoa > Chordata > Mammalia > Primates > Hominidae > Homo > Homo sapiens. Next base: position 54,730,584 of record NC_000016.10, on the reverse strand, counting down.
TATAAAGAACTCATAGCAGCAAAAAGGCAAATGATGTAGTTAAAAATGGACAAAGAACATGATAGGTCTATCTCTTGAGAAGATATTCAAATGGCCAATAAGCACATGTAAAGATGCTCAACATCATCAGTCATTAGGGAAATTAGGGAATGACTAATTAGTCATGAAGGAAATGCAAATCAAAACCACAATGAGGTACAACTTCACACCCACTAGAATGGTGATACTTTTTAAACAATAATTAATAAGTGTTGATGAGAATGTGGAGAAACTGGAACTCTTATACATTGCCAGCAAGAATGTGAAGTTTTTCAGCCCCTGTGAAGAACAGGTAGTCTCTCAAAAAGTTAAACAGAGAATTCTTATATGACCCCACAATCTACTTTTAGGTAACTCAAAAAAACTGGAAATGGGTATTTAAACAAGTACATGTACATGTATGTTCATAGAAACACTATTCATAATTACTAGAAAAAAAAAGGAAAGAGCCCAAATATCTATCAAAAGATAAATGGATAAACAAACTGTAATATATCCATAAGTGAAATATTATTTAGCCACAAAAAGGAATGAAGTACAAATGCATACCACAACATAAATGAACATCTAAACCTTCTGCTAAGTGAAAGAAGCCTGACATAAAGTTTACCTATTGTAAGGTTCCATTTATATTAAATATTCAGAAAAGATAGATCCATAGAGACACAGTATGAATTGGTGGTTGGTTGCCAGGAGTTGGGAAGAATGGAAAATGGGGATAAACTGTTAAATGGGTAGAGGATTTTGCTTTGGACTGAGTGATGGAAATGTTTTCGAACAAGATAGAGATAGTAGTTGCATGAGATTGTGAATGTACTAAATGCCTTTGAGTCACTGTAAGTGGTTAGTTTTATGCTATGTAAACTTTACCTCAATGGATTTTATTTAAGAAAGAAAGAAAGAGAGAGAGAGAGGGGGAAGGAAGGAAGGAAGGAAGGAAGGAAGGAAGGAAGGAAGGAAGGAAGGAAGGATCGATCTCAAGTGGGAGGGGGTTGGCCCTGGAGTGGTCAAGAGAGAAGAGTACTGGATAGGCTTCATACTATGTAATAACACAGAGGTCATTGGTGATGTCGACCAAAGTTATTTTGGTAGAGTGATGGATACAGAAATCTGTTTGCAGTGTGTAATGAGACAGTTGAAGGTAAAGAAAGGAAGACATTAAGTCCAGACAAATCTTTTGAGTTTGACTGTGAAGGTGAAGCAAGAGAGTGAGATGGGAAGTAGTGTGGCAGGAGAGGTTGTGAAGATGGACAAGACCTGAGTCTGTTCAAAGCAGTCAGGAGGGATAGCTATGGCACGTTGGGTATGTGAGGGGAAGGCTGGATGCTTACGGGGGATGTTTTCTGGAACAGTGTAGGGTCAGGAGTGGGATTTACAGCCTTGGAGACAGAGTCAGATGTAGCAGAGGGGAGAAACTCTCCTATTAGACAGGATGAACCATTTTGCCCATAGGTTCTTCAGTGATTTTTCAAAACTGGGTCCATTATCAGAGGTATGCTATAGGTTGTTTACAATACTGTGTGATGATTAGAATAATGGCCTTGGTGTAAGGCCAATCTGAGTAGGAGTTCCAGTAGTCTGCTGATTAATGGTTGCATGATCCTGAGAGCATTGCCAACCACTATCGATTTTAGTTTTATTTTACTTACATGTGAAAATCATTTCTATCTCACTGAGTGGATGGGGGTTAAATGTCATCATAACCTGCTAGGTGAGCACATATCCGTTTTTGCTGCTAGAAATATGAACTCCTTGAGATCAGCGAATATGTCTTCCTCATCCCCACCATAGGGACCATAGTAGGTGCTCAGTGAAATGTGATTCAATGAAAAATACCAATATGTTTTTTATATATATATACACACACACACACATATATACACATATACATATATACATGTATATATGGCTGTATCATTTTAAGAAACTACACACAAATCACTGACTATTCCTCAAATTCCCAAAGATTATTTAATGGTTTATTAATTAAAGGTAGTTAAGTTTTGGCTGCAAATTACAGAAATGGACTCCAACTAGATTATGTGAAACAGAGAGACTTAGAGGAACCCTAAAGACTCATCCACAAAGCGTCTAGATCTGATAAATAAATTCAGTAAAGTTTCAGGATACAAAATCAATGTAGACAAATCAGTAGCTCTGCTATACACCAACAACCCCCAAGCTGAGAATCAAATCAAGAACTCAATCCCCTTTATATAACAGCTGCAAAAATAAAATAAAATACTTAGTAATATACTTAACCAAGGAGGTGAAAGATCTTTACAAGGAAAACTATAAAACACTACTGAAAGAAATCATCGATGACACAAACAAATGGAAACACATCCCATGCTCATAGATGGGTAGAGTTAATATTGTGAAAATGACTATATTGCCAAAAGCAATCTACAAATTCAATGCAATTCCCATCAAAATACCATCATCATTCTTCACAGAACTAGAAAAAAATCCTAAAATTCATAAGGAATCAAAAAAGAGCCCACATAGCCAAACCAAGACTAAGCAAAAAAAAAAAAAAAAAAAAAAAAAAATCTGGAGGCATCACATTACCCGACTTCAAATTTTACAGGGCTATAATTACCAAAACAGCATGGTACTGGTATAAAAATAGGCACATAAACTAATGGAACAGAATGGAGGACCCAGAAATAAAGCCAAATACTTACAGCCAACTGACCTTTGACAAAGCAAACAAAAACATAAAGTGGGGAAAGGATACCCTATTCAATAAATGGTGCTGGCATAATTGGCAAGCCACATGTAGAAGGATGAAACTGGATCCTCACTTCTCATCTTATACAAAAATCAACTCAAGATGGATCAAAGACTTAAATCTAAGACCTGAAACCATAAAAACTCTAGAAGATAACATCGAGAACTCTTCTAGATATTGGCTTAAGCAAAGAATTCATGATCAAGAACCCAAAAGCAAATGCAACAAAAACAAAACAAAAATAAATGAGACCTAATTAAACTATAAAGCATCTGTACAGCAAAAGAAGTAATCAGCAGAGTAAAATGACAACCCATAGAATGGGGGAAAATATCCACAAACAATGCATTTGACAAAGGACTAACATCCAGAACCTACAAGGAATTCAAACAAATCAGCAAGAAAAATACAGATAATCCCATCAAAAAGTGGGTAAAGGATATGAAAAGACATTTCTCAAAGGAAGACATACAAAAGACCAACAAACATATGAAAAAATGCTCAACATCACTAATTATCAGGGAAATGCAAATCTATCTATCTGTCATCTATCTATCTGTCATCTATCTATCTATCTATCTATCTATCTATCTAATCTATCTATCTATCATCTGTCTTCCCCTCTCTCTATCCTCTCACCAACACACACACGTTTTATGTCTTTCTGCTTCAATATCTTTTTGTCTCTGTGTTCTGGATTTCTGTTTCTCAGTCTGAGTGGTAAGATATCACCAACAAAAGCTCCCAAATGTATATATGTTCAGTTTCCACCATCCTGCGAGAGACCACAGTTCCATTTCTAAAATCCTAGGACAGGGTTCTGATTGGCCCACATTGGGTCAGCTGCTTCAGCTTGGACCAATCATCTGTTACATTTACTAAGACCATGCTATCCACCTAACAATGTGGATGGAGGTGGTTAGAGGCAGGGAGCAGTTCCCAGAAATACATGTGATTGTGGGTGCTAGACTAATGTTTAGTTTCCTCTGAAACGTGTAGTCCGAGATGTCTTTTTTTTTTTTACAAATTTGTTTTTTACATTTTTTTACATTGTTTTTTTAATATTTTTTACATTTTTACAAATGCTTTTTATTTTTACTGTTTTTTTAACTCCCAAGCTGGAATGCACTGGCACGATCACTGCTCACTGCAGCCTCCATCTCCTGGGCTCAAGCAATCCTCCTGCTTCAGCCTCCTGAGTAGCTGGGACTACAGGCACGTGCCACCACGCCCAGATAATTTTTGTGTGAGTATATATATATATATATATATACACACACACATATATGTATATGTATATATATATGTATATATATGTATATATATGTACATATATATATGTGTGTGTATATATATATATATATATATATATTTTTTTTTTTTGTAGAGGCAGGGTTTCATTCTGTTGCCCAGGCTGGTCTCAAACTCCTGTGCTCAAGCACTGTGCCCACCTTCATTCCCCAAAGTGCTGGGATTACAGGTGTGAGCCACCGTGCCCAGCCCAAAACTTCTGAATTTAGAGGAAAGCGGCTGATTTGCAAATATTCAAATGATGTTAAGTTACTATTAGTGTGATTTGCTTCAAGCACCCTTTGATTAGGCCATGTCTTGGGAAATGAGAGCTACTTTGGAGTCATCATTGATGATTATGGGATTCTGTCCTTTCAACACAAGCCCGGGTTTGCGTAATGACTGTGTTTTTTGAAATTTGGGTGAATCTGATGTAGCTCCATTGTAGTAGGATGGCCATGAAACAAAGACATTATAATAGTGGAGCGCTGAGTGGAAAATGCTTCACAATCAGGGAACAACATAGTTTTCTGAAGCATGGCCCATGTCGAGAGCATCCCAGGATGACCACTGGGTGCTCAAAGAAAGCAAAGCAGGTGCTTTGATGGTGTCCAACAATTTGAGTTAGTAACTGTTAGTAACTGCATTCAACTATTAGTACTGCAACTCCAAATAACAACTTTGACCAGCCAGGGGTTCGTTTTTCTCTCATAAAATGAAGTCTTGAGGAAAGTTGCCCATTGGTGATGCAATGGCCATACCCCATCCCCAGACTCTATCCTTCCCTTTCACCATCTCTGGCTGCCATGTCTATCTTCAAGGTTACCTCAGAATCACAAGGTGACTCCTGCTGCACCCACCATCACATCTGTGTTTTAGGAAAGAAAGAAACAAGAGGAAGGAGAGAGGGCAAAAAGGCCCCCATCAGCTGAGTCAGTAAACTTTTTAAGGCACTTTCTTAGAAACCTCAGTCAACAATGTCCTCTTATTTCTAGAACTTAGTTATGAGAACACTCCTACAGGCAAGGGAGGCTGGGAAATGGAGTTTTTGATTGGCTGCCATGTTGGCTTTCCCCCAGTCAGAGCTCTATGGAAAAGAAGAAGAGATTATGGAATAATGAGTTGGCAACTAGCAGAGCTTGTCTTAGCAACTTTGCTTTCTTTGATGTTCCTCAGTTTCCATATTTACATTAACAGTTCTTCCACAGGTATGTGCTACACTGTTTCTGTGCTTTGAGAATTACCCATTTTTGTGATTTTACTTGTTTATTCATTTAACTCATGTCTTTTGAGAATCAGCTGTATGTCAGCACTGGAAATACGGCACTCAGCAAAATAAAAGAAAAATCCCTTCTCTCATGGAGCTTCATTTTAGTAGAAGGCAAATGATAAGAAAAAAATAAATTAAATAGATAGCATACTTGATGGCCACAAGTGCTCAGGCCAAGAAAATAAGGTGGAGAAGTAGAATGTTCATGATGCTTTGGAGAGGTGGTTTTGAAATTTTAGATAAAGGACCAAAGAAGATCTCATTGAGAAGGTGACTTTTGGAATCCAGGCATAAGGAAGTAGGGGAGCTAAGTCCAGGAAAAGCATTCCCAGGAGAGGAAAGTGCAAGTGCAAAGGCCCTGTGGTAGCAATACCCATGGTGTGTCTGAAGAACAGTGGGGAGGCTGGTGTGGTTAAAGCAGAGGGCACGAAGGAGCAGTGGGGGAGATGAGGCCAGAGGGAAAGCCAGGAGCTGATCACACAGGCCTTGGAGACCACAGGAGAAACATCTGCTTTCTGTCTTTTGCCTGCCTTCACAGCTGGAATTTGTATCAAGCTTTTGATAAAGCTTTTGCATTAAGTTTTATTTCACTGTTATGAAATAGCAAGTTTCTCTTCTGTTGGCCAGCACTGGATAAATCTTTCCTGCTTCTATCTCATCAGTGTTAGGCTTATCATAATAGCATTATAGTCATGACTTTAGCTATTATACCCAATTACAGACACACATACACACACACACACACAATTTACAAATGCTTTTTATTTTTACTGTTTTTTAAAAAAATAGCATCACTACCCACCAGCTGGCTATACTGTGCAGGTTTTTTCATTCTCAACTCTTTGCAGAAAATTGAGTGATACGGCCTGCTGGCACTGACATGAATGAGTGCGATGATGATGATGTGTTAGAAACATATTAAATATGAAGACATCTTCAACAAAATCCTGAAGGTGATCCTTATACAAAGGGATTTCTACCAGTAGGTTTAGAGATAGGAACCAACCCAGAGGCAGATGGAATTACTTAGAGGTGGTTAGGGAAAGAATTCAAAGTGCAAGCTGGAACACAAACCTGGATTAAACTTCTCAAATGTGCAGGAATTTTTGTTATGAAGTTTGTTTTTTATTTTTTTCCTTGTCTCCAAATCCCAGCCCTAAACTGTATGTCTCAGATGAACAGGGAGCAAGTGTAATTAACTGAATAGAGCAGTAAAAGGAGAATTATGGGATATGGAAAGCATTTAAATATGATCCATGGGTTTGGAGAGATTGTAAGCATGTGATAGATGCTCAGAAGAGGCCGTCCGAGAGATTGTACTGAAGGCTCAATTGGGAAATGACTAAAGCATGCACCAGAATCTTGGCAGTTCACATAATTAAAAGACTAAATATTTTATAAAGATAATGCAAGTAAGATTTTACCAGCACCAGACTCTGTGCCATAAGTGATTAAACACAAACCAAAAATGCACACACGCTTTCTCTCTGGGAGGCAGGATGTCTGCTTCTTCCCTCTGGAAGCCTGGAAGGTTGAGCAATGTGCTTACCTGATTACTGAACAGATTACTAGTGTCAGGAATTAGAAAGCAAGTGTTAACGAGGTCCTTGACTATGTGGTGGATGGAGGCAGGACAAGAGCTGGTATTCAAAAAGAGAAATAAATGCTCAAATCTTTCCAATCACTTATTGTCCTGGCACCCCAGAATGTCAACAGGGACTGGTTTATAAAAATACAGTTTATAAAAATAAACCATAAGGCTTCTTCAAGAAGCCAGAAAGAAGATAATATTTTTATTATCTTGGGAGAGGTCAAGATTTGTGAGACAGGAGGCAAAAAGAACTAATAAGAACAGAGAAGATATTGATAAAATGAACTTCATCAAGATTAAAAAATCTTCTCATTGAAAGAAACTGTTGTGAAAATTAAAAAGCCAAACACAGACTGGGAGAAAATATTTACAAATTGTACATTTATATCCACAATATATAAAGAACACCTGTAAATCAATAATAAAAATACAAACAACCCTATTTTTTAATGGGCAAAATAATACAAAAATAGCCAAAAGATTTGAGCTGGAACTTCACAGAAGACATATGAATGCCCAGTAAGAATATGGAAAGGTGCTTGATACTATTATTCATCAGTGAAATACAAATTAAAACCACAATGAGATTGCACGAACACCCACCAGAATGGCTAAACTGAAAAAGTGTTGGAGAGCTGTTGTTATTGCCATCCTCATCCTCCACCTCCAGTTGGTGGCTGTATGTCTCTGCTGTTGTGCCCCCTCAATGTCTCTTTATTTTGTGCCACACCCTTAGCTTTTTGACAACTCTTCCACCTTGCAACAACTTCCTCACCCATCTCCCTGATTCCAGTTCCTCTCTCTCCATTCTTCTTCACTCTGTTGCAAAGCTGGCCAAATCCTTCCCTGTTTCACCTTACCTGGGAGTTACCCAAGCCTGCCAGGCAGAGCATACCCTCCTGAGAATCCTTGACTCTCCCAAATCTCCACCCTTCTGGCCTCACTTAAGGAACCCACTCTGTCCTAGCCTTGACAAATTACAGATTCCCAAACACAAGGATTCTGCATCTGTTAGTTAATTTGTTTGTTTTACTGGAGCTCCTCCCAGCCCATCCCTATTGCCCTCAGGATAAACACCAAACTCTTTGCTATAATCTTCAAGGTTGCGCCTGGCCCCACCTCTTCATGTGTCCACTCATTCATTCCTCCTCTGCAGCCACAGGAGGGGCCATGCTCCCTCCTGCCAGGGGGACTTTGCACGTGCTATTCCCTTCACTTGCAACACTCTATTCCTTCCTTCATCTAATGAACTCCTACTCAGGCTTCTGATCTCTGCCTGGTTGTCAATCAGGGAAGCTGTCCTTGCTCTTCTGACCCCTGCCCTCATCTGGACTGATCAGAGCCTCTTATCCTCATAGCACCATGAACTTTGCCTTTGCAGTGTTTATCACAGCTGTAGTGTTACATTTGCTTTTTTTGTAAACCTCTCTACTATAGGCAGGGACAGCATCTGTTTCCCACCATTCTACCCAGAGCTTCCAGCGGGGCCTAGTTCCCAGTGGGAGCTGCATAAGCATTTGTGAAGGAGCAGGAGGGTTCGGTTATGTGCTCTGACTCTGGAGCCAGACTGCCTTGCTCCAGATCCCAGCTCTGCCACTTACTAGCTGTGTCACCTTCAGCAAGTGACTTGACCACTCAGCGCTGGCTAGGACTCGAGTGCAGAATATAAGGAGGCACTCACTCTAGGGCTGCACCCTCATCCTGGCCTTGTCTCTGTGCCTCAGTTTCCTCATCTAGGACAATAGCTGTGCCTGCCTCATGGACTTGTAAAGATGAAAGGATGTCATGGATGCTGTATTTGTCCATTTCACGCTGCTCATAAAGACATACTCAAGACTGGGCAATTTACAAAACAAAGAGGTTGAATGGACTCACAGTTCTACGTGGCTGGGGAGGCCTCACAATCATGGTGGAAGGAGAAAGGATCATCTCACTTGGCAGCAGACAAGAGAATAGAACTTTATGCAGGGAAACTCCCATTTATAGAACCATCAGATCTCATGAGACTTATTCACCATCAAGAGAATAGCAAGGGAAAGACTCGTCCCCCCATGATCCAATTACCTCCCACGAGGTTCCTCCCACAACACATGGGCATTGTGGGAGCTACAATTCAAGATGAGATTTGGGTGGGGACACAGCCAAACCATATCAGATGTGAAGCACGTGGACCAGCTCCTGGCAGAGGAAAATGCTGTGTGAGCCTGTGCCATCCTCATTTGTCAAGTGTCTCAAGGACCAATGCATACCTTTTCTGCCACCACTTCCTTCCTCCCAACTTAGGCCTATCTCTCTCTCTCAGGACCCCACTGTCACTGTCTTCTTCTGAAAAATAGCACTATTATTAGAACCTAGGTGAATTGTTCTCATAGTATTACACATCTGTCATCCTCTAGACGAGACAAGAGCTATTTGAGGACATCTGAATCTAAATAGTTCCTCTCCCAGGATAGAGGGTGTCTTCCCAGACAACTGGTTGAAGGAATATCTACTTGTATCTCTTATTCAAGGCCAGGTCCAAAAGCCCCTCTATGAAGCTGCTGGAGTGCGTGTAATGCTGTCTCCTTGTTTAAACTTCAGGATGTGAAGCTGGTGTCAGGGAGAGGTGGGAGAGGAGGTGCAGATCCAAACGGAGCTCAGACCTGCATTCAGGAAACCCCGGTTCACTGTCGAAAGGGAAGGACAGAAATGCCCGGGAAATTCACACCTTCAGAAGAGGCATTTCTTCTCCAACTGTACCCCTGGGAAGTTTATACATGTAAGTGGTGAATAAGTCCATCTAGATAACTAACTTTTGGTTTTGGGGTAGCTTTGACTATCTAGAAAATGTTGCACATGACCATCCCCCTGCTGTCTCATTGGTAAACAACCTCTTTTCTTTCTTTTTTTTTTTCTGTTTGTAACTCCTGGTCTGTGTCCTGTTCCCTGCCATCCATGCCTGCACATGGGGAACACTGAAGGATCCTGGTCTCCCTTTCCTTGGCCACTTCTGGGGAGGAACCAGAATCATGGGTTCTGTCCTTTCCTCACCCAGTCACTCTCACACTCAAACTCCACATGCCCTGCCCTGGCCAGACTTCTCATAGACCCATGTGGTTGGTCATGAGGGGCCCACAGTCAGGGAAAACAGATTTTCCAAGCCTGGGGATACATGCCCAGACTCGTGCCCCATGAACAGTCCATCATCTTTAGAACCAGAGAACAGTGTATGTCTTTGTTTGGGGAAGGATGAATCCATCAGAAGACCCAGCTCTGGGGGCTGATGGCAGGGTGATTCATGCCCAAATGCTGTTGATTTTGTCAAGCCTTGTGGGAAACTGTGAAACTGAAACATGCTCTCACACAGTTGGACTCTGGATTTTCTCCTACTCCCACTCCTCCACCTTTTTTCTCTACAATAGGAGGAACTGAGAATAAGGGCCACCCCCGTCTTCTCCCTGGTTATATGAAAGAAATGGCTGCAAAGGGGTTAAAATTCTACAAGCAAACGTGGGCCTGATGTAGCGTGTGCTCCCACCTTCTGTTCAGCTGTAAACACTGATCACTCCTGACCTCTTAATCTGTGTCATTCCATCTGGCATCTGCAAGGGGAGAAAGTAAAGCAATCTAGAACATTATCAGTCACCTGGAGTCAAGAACAGTCTAGAATGACATCAAATGGTACGTCGAATACTGTAGAGTGTATTGCTTCTAGTTAAGTCACAAAGGCTTCTGTTGCAATTATGATTTTATTCAAATCAATACTAACGACGCCTGGAAATAGAGATGGAGAGGCAGTAAGCCAACATCTAGCATGCCTTGCGGAGCACCTTTCCAATAAATATGCAAGAGTGTCTCCGCCGTGGAATCTATTGCTCCCGTGAAGTCAGCATAAATATGTGAGGGGCTTAACAACGCCTGCTGCATGTATATTGGCAATTTGTCAGCATGCTAGCAATAGGAAGCAAATTTGAAAGTGCCTGGTGTTTGGCTGGCATCGTTTTTCAGAATACAAATTCAGGAAATTGCTAAATCTGGTTAATTCTTTGGAATTAACATTACACACGTTTCCCTGAATGAACTACAAGAGGTTTTGGAAACTTCCTCTTCACCTTTCTCCAGTTCTACCACCAATCTGGGGGTTCCCCACACTCCCAGCTTTCTCTCCAAGGTCTGACCTCCTTTGGTAGTTAGCTTTTGTTTCTTTCACTTAATCATCCATCTGACAATCCTCTCAATTTTCCTTCAGGGTTAACTACCTCTCATATCAAAGTCAAGTAGTTTGGGTGGTGTTGACTCCACCCTCACCTGTGTTTTGGTTGGGCCAATCAGATAATCCCATCCTTCTGGCCACAGTGATTGGTTCAGAGATAAACATGTGACTCAATTTGGGCCAATGAGAGTCAAGCATAGGAATTTTGTTTACGCTCATGAGGAAGAGAAACACTCTATTTCTGTGGGACGTGGAGCTAGGCGGAGTGAGTCTGGAGCTACCAGGGGTGACCACAGAGAAAGGCTGTCTGAGAATAAAGCCAACAGAGTGAAGCAGAATGCAGAGGTGGTGAGAAACTGAGTCCTGATGATGATGTTAAAGCCCTTGGATCAAGCCATGCCTGAAGGCAGATATCTTAATTTTTTATTTATAAGAATACATTTTAAAATAATTATTTTTGCTAAGCAGTTACAGTTGTGTTTTCTGTCACTCACAATCAATAAACTCCTGACTGATGCGCCCTAAATCCCAAGAATCTATACACACTCTGTATTTTCTCCAGTGTTGATGTTAGATAGATTAGTGAATCTAAATGGCTCTTCAAGTAACAGTAAGTCATTATTTTAAAAGGAGAATGGGATTCTGGTGCAGGCAGGGAGGACTGGATCTGTGATCAGTGTCCTGGAGTTGGTGTCACTCAGCTGTAGCTTCCCCAGCACCTTACCCATTGCTCTGATCCGTGTAGTAGTGAAGTGCCATGCTTCCTCCCTAGACCCTGGTCTCAGTCATCTGTGAGTTCCACTACTTAGGGCACCGCCTGGCACCGAGGAGATGCTTGATGTGTGGCTTTGAGGAAGGCGCTTAGCTTTGCTGGGCCTCTGTCCACTAATCGATAAAATAAGCCTCTCAACGCAGATGTTTACTAAGCTTCTTCTCGCGGCAAGGGCTCCCGCAGTATTCTGCAGAGAGAATAACACATGGGCAGCCCTGTGGCAACTCGGGAAAAAACCAACACGGCGCAACTAATAAAACTACCTTCTGTTAATGCAACTTAGTTGGAGCTAAAACTGGAACCCAGATTTTTAATTCTACTCCAGCACTATGTCCACTTATGTATGTGAGAAAGGAAGACTTGCTTTTACCAACAATTTATTGAATTCCTTTTAGTAAGGACACTGCTCCTTGGCTTCCTGTCCCTGATCTATCGTGTGGGTCCATGAGTTTGTGTTATTTCTGCAAGGATGGGAGTTGGGGTGAGGGGAAGGCTCACTCTGAAATGCTATATGTTGTTGAAATGTCTTAGTTCTGTCAGCCACAGAGCAGCTCAGAAATTCCTGCACCGCATGTGCACATGTCTGGAGCAAAATGAGTGTGTGAGTCTGATGTTAGGGTTATGATCATAATCACAGCAAATAACTACTTTGTATCTTGTGTTTCAGCTCTGAGCTATCAGGTTTCCTGTCACCCTCTAATGGCACCTTGCCAGCACGCCAGGTTCAAAATGGCACCATGCAATGCTGTAAGGTTGCATCTCCACTTTTGTAACAGATGTGACACTTGTCAAATAACATGCACGGCCCTTCAGTATCTCCCAGTGACTTCAGCCTGAAAGGACAGGTTAAGAGATGATCATTCTTGGAAGGGAGATATTTTGTCTGCTAAATGGTTTTCGCTGAAACAATCAAAGCTGGCAGGGATGAAGCAAGAAAAGTGCTGGAGTTTATATTCAATCTAGCTTGGGTTATAGCTACATGTAGGCGAAAATGCGGTTCTAAAGATGACTATGAGGGTCTCGATTTTAATGCATGAAAGAACAGCATGCTGTGCAGCTGGCAGAGCTGGGCCACATTGAGCTTAGACCAAGGGACATCCGTTCTTTCCATGTGTCTATATTCAGTGCCTTCCCTTGAATCTTTGTATCCCAAGTGTGGTGGACGTCATCTTCCCAATTAAGAGGTGAGTTCCACGAAGGCAGAGAATTTCAGCCTTTTTGTTAACTGTCATTTCTCCAGTGTCTAGAGCAGTGGCTGGCACAGAGTAGATGCCTATAGATTTTTGTCACCCATTGGACAGGCACAAGACGCCATTGGGTGCTTACAATATTGGAAAGGGAAAAGATGTAATGCACAAGAACTAATTATGAACACCTCGATTAAAAAAAGCATAATCCCTCTGCAATTACAGCCTTGGTTTTATGTGTCGTTTCCAAAACTTTAAACTCTGCCATCATTCATACAGGACAAGTTCCTGCTCTTAAACAACACAACAATGAAGCGATTATCCTGACCCTTCTGATCACACTCCACAATCTGGTGGCCCACAGCTGGGTTTTTGCAACTCACACATGTGAATTTGGCCATTTAAAATATAATTAAATTAGTTACCAACATTTAAAAGCTGGGAGATTTTATATTAAAATATGAATTTCTGGCTTTCCCTCAATAATCGAAAGGCACCCATTTTCCTGTCGGGCAATAGCTGGCTGGAGCTGAGAAGCTGATGTCCCCGTGAGATGAGGCATGTGCACCCCAATTTGTTCCAGTCCTTAATTGACTCATTTTACTTACTCTTACGACCCACCCACCCCTGAAGACTTTCAAGTTTTCTGCTGGGAGATCTAGGCTGTTGTGTAAGGAGAAGAGGTCTGTTAAGTTCTGTCCATGTGAGTTTTGGGTCTGAGACAATGTAGAAAAATGTATCCTTAAGGACTTTGATCATTTTTTTGAGGATAAAGAAAACCAGCATGATTTCAGGTATGTGTGACATTAAATTTTCAAATCAGTAAGAGCAAGCTTGAAAACTTTCATAAGGATCTATGACACAAAATCAGAGGGCAAACATTCCTTGGAGCACCTTGAGGTCACAGCCAATGTTAACTTCCAGAGAGTTTTTTTAATGGCAAAGAAGCTGATTTGTTTCAGAAATAGATACCTTCTAAAATTTTGATTTGAATTTTTTTAAATATGTTTAATGCCATTTTTATTATTTTTGGATGAGAATTTGACCTTGCCAGCTGCGGTTGTACCTGTCATGTTTTTTCCCCCACCCTCAACACTGTAACCCCTGTCAGTGACAGATGATCCACCATGTGGGACTCAGTATCAGGTTGCAGAGTTCAAATGAAAAGTGTTGCAGAATTCAGCAGAACTTTGAGACTGGAGTGGGCCACAGTTTTAGGAAGAGGCTTCAGGGAGGAAGGAAGCTGGGTTCTGAATTGCCAGGACAGCACAGGAGTGCATGAGCGGAGGACAACAGGGACAAGAGGGAGGAGCTCGGCATTGGCACTGCACCTGGCGGGCATTTGGAAAACCTGCTTTCTAAGCATTAGAGGCTGAAACCCAGGAATCAGACTGTCTGCATTCAAATCCCACTTTGCCTCTTACTGTGTTACCCTGGACAGGTCACTTACCTTTGCCGAGCATCAATTTCCTTTTGTGAAAGACAGTTCCTACCCTGTAGGTTGCTGTGAAAATTCGACGAATCTAAATGCATGCGCTACACAAAAAAGAGTTCATGGAACACCATAGTGCTCTATAAGTGCTTGCTGCTATCACCAGGGCCGGACTGTCGGTAGATGTGGAGGGCAGATTTGTCTTGGGAGCAGATGGAGAATGAAGCTTCATACAGTTATCTAGAATTCTGGGATCCGATACTCCCTCTGAGCTGCAGGTAAGACCTTGATACAATTTTGTTGCCACAAAGGGTCTGCCACTTTCTGGAAGAAAAGGACCTAATCTTAGGGTCTTTCGTACTTACTACAAGGTAAATAAAATACTTGGCACATACAACTTACTCACCAAATATTTGCTAGTTGGTTTGATTTAAAGACCCCATTCCTACCTTAGATTGGTTAGGTCAAATTTTTCAAGAGGATGCAGAAATCCCAATTCTTAGGCAAAACTTTCCCATTTTTTTTAAAGTAAACTTTGCATGGGTTAAATAAAACACACCCACATGCTGCATTCAGGCAGTGAGCTGCTAGTCTGAAACATCTAGGCTAGATTTTTGTAGCAGACACTGTTGGTGCCCCTCAGGCCTTGTCACTTCAGGGCCTTCAGGAAGTCTAAGCTCCTGCATCCCTTTGCCTGGGGTCTTTCTCAGGCTGCAGCACTGACTGGGCTCACATGCAGGGAAATGATGCTCTTTGGAAGCAGCCCACATTCATGAATGATGAAAGTTGGTGGACAAATACCCCAGCTCCCTCCCCTCTTGGACAGGACAGTTCCAAGAAGTGTATGCATTCTATACTTGCTCCCAGTGTTCCCCACCAGTGCTGAGCCCCAGTTTGATTTGCTTGATAACACTCTTTATTGGCTACTTTCCTTTCCCTGTTTTACTCCTCCATTTACCATCCTGTTTTCTGGGGCCACTTCCCTACAATCTGCACATGAATCCTCATCTTGGTGCCTACTTCTAGGGGAACCCAAACCAAAATAATTATCTTAAACACCTGTCACTTGGAAAAACAGGGTCTTCCAGAGTTATCTAGCAGGTGGCACTGGCCAGGTGTTGCAAAATGGAATAAATTTAGGCCCCAAGGATCTCTTTGGTGCCAAAATAAAGTTTCATGATTGGTCTAAGGTCTTAGACAATCCCTTGTAATTTTGGAGTGGGGGAGAGGGGGATCTTTTTGATTCCGGTGCATTCATTTGCATTTAAATTTGAAGTTAAGGCTTTTAGAAACTTTTAATTTCTATTTAATTATAAGAATTTCACTGCAGGGTATCTATCTGATTTAAAAGAATAATTAAAATTAAGTATAACTGCGGTGATTTGCCACAGTGTATGGCTGTCCTTCAGGACGTTAAGCAATAGCAAATTATTTGTGGCTGGAGGTGCTCTATATGTAAATTCCCACAAGAATAGAGTTTGGTGATAGAGAAATTTAGATGATGGAAATCACACTGCAAGTTTAAACATCAGTGACTAATAAATGCTTTCGTTGTTACCATTACTTCTCTTAATATCCTCAATTAAATGATTTAAAATAGAACAATAGATAAGCAAGATCAATTAATTTTATAAGATGATCAAAGGAATGTGGTTCGGCATTGTAAAAGCTGTAAATGTGATAATGGTTCTATCAGAGAGCAAAAATAACTTGAAGTGGCTCAAACCTTATTCGTTTATGCTCAGAGGGGTTTTATTTGTGATTAATCAAATTGTCTTTTGTAACAGGGAGAGTTTTAGGATGTGGCCCATTAATTTTAGAAAAAAATAATTCAGACATTAAAATAGATGCTATCCTCAGATGGTTATATGTCAACCATAATAAGTGATAACAACCATCAAAATATCTTGAGCCTATAACCTGTTGGAAGGAGGCTTCGGCAGGGGCCAGGGAGCTGCCAGTGGCAATAACATTGATCCTCCTTAGCACTTAGGGAGGGGGCCCTAACTCAGCTTCTGTGTCTGCGGTCTAGGCTGCAGGCCAAATAGAAGGTACAGAAACAGCCAGAGCTTCTCTGCGCAGATGAAGTATGCGCCGGTGGGAATTTGAGACTGGCAGAGTGAAGAGAAGGATCATTTTTGAAAGGCTACGTTTATCTGCAGTGTGTATTGAGGTTAAGAATGATTCAATTATTTATACCCCTCTGCCTTGCAAAAAAGGAATGAAGGTAGCTTAACCCCGCCCCTGACCAAAAGGACAGAAACGTAAAAGAACATAAAAAAACCAAAGCTGAGACATACAAGGGTGATGGGTAATGATTATGGCGGTTTGAGCTAATCCAAGGGAAAATGTTTGCAACTAAAAACAAATTTTGGCTCTGAGCTTCCTGGCAATCCAAGCAAAAAGAGAAGTGAGTTATTACCTCTTATTATCTTATTTAAAATAAAAAAGAGAAGATCTTTAATTCCTAGGAGGATTTTTTTTTTTTTTTTTTTTTTTTGCGAGAGTCAGAAAGTGAATACAATCATAGGGGTTAAAAAAAAAATTAAGGTTACAGAGTATGAAACACAAAAAGAGTTACTCTGTACGTTACCTGGTTCATTTGACCAGAAGTTTTAGGTCTGATAGGAGCAAATTATCAAGTGTGAGAAAACATCTGTCTTAGGATGTCAGTCTCAAAGGCCAGAAATATCACCACAAATCTAGTTTTTTCATAGACAATGTTACGTTGGTGTTGTGTAATGAGTGATAAGTACCTACTTAGCAAGAATGGGGCTGAGTGATCAAACACTGGCTTCACAACTTTCAGGGGCAGTCTGTGATTTTGAGAAGAGAGAATAAGATAGGCTGGGAAGTAGGGGACATCAGTGCTACCAACAAGTAAGTGGCTTTCTGTCAGGGAGCTCTCTGCAGAAACCATGGTTGGCTTTCCCCACCACTGAAAGGCTGAAGCTCAATTTGCTAAGTGGCTCATGAGCTGTGGCCTGCCCTGCATTAGCACAGCTCTTTGGGGCTTATTGAAAGTACTTTGGCAAGCTCGCTGCTTATCCAAGCCACCATGTTCTCTTCCTTTGCTGAAATTCCCGAGACTAATCTGTTGTGGCTTTCAGGTCTAATAGCAGAAAGGTAGGGCTATGGGCCAACTCCCATGGGAAAATCAGCAGGGGAGAAAGCTCTTGGGCTCAGCTGTTATTTAAGATCCTTGAAAGGTAGCTGTGCCAAGGCATTTTCCTGGCCAATGGTGACCCCTTCTCCAAATCTCAAATATGATTCCTGCAAGAACTTACCATTCTCTCCATCTTACATTATTTCTGGATATGATACAAAGAGGTTGGGTTTTGGAGACAAACTTGGGTCCACATCCCCTTTTGCCACTTATTGGTCATGAGACCCTGGACAAATAATCTAATTTTGTTGAATCTCTATTTTCTCATCTGAGAAACAAGTCTTTCTGAGCTAATATTCATAAGCCTTCAAGATCCTCGATGTCCGTGTATAGAAACTGTTCTCACGTCATAGTTTCATTTATAAATAGGTGATAGGCCCTGTTCTAGGTGTTGAGAGTACAGAGGGAATAAAATACAATTCCTTGAAGAACTCCAAGTCTACTGTGGCATGTGCCATGATGGAAGCATGTGCTGACTTTACCCTAGAAGGAGGGGGTCCAGCTTGGCCATCTGCACAGTGGCGGGCGCTGTTAACCCAATGATCAGGACTGGAATCAAAAGAGCCAGGCTCCGACTCCTTTTTCCTAGCTTCCCAGGCCAAAGGTATTCATCTGTATTTTTAGTTGCTTCATCTATAGAAGGAAGGAGGCCTGATCTAAAGGTCATTTGGGTTCCTGCAGATGATTAGCCACGTGGAAGCTGCAAGATAGATATGAGAGAATTACATCACCCAGGAAGACTAGAATGTTAGGAAGTTCACCCAGTCTCCATCCACCCTGGATCTCTTCTACAAGATCCAAAGGGTTTCCATGAGCTGATCCCTGTTACCCAAAACAATGTGAAGAAGAGAAAGGGTTTCCATGAGCTGATCCCTGTTACCCAAAACAATGTGAAGAAGAGAGACAGAGCACATAATGTATTCCTGTAAAACAGTTACTAACCTTGCATTGATGATCCATCAGTGTGGAGGAGCCCATCCAGCCCAGCCACTGCGATTTAGTTCAAGGAAATTGAGCAGGGCAGGCATCCTGGGCTGCTATGATGGCCGAGTGAACTGAGTCACAGTCACTCTGCCAACCCAGTGGGTGTGTGCTTGAGCTGAAGCACTAAACTTCATCAGTAGTATAATTCCATTTACGCTATTACATAATTAAATTGAGACTTGAATTGTGCTTTTTAAAAGATTATGTGACCATATGTAGCTTGAACAAGCGCCAACTTCGAGAAAAGTGGTCTTTTTACAATCCCTTTCTATTAGGTTAGGACTCTGTTATTTCTTGTTTCATTCCCCCCTCCATCCCCAAATTTGACTTAAACCCAGTCAGTAGTTAATAAACTGATATGATTGCAGGTAAAATATTTTTATTTTAAAATATGCTTTCAGTAGACTTTCAAACAGAAACAAAACCTTGCAGAATCCAGATCATGTATCAAGCATGGAATAGCTGCATTCCCATACTCTGAGAGAACAATGTACACTAACATTTCAAATGAATTTTTTTTCAAATCAGGTTTTAAACAGAAAGTTTTAGTGTCAGTACTGAGTAATTTAATTAGCAAATGGTACACTTAATTCTCAAAATAAGTCAGGTTAAAGAAAATGAGATCTTATGTCTAGCATAAAGCTACTCCTTTTTGAGAGATTATTTAACACTTGAAAGAATATATCTCTTGTACTCAGTAATATTAGGGAACTCAATTCCGATATGGAAATCAAAACAGGAGAGAATTTTTATGGCAATTAATTTAATAAACAAAAAGTACTAATGGCTTTAAATGAAATCCAGACATTATTTTGAAAAGTTAATAAGAAAAATAAGCGTACTTGTAAGCCTAAGAATAATGTGACTAGTTTTTGGTTTTTTTTTAATCAAAGTAAGCTGTTCCACATAAAATCCAGGCTAGTCTATGCATATGCAGCAGCCCTTATTAAGATGCGTTAGAAAACCCAAATGCCATTAGATAATGAAACTGATCAGAGATATTTTCTAGTGCTTCAATTAATACCCTGGTGGTTAAACTGTAATGACTAAACTCAATTGGAGTCAAATCCAGATGTGAATTGTACTTACCGACCTCAGGGTCACTGCTTAGTGGATTGGTTTTGAAATACTACAGCACTAAATTATAACAATTGTTTTGTTTGAAAGTTCTTTTCTTTTTCATTGATAACCAAAATAAGTGTTCCCCTAAGCTCAAACATTAGCATAGAGCACAGCAGGGCATTAACACCTTCTAGCCTTGCTGTGTGTCTAGCACATAGTAGGTGCTCAGTAAATATGTGCTGGGTGAACACATAAAGAGTATGTTCAGAGAATTTATCTGATCTTACCCAAAACATTATGCTCTTTCTTTGGAGATCTTAAAGTCAGCTGGCTTGCCTTGACTGGTGTCTGCCATAAGTCAATCTTGGTTTTAATTAAAGAATTTTGAAGTAGACGTGGACACACAATAATACTTTTTATTTGTGAATTTCTAAAAAAAAAAAAGTTCAGTTATTTAATTCTCACTACAACCCTATAATCTATTATCCCAATTTTACATAGTGAGGTTAAATAACTTGAAATTTGCATGTCCAGTATGTGGTAGAATATTTGAATGCAGTCGGCTTAGATCCTAAAGCCATTCTTTCAGCCTTGACATCAGGGGTCCACAAACGATGCCTCAAGGGCCAAATCCAACCTGTTTTTGTAAAGCAAGTTGTATTGGAACACAGCCCCACCCATTCATTTGCATATTGTCCAAAGCTACTTTCCTGCTACAACCTGACTTGAGCAGTTGCAACAGATACCACACGACCACAAAGCCCCAAGTATTGACTATCTGACCCTTTAATAAAAAACATATCAACCCCTGCTCTATACTATTTACTTAAGAGGAAAAATAAGTCATGGGGACTGCTCAGATAAAGTTTGTGTTCAAAAAAACCTTCCATTGAAGTCAGCCAGAATCCACTGACAGAAAGAACAATCTTCATAACCCAATTCAAGGCAGCATGGGATGGTAGAAAGAAGAAAACGCTTTGAGGCCAGGCCAGGTGTAAATATTAACTCCACCAGTTAATAGTTGTACAGATGTGAGTAAGTTGTATCTTTTTTTCTAAGTCCCAATTCTCCACCTGTAAAAGTGGGCTATTTATACCTCCCATGCTGAGCTGTTTTAGGGGATTAAATAGGATAATTTATGTTAAAGGCTTAATGGAGTGTCTGGCACATAGTAGCTGGTCAATAAATAAATGGTAACGAATAAACAAGGATTTATCATTGCATCTCTTTTTGTCTACATCTGTCTACATCTATATATCTGTTATCTAAGGTAGGATGTCAGAATCACTGAACTGCAGTTATTCCAGAGCGTTCATGAGAACTGAAACATTTGGAGGAGATGTCAACCACATCATAAAAGTCTTCTTTCCAAGGTTACTATAAAAGATTGGTGGTCTGGCCTTCTAGTCCTTGCTCTGGAGAGGAGTCTACTAGGGGACTGTGTTTAAACTAAGGTCGGGCAAAATAGAGCTCATTCCACACTCCTAGATGTGACCACCTCATATGACTATTGTCCCCATGTACTTCTGATGAAGCTCACCCTGAAATAATGTGATTTCCCCTCACAGTGTGCTGAGGGGGGCCACAGAAGGCATCTGAGAGGCTTGCATTCCTCCAACTTCTGTGCTTCTTGGGAAGAGTATACCTTGGACATTTTCAGTTGTGCTTCTGTGCCACCTCCTTGGTCTCCAAGCACCAGCATCTATTAGTGGATGTAGTGCAATAGCTTCCACCAAAGCCCCTGAACGGTTTGCACACAACTCAGCAGCCAGAGGGATCCTTTAACCACATATGTTAGATCTTGTCACTCTCCTGAGCAAAACCCTTCTGTAGCTCCCTATTGCTCTCTAAGCAAAAGCCAATTCCTTACAAGGATGCATAAGGCCCAACACCAACGGGGCTCCACCCCATTGCTTCTCTGACCGCTTCTCTTTCTCTGCCCTTGTGCTCACTTTATTTTAGCTGCAATGGCCCTCTTGATGTCTCTTGAATGAGCCAAGCACACTCTTACTTCAGACACTGTGCACATGCTGTTACCTCTTTGCAGAACTCTGCTCCCCTAGCTATCAATATGGCCACTCTCGGCCGTCTGCCTCCCTCTGTCCTGAGCCACTGTCACCTCACATTTACTGCTTTCCCTTTTCCTGCTTTGTTTTTCTCCTAAGCATTTATCCCTACGTAACACACTGTGTATTTTTACTTAATTACCTTGTTTATGTCTGCTTCCTCTAATAAGAATCTAAGCTCCTTGAGGTCAAGGCCTTTCTGTCAGTTTTGTTTACTGCTGTATCTCTAACATTTAGAGCCCTGACTGGCACATAGTAAATGTTCAATAAATATTCATGAAGTGGGTAGATAAAATTATAGTCCTAATAACTGAGTGAAATACTCCAGCCTTCATCCTTAGAAAAGTATTTCCATGTGGAAAAACATGCGGAGTACCAAATGTCACAAACACAGAAATCATGGGACAGTCTGAATTCCCGAGAAAATAGCAAGATCATGCTTGCTCTATGTGTGTGGCTTCATTCCAAAGAGACCCCTGTTCTCAATTCAAACTCAAATGGTGTCTTTTTGTCTCCTGGCATTACCTTGTCAGGTGAGGCATCCTTTTTGAGTAAGAAAGTGTCATTTGTAAGGGCCTCACAGAGCCTTGGAAGTCAACAACTACTAGATGTTTCCAGTAAATAAATGTCTTTGTGCTGGCGAAGCAATGTCATGGGACACTTCTTTCCAGCAGCTGATGAAATGGCAATTACATTTTCCAAGTTGCATTTATTCAGAAGAAAATCACAGCAGAAATTGAGTATCACTAGAGAGACATGAAGTTCTTTGTCAAAATGATGATGATGATGATGATGATGGTGGTGGTGATGGAAATGATGACAGTACCTAAAAGTTTATTGAGTGCTCACCTGAATGTTTTTCAACTCTTGTTATACCATATAAATTTTAGGATCAGCTTGTCACCTTCTGAGAAAGAGCTGTTAGAATTTTTCTTGGAATTGTATTGAATTTATAGATTTATTTAAGAGTGATTGCTACATTTACGATATTGAACCTTCCTTCCAAAAACATTTTGAATTTATTTAGACATTATTTTATGATCTTCTATAAAATTTTATAATTTTCATTGTAAAGGACTTATACATGTTGGGATATATTTAATTCTGGGTACTTAGAAATTTATGTTGCTATTACAAATGAGGTTTTTTAAAATTACATTTTTGATAGTTCTATAGACATCTCACTGCTTTTATATTGCTCTTTTTGTACTTTCTTATAATTTATTATAAGAGTTCTTTTGGATTTTCTATGTAGACAATTATATTAATAATGCACATGAGTAATGTGATGTTATTTCTGCCTTTAAAATTATTTTACTTTCCTATTTGATTTATTTTATTACACTTTCTAGAACCACCAGAACAATGATGAATAAAAATGGAAATAGAGATCATTTGTTTCTTATTACTGACTTTGAATGTAATACCCCTCAAGTTTTACCATAACATACGGTGTTTGCTATGAGTTTTTGGTACATATGGTTTATCAAGGTGAGAAAATCCCTTCTATTTGCTGTTTGCAATTGCTTTTGTCATGAATAAGAATTGAGTTGAACTGGAATTTTCTTTCTGCATTTATTATTTTCTTTCTGCATTTCTTTCTGCACTTATTATTCTGAATGCATTAATGTAATTCAACACACTAACATTAAAAAAACAAGCATAATCATAATAAATGGAGAAATAAAATTCCACTGAAAATTAAACCTAAATTCACGAGTAGGATATTTCCGTGGTTTTACTTTTAAATAGCGTCCTTGTCTTGTTTTGATGTCAGTTGGAAAACCGTCTTTTTCTGTTCTGGAATATAGATTGTATATAACTGGGGTTATCAGTTCTTTGATGATAACACTCACCTAACAAGTCATCTGAGCCTTGTGTTTCTGGAAAATGGTTTGTGACTACCGATCATATTTATTTAATGTACTATGTAAGTTTTCTATTTCTTCCTGAGTCAATTTTGATTATTACATGTTTCTACAAATTTTCCATTCCGTCTGAGTTTTTACATTTATTCATATAAAGCTGTTCATGCCTTTCTCTTATTATTTTTAAAAGTTCTATTGCATTCACGGTTGTGTTTCCTTTTTGATAATATTGTTCATTGGACCTTCTCTCTTATTTTCTTAATGAATCTTGCTAGAGTTTTGTCTATTCATTTGTTCAAAGAGACAGCTTTTAATTTTGCTGATCAAACTATTTTGTTTCCCATTTTATTAATTTCTGTTATTATATCTTTCCTCCTGCCATCTTTAGACTTGCTCATTTCCTAAATTCTTGAGTTGGATAATTAGCTTGATAATTCTTCTATAATATGTAACTTCAGTGCTACAGTTATTTCACTTACTATCATTTTGCTTTTGTAGTACAAGCTTCAAAAACTAATCTTTTGTCATTCAGTTCTAAATATTTCATTATTTTTACTATATTTTATTTCCTGACCCATGGCTATGTAGAAGGTTTTGGCTGTTTTTATTGTTGTTTAATCTCCAAATACATGCAAAGATTGGCTTTTTATAACTTAGTTGTATTATGGTCGTGGAATGTGGTCTCTATGTAGTTTACCAATTTTGCTCCCCAAACTTCTTGAGATCTACTTATAGATTTTCTTTCCCCAAGCTATCCCTTAGTAGCAAGGTTCTTTGAGTAGCAAACTCTACCTTTATTGAACAACTTTTATTTGATCCTCTTTTAAGTAATTAACTGTGTATATTTTGAATATTAGTTTCCTTCAAAACTTGAAGATATTATTCTGTTATTTACTAGCCTTGATTGCTTCAGGCAAGCCTATTTTCATTTTAATTGCAGTTCTTTTTTCTAAGATTTTGCTTTCAGGATTTTTCCTCTGTCTTTAGTATTCTGTACTTTCATTACCATATGTAGGAATATAGATTTCTTCAATTTATTCTCAATATTTAATGTGCTTCTTTTATTTGAGGACTCATGACTCTTCAATTCTAGGAAATTCTCAGCCTCCATCTATACTTTAGATATGATGACCTCCCCCATTCTTCCTATATTCATCTGTGAAATTATTCCTATATTCATCTGTGAAAAACACTAGTGAGCCATAAGAGTGAGCTGAGAAAGTTACTTAGAATGGAGTGTGGAGGCATAGAAAAATAGATCCTATGAAAGACAGATTCAGAGGATAGAGTCAGAGTCACTCTATTCTGAGTAACTTTCTCAGATCTCTCTTATGGTTCACTAGTGCTCTCCTCAGTGGTATTTAATTTGCAATTTAACTAGTCTTTTAAATTTTATATGTCCATGAGTATATGTCAGTGAGCATATTTTTCATAAATATGAAGTCATTAATCAGACTATTATTTATAATTTAAAAATTTAGGCCAGGCGCAGTGGCTCACGACTGTAATCCCAGCACTTTGGGAGGCAGAGGGAGGTGGATCACCTGAGGTCAGGAGTTCAAGACCAGCCTGGCCAACATGGTGAAACCCCTTCTCTATTAAAAATGTAAATAGTAGCCAGGCATGGTGGCAGTTGCCTGTAATCCCAGCTACTTGGGAGGATGAGACAGGAGAATCACTTGAACCCAGGAAGCGGAGGTTGCCGTGAGCTGACACCATGCCACTGCACTCCAGCCTGGGCAACAGAGCAAGACTCTGTCTCAAAAAAAAAGAAAAGAAAATTTGGAAGCTGCCTAAACGTTAAAAAATTATAAGCTAAATTACAGTGTATCCATGTGATAGATAATTACATAGTCATTTAAATTAAAATTAGCATGAAAAAACAGTAAAATAAAACATGAAATAAAAAATATATAAAATTATATATGTGCAAGAGCACATATGTAAAAGTAAAAGTGAACACATAAAAATAGTTGCATTAGGGTGACTTTATTGCAGATAATCTGATCTTTTTCTTCTTCCAACTTTTCTATAATTATGTTGTATTATTTTTTATTATTTAAAATAGTTCCTTAAAACATTTATCTTCCCGAAAGAGCATCTGTGTAAAAACTTTGAATATGAGGTCAGAATTAGCCTTTGCTTAAATATGTCACTACTGTTGAGGATTTCTAAAAGCAGAAATTCATTTCTGGATACCGGCTGATATTCAAAATCATGTTAGTATTTTGAGTTCTTAGGTATTCTTTCTGCCCCAGAGTTGAGTTCAGAAAATTGAAATCTACGTGCTTGCATGTGTCATGGCTAAGATGCCACTAAATTTGTTTCTTGCTTCTCTTTCAAACATAGTTAATCGTTGTATTTTGCTTTGAATATCATCAATTAGGAAGTGCAAACTGCTTTTCCATTCTGAGAACTGTACATTATTTATTTATTTATTCATTTATTTATTTATTTTGAGATGGAGTCTTGCTCTGTCACCCAGGCTGGAGTGCAATGGCGTGATCCTGGCTTACTGCAACCTCGACATCCCAGGTTCAAGCGATTCTCCTGCCTCAGCCTCCCAAGTAGCTGGGACTATAGGTGCATGCCACCATGCCAGGCTAATTTTTGTATTTTTAGTAGAGACAGGGTTTCACCATGTTGGCCAGTTTGTCTCAAACTCCTGACCTCAGGTGATCCACCTGCCTCAGCCTCCCAAAGTGCTGGGATTACAGGCATGATCCACTGCACCTGGCTGTACCTTAAAAAAAAAAAAACTACAAAAAGCATGTTGCAAAGCATAGGCCACACTTAAGTTAATGAAGTCATTTTTTTAATAAAAGATAGTTTTACATTTTTAAGAAAACTCTTCATAGCTGTGAATTTGTTAATTATAGTCATTTCTTGCACTGGCCAAAGTAAGGGTTTTCCTTACCTTATTTGGGGCTAGAACTTGACATTCACAAAAGCTGTACATGGGCGGCTCTGAGAACATCTGCAGCATAAGCATAACCTTTGATTTGGTAAACTTCATTTCCTCCTTCCTCCTAGTGTTTCAACGGTGTTTTCTCTGCAGACTCAAAGGTGCCCCTTCCCAGTTATGTGTCCTACACTGGCACTCACTCACCTTATTAAACAACAGGATCACAGGGGCAGTAAAAATGGATAAAGAGAAAACCTCTCCAAAATTTCAGGATTTTTGACTCAGTTATCTGGTCTGGGTTCTTATTTTCAAGGTGTTCCTTTGGCTTTGTAAAATTCTCTGGTCAGACCATAATCCTTAAACACCGTGATCATCATAAATGCTCTTCTGTTTCCATTTACTCTGCAGAGGTCAAAAGATGCGGCTCGTTTATGAGTTTATTCTGCCATGTATCACTACAGGCAGGTCAGCGGGCCAGCTGGATGGATGGGCAGCACTAACCTCCTCATTTATTACTCTTGTCAACTTGGAAGGGATTTTTTTTTTTTTTTACCTTGTGAAAGGCCCATCAGCAGTGAATCAGTGAAGTGAAGACGACAGTTGATTTGTGAATTTAGATTCTATAAAGTGACTCCGCTTTGGTGGGCTGTGTAGATAAAGCAACCGTCACGATAAGGTGACGAGTGCAATTCCACAAAACCAAATTTATTGCACATTTGAGGAAATCATCCTATTTTAAAATGCCATAAATTCTAAATTGAATATTACTTATTCCCATGAATTTTGATTTATATTTTGAATATTTTTAATGGGATGCTAAATAGCCTGGGCTGGAAGTTATGAGTTTATGCATTACTTCTTGTGGGCTATTGTGACTTTCTGCAGAATATATTGGCCATTCTTAGGATTTTATTTGTGTGGACTGTGGTGGGGGTGGGGGAGTGCATTCATGCACCTGCTGAGGGCGCTCCGTGGGTAATGATATGGATGCTGGTTATAAGAAAAGGAGCTGGCTGCAACCTTCCTCCCTCCAAGCAAGCCGTCTCACAAGGAGTCTTTTGCACCCACACAAGCAAGGTTGAAATAGCAATGGAAGGGAACATGGAATCCCCCACTCCCATCAGATACCCTCAGAATCCCCTTTACTTCTCGTAACATTTATTGCTGCAGTAATTAACTATTTCAATGGCTACTTATTTTTTTTTTTTTTTTTTTTTTTTTTTTTTTTTTTGAGACAGAATCTCACTCTGTCGCCCAGGCTGGAGTGCAGTGGCGCGATCTCGGCTCACTGCAAGCTCCGCCTCCCGGGTTCACGCCATTCTCCTGCCTCAGCCTCCCGAGTAGCTGGGACTACAGGCGCCCGCCACCACGCCTGGCTAATTTTTTGTATTTTTAGTAGAGACGGGGTTTCACCGTGTTAGCCAGGATGGTCTCGATCTCCTGACCTCGTGATCCGCCCGCCTCGGCCTCCCAAAGTGCTGGGATTACAGGCGTGAGCCACCGCGCCCGGCCAATGGCTACTTATTTACAGCCCATCTCCACCACTGGACACAGCTGTAGCTCCACAGAGCCTGGAGGCAGGAGACCCACCCACCACCCCAATTATAAGGACAACAAACAACTCAGAATGCTTTAGGCCTTTTCCAGTTAACTCCATTTTTTCTTTAACTGATAGTCAAAAAGAAAACCTTTTAATTTTCAACCCTGGCTGTTGAAGCACTGAAGGATGGGTACACCCAATTGCCTTTTACCAATGAGAAAAACCGGGAAAGAGTCTTCCAACCTATGATTGAAAACTGACAGCTTTGCAGTGCCCCTCCCAGGCAGAGGCCGTCAGGCAGCATTTACCCCATAGTGGGCGGGAAGATGGCCTGGTTGGAAGTTCATTAAGTGCAGGGTGGATGGCTTCCCTCTTCCCCTTCTGGGTCCAGATCTTACTTAGCACCTGGCATGGTGTGCAGCAGCCTCTGAATTGTCAGATGAAATCTTTGGGGTTTCTCCAGCACAGACTGGAGCTACCTTGTCATTATTCCTTGAGGGAAGTGGCTGGTCTTGAGTAAATAGAAGCTTCTCACCCATTTAGAAGGTTGAACAGAGCAGGTGAGTGCCTGGTAGAGCCATGGAAATCTCCAAGTCTCTTGAATACTCTTAATATTACTGTGTTTTGAGCATGGGTGCTTTATAGACAGTGGAGTTCACATGGTACCTGCTAAAAATATTTTTAAATCTCTGTAAGGCAGACTCTTATAACCTCCAGGACCTGAGCCCTCTGAAGCCCCAAAGCCCCCATATAAATTGTGCTGTTCTTCTCTGCATTTTTACTGTGGTTCCTCTTTCCATGGAGTATACAGAAAAAGAGAAATACACAAATAGGCTTTTATTTTTTTTAAGGCAGGGGAATGATTCCCTTCTCTCTGACCACCATACCTACCAAGGATGTCTAGCTAAATTTGGATAAGTTAAGTGCACAAATAACGAACTCCACATGTGACTTCATTGGCTGAGACCTCAGCTGCGGCCATCTGCTGAAATATTTCCAAGTGGTTTCTCCAGGGAGCTTGGGCTTCCTCACAACATGGTGGCTGGGTTCCAAAAGTGAGTGTTCAGAGAGAGGTAGGAATGGGGATAATGGAGAGGAAGAAAGATAAACAGAAAAAGATAGCACTGAACGCTAGGCAGAAGCTGTATTCTTTTTATGACTTAACCTCGGAAGTCAGAGAATCCCTTTTGTCATATTCCATTCATTAAAAGTAAGTCATGGCCCGATGCCATGGCTCATGCCTGTAATCCCAACACTTTGGGAGACTGAAGTGGGAAGATTATTTGAGCCCAAGACTTAGAGATCAGCCTGGGCAACATAGTGAGACCCTGTCTCTGCAAAAATAAAAATAAAAATTTAGCCAGGCATGCTGGTGCACACCTACAGTCCCAGCTACTTGAGAGGCTGTGGTGGGAGAATTGTTCGAGCCCGGGAGTCGAGGCTGCAGTGAGCCATAATCGTGCCACTGCATTCCAACCTAGCCAACAAAGCAAGACCCTGTCTCAAAAAAGAAAAGTAATATAAGTCACTAAGTCTGACCTACATTCAAGGAGAGAGAAATTAGACTCCACCTTTTGGAAGGAGGAAGGCCAAATAATTTGCAAACCTTTTTAAAAACTGCCACATAGGGTCATTGTGGGGAGCAACCTTACCCTGTTGGTTGTGAGATCTGCTTCTGTGTGGTGTCCAAGACCCTGCAAAACTCCATCAGCATCTTTTGAAACCACCCAAGGACAGTAGGTTTTTGGCAAAGCTTCTTTCTCACAAAGACAGGTGTTCATAGCATCTCCTGTAATGTCATTTTCTTGGTTATAGAAAGTTTGGGAGCAAAGTTCACAAGCAAATCTATGGCCACCTCATGCCATTTAATTATTTCTGGAACATTACTCCTGGGGGGAGGTATAGGTAACCATGCTGCCTCCTCTGCTTGCAATATCTCTGCCCCTTTTTTGTGTGTGCTTGGCAGGCTCTATTCATCCTTTAAGGCCCACAATTCAAACCTATCCTTTTTTTAGAGAGATAGAGATAGGATCTCACTCTGTTGCCCAGGCTGAAGTGCTGTAGTACGACCATGGCTCACTGCAGCCTCAACCTCCTGGGCTCAAGCAATCCTCCCACCTCGGCTTCCCTAGTAGCTGGGACTACAGATGTGCACCAGCACAGCTAGCTAGTTTTAAAATATGGGGTAGAGACAAGGTCTTGCTATGTTGCTCCGGCTAGTCTCAAACTCCTGGGCTCAAGTGATCATCCTACCTTGACCTCCCAAAGTGCTGGGATTACAGGTGTGGAGCCACTGCACCTGGCTGCATGTCCTCTTGGAGATATTCTAGGGTGCCCCCAAGTGGAGTTGGTTTGTCCACAGTCCATTATTTGCATGTCCATCACAGCACCAAAGAGTCTATCTATCATCTTGTCTTCTAGACAACGAGTTTCCCTAAGGGAGGAATCTTGTCCTATCCTCACCCTCAAATATAGCATCTAGAATGTGCTAGGTGTTTATATTCCATACATATCGGTTCAGAGGAGCTTGGAAAAATGGACAATTGTTTTAGGCTGGCATCTTCCAACACGGGATGTGTGCAAGCTGAAGTTCGTGAGATCCTACAAAAGAAGGTTTTGTGTTAAATAAGTTGAACGAAATCTGCTTGTTTTAATTTCAGTCTCAGAGGCTCATATCAACACTTGAATGGAGCCAGTGTGGTGTAGGGTTTTAAAAATGCGAGCTCTGGGGTTAGCATTGATTTGAATTCTGGCCACACCCTTGTTCAAGTCACTAAACACATGTGCCTCATTTTTCTTAACTATAGGATAGCAATCACGTTCTGAATCCTTACCTCATAGAGATGTTAATGTTGAGAGAATAAACTAAAATATTTCATGAAGGACACTTAGATGTGTTGGGAATTCAATAACTACTAGGTAATAAAATTGTCATTAAAGGCTCTGAGAAGTCCTGTAACAATAATCACAGCATTTTTCCAACTTATTTGATGGTGGAATTATTTTTTTTCACATCACACTTAATAATTTACATCCACATTTTGGGAAATGTGGCTGCAGAAGACTTGATAATATTGGAACACATTCTCTGCAAATTAGATGCTTCAAACCTAGAAAAATCTAAAGCTAGCATAATTCTTGAGGGGTTGTTGAAGGGATGAAGTTAGAATTAATGGTTAATGAATGAGTAGCTGAAAATTTTTCTCACTGATATCTCTTCAATTGATGGCTGCTGTCCTTTCTGAGAATTCTTAACCTTGATGAAAGTGTTTCAGATGTATTTGACTGCACTTTTGTAGTAGCCAGCAACATGAAAGAGGAAATACAAGCACGTTGGGTGATCTTGCTGAGTTTGGCAGATACCTTCTACCATCCTTACATGTGCATTCAAGAAGAGGTGCAATGCTCCTTACAGAAAGAGCCCTCTGACTCCTGTGTGGAGAGGTGGCTTCTGCTTACAGAAATTTTGTTATTTGTTTATAGTTTGCCAGGCTGCTTCTGAGTTTGCTTAGCTCCTTGTGGAGACTTGAGGGTGTCAGGGGATTCCTGAATCCCTGAGTTGGTCTGGGCCCAAGGCAGCTGCTAAACTAACTGTGGCTGTCTGAGAACTGAGTCAAGTAACATGGTTTTTACTGCCCCACAGCCATTTCTCCTTTTTCGTAATACATCACCTTGATCTTTCTTCGGGAAACCACTCTTTCCCCACTCCCAGGCCATGTAGCTTAAGTGGACCAACTCTACCCAGAGGTGGGCACATGACCCAGTTCTGGCCACAACACATCCAATCTCCTGCTTTAGAAATGAACCTGTGACTTAAGCCAGGTCAAGGGGGACACCTAGGTGGAACTATTCAGAGACCCCAGGTGGTCAGACCCAGGACAAGTGTAAGGCCTTGGCAAGAGCTGCCTTTTACTAGGGAAACCCAGACATCAAAACAGATCGAAACTCCATTGGATATAAAGTGGAGAAAGAGAAAATTTGCAATTACACACATTACAATTCCTTTCAGGAATGATAATTAATGCTATAACGACTATCTTTTATTGAGTATTTACTATGTCCCAAGCTGGTACGTTTCCTCTATTCTAATGTACACCTCTTCCCCTTTGAATTTCTGAAATCAGAGATATCAGTGTCTTTCAATTGAGGGCTTCTTACAACTGCCTCTAGGTAAGCAGTGGTTATGACCTTAACCAATACATCTCATTTCCATTTTTTATGAATGCCAAGGGTGATGTATGATTAAAATCTATGTCTAAAGAAATCTTTAAAAAGATGTTTTCAACAAATATTCTGAACAACAGGCCAAGGATGATAGATAACTAAAATCTATGCTTATTTGAATCTTTTTAAAAAACTTTTCAACAAAGCATATGATAAGAAAACTTTGGGATATGGTTTAATTGTCAGTGCTTTTTCCTTTTGGAGGGACAAAATAATATAGCATCCTACAATGGATGGCATCTCAGTTTCTACAAAACACGGGATTACCTTATTCATTCTTGGAGTCAGTACTATTTCACGTAAAGGAAACCATAGCTTGAGGAAGTTAGCTAATTGCTCAAATCCACCATCAAGCTCCAAGTGCTAAACCAGATAAAGCACATGAAACGGAGACAAATAAGATCAGTCCAAGACCCAAGTCATAAACGGACTTTGTTATTTGGGCAAAGAATTCTAATTTGCAGTAATAGGCAGAGCTCATCTTATTCTTTTATTGCAACAAAACATGCAATAAAAACTCCAACGTTTCTGTCTGTTCCCAAATCCAAACCTCCCCTAGCGTTGCTGCCTTAGATAACGCCGTCACAGTGCAGTAGCATTATGAAAAAGTTACTTGTAATCTACAGGATTAGATGAAAGCCGAGTTCCCAAGTCTGCTGTTTCTCTACCAGAAAATTGATACCAGGGACTTTCAGAGCTGAAAGAGACCAGTGAGCTTGTTTAAAATAACCAAGGACCCAGTTGCAACGATGTGGCAACAATTAGGATATGATTTCCTTTGGGGAAAAGTCACTCAGCTTATTTCAGCCAAATGTCCAAGTCGTTCCGGACATTTTTCTGCACAACGCACCCCCCGCTGGGTCCCCCACCAATTTTTGTAAATTAGAACCATCCAATTTGGCTTCAGAGTCTGCTTTGGGGGCACGAATTGGATTCTGGGATAAATTTTACTATGGAAAGAAGGGTTCTGGTGCAGCCTGGACTTTACTGATGGAGTGTAGGCAAACGGCAAGGGGGTGCTTTTCTTCATGGGCTGCTTTGAAAACTGGCTTTCATGTGAATATCAGACGCTTTATGTCTTTGACTCGAGTGACCTCATCTACCAGAATGAAGTCATCTATCCCGCCAGGGAAGACAAACCTTCTTTCCAGAGAATCAATCAGCCCATCAAGGGTCCTCCTTACCTCCTTATCTCCAGCCAGTGAGCGAGTGAGCAGTTAAAAACCTGGCAGGCCCCAGAGAGCCCCCGTACTTCACGTTCCCTTAAATCAAAAGGGAACCCGAAGACTCTCAGGGAAGCACCAACTTGCTGCTGGGTGATCACAGCTTGACATCAGTTCAGACTTGGAGGATTGTTTCCAAGCGAGATATTTTTTGAGCACGAAAACCATGGCATTCCAGTGAACTTTAGGGGTTTCTCCTTCATGTTATTAAACTATTAACTCCTGCCAGATAGAAATGCTAGGCACATAATTGTTCGCCCAACCTTTTCATCCCAAGCTATTGCACAACCCATAAACAGTCCAATTAGGAAACCAATTAAAACGAGAAAGAGGCTTCCTGAATTATCCAGCAGTTGGAGCAGCACTGCCTTTTCGTTGTCAGCCAGTGAAAGGTTTTTATTGCATCTGCTGAAGAGGTGAGCAAATTAAGGGAAGCGGCACAGCCGTGGGGCCCATGCCAGGCAGAGCAGCAGACAGAGCCCTTGGCCAGCTCTGAGACGCTTTGTGAGACCCCAAGGTGGGTGTTCTAGAAGGAAGAAGCTTTGGCTTGCTTACTGGAACCAAGACAAAAATTCCAAATAAAATTCCAAATAAAAATGTAAATCGAGTTTTTTCCTCGATTGTCACAGAGACTCTGGTGAATATGTTAAGTTTTCAGAAAGCGATTCTTTTCCTAGCAATGGGCTGCTTGCCTTGCATTCCTCAAGGCCTGTCCTGTGCCTTCCATCCTGCATCCTTCCACAAGGCTCTGAGTGGCTGTAGGACCCTCATATGACAGGAGGAGGAGGCTGACCTTGGCCAAGGTCACATATCCCTTCTTTTATCCATTCGAAAGGCTCTTGCTGTTGACTGACTATGCAGCAGACATAGCTGGGCCCTGGGGAGATGTGCAAGGCAAACACACCCAAGAGATTCCTGCCTTCACTGAGCATGCACCGCAGAGACACGCTCAGTCACTTCTCCCTGAGCTCTCGCAGCACCTCAGACATGCCTCTAGTTTAAGCCTCTACTTTTAAATGTAATCCCTGTGCATGGCACACCATAGGTACTCAAACAGGGGCTGGTGGAACTCTTGAGGGAGAGGGAGTGCCACTGATTCCTCTTCCTGAGATGGAAGTGTGCGTGCATCCGTACCAATGTGCATGCATGTGTGTGTTTGGGGGAAGACATAGTAAATAAGCTGAGTGTTTCTTGTTCTCCATGGTCTCAAGGCCTCTATACATTATTGTGGCCACTCAGAGCTCAACTGGTAGAGTTGACTTTTGGCCTTGTTCCTTGCTACTTGCAAAGTTAGAAAAAGAAAAGTGCAATCAACCGACAGTGGATCTCTGAAATGCCAAGTGGCTGTACTCTAGAAAAGCCCCATTGAACTCTTTCATGGCACCAACTATATTCTCCTTTCTCCCTGAGAGATTTTGCCATGTCTCCTTTTTGCCTTTCTGGATTTTGACTCCTTGAAAACAGACACAGAGCCTCCTTGTTGCCACAGCCCCCATGACCCTGGTGCAGAGCCTGGCTCAAAGTGGCCTCTCACTGCCTCATTGACAGATGGACACACTTGTCTTGAATGACCCTGACTTTCTCCACCAGAATAAGTTGCTCTTTTGAACCCATAACCTTCTGGTCTGTGTTGTATTTTAAACCAGAAGGGTGGTTTCAGGATTAGGAGTTGAGTCTGTAGCTGCAGCATCATTTTATAACAAATTAGACCTAATTCCTGATCCTCCAGTGAAGTAACTTGGGCACATTGCATAATTTTCTTAGCCTCTATTTTCTCATCTATGAACCATGATTGATAATAGTACCTGAGCCATATGCTGTAGAAAGATTTGATTGGTTAATGTGAGCAACATGCTCAGAACAAGGACAGGTGCATGCCAGGTGCTGCCTGAAATAAGCTGTTCTCATTGCTGTGCTGTGGTGCGTGTTCATGCTGTTGGCTTTCTCCTGGTGAGATGAGACCTTGGGCATGCAAACCTGCACTTGCCCCTTTTTGGGGATGCTGATGGCAAAACAGTTGGAAGGGACCTTGGGAGATTTCAGGGGCCTCTTATGTGTCCATGCTGGACACCCCTGGAGGGTTGGTCACCGTGTTTTGAGCATTTGGTCTTATATATAGCAAGCTTGTGCTTTGTGTTACCATATGTCCTGTCTCATCTAGCAAAATTGCCAACATTTGCCTGACTCTGGTGGCTAGAAGCCCAATGCCTCACAAGCCAAACTGTATGTACTAAGAGGTGGCATGGTAGAGTGATTCAGAGTATGAGCCAATCATGTTTGAATCACAGCTCTGCAGCTTACAAACTGTATGACCTTGAGTGAATTACTTAAACTCTTTCTGTCTCATTTTATTCATCCAAAAATGGGTATAATAGCAACCTGGCGCAGTGGCTCATGCTTGTAATCTCAGCACTTTGGGAGACTGCGGTGAGTGGATCACTTGAGCCCAGGAGTTCAAGACCAGTCTGGGCAACATGGTGCAACCCCATCTCTAGTAAAAATACAAAAATTAGTTGGGCATGGTGGTGCATGCCTGTGGTCCCAACTACTTGGGAGGCTGAGGTGGGAGGATTGCTTGGACCTGGGATGCCAAGGTTACCATGAGTCAAGATTGCGCCACTGCCCTCCAGCCTGGGCAATAGAATGAGACCCTGTCTCAAAAAAAAAATTTTTTAAAGGGGCATAATAATAGTCCCTGCCAAACATGGTTTTTTGAGGATTAGATGAGTGAATATTTAGTAAGCTCCTTAAAAAGTGTCTACTATGTGTAAACCTATGTAAAAGTATGATAAATATATCATTTCTGATGACTCAGTGTTAGAAAGTTCTTCTATTAATCTAAAATTCATTTTTTTCTACTCACTGGAGTCTGGTAAAGTCCCTGGGTTTGAAAAGTCTTGGGTTTTGTGCCCATTATCACATAGACTGTTTCCCAGCCATGCTGTGTTGAGAAGTTACTTTTGTTCTCTGAGCCTTTACTTCCTCATCTATAAAATGGGTGCAGTCACCACAGTCCAGATTAGCATCCAAAACCTTGTCTTTAACCCAGCAGTGATAGATCTTCTCTGGACCAGACTCATGTTAGCTTATGCTAACTAGGACTTGTGAGTCAGGCAGAATCCTAACATGTCACTTCATGAAGCTCAGGGCCACTGTCAAGAGGCCTGTAAACTTCAGAAAAATCCTAGAACAGCCAGGATGGTCTTTCCAAAGCACACATTTGACAATGTCTGACCCTAGACTAAATAGCTGGCCATGAGTTACTCCCTCCCTCTCCTCCTGCCTCATCTGCCTTCATCCCCGGCTCTCCAGGCCCCACCCTGACTCAGTTGCATTTGCTCAGCTTGCTATGTTTTGTTGAGAGCAGTGTTTCACAACTGGGGGTGATTTGCCACCTGAAGACACTGGGCAATGCCTAGAGACATTTTTGGTTGTTGTAACATGGGGAGGGGGTGCTACTAGATCTAATGATTAGAGACTAGGGATGCTACCAAAAGTCCTACAATGTATATGACAGCTCCCCCATGACAAAGAATTATGGGCCCCAAAATGTCAATAGTGCCAAGGTTGAGGAACTCTGGGCTAGATTCCGGCCCTTTCCAGAGAATTCTTCCCATCACCAATCCACTCACCTGTGCCTACCAGTATCAGTCAGGATAAGCTAGGTTATCTTGCAGTAACAAACATTCCCAAATCTTAACAGCTTAACTCCATAAATATTAATTCATTTCTTTCTAATGTTCTGTGTCCAGTGCAGGTTGGATGGGGGACTCTAGTTCACATGGTCCCTGAGGACCAGGCTCCTTTGGGACATTGCAAATTGCAGTGGTGGAGGGAAAGAGCATGGGAGATTGCTCACCAGTGTTGCTTTTGCTCATATTTTATTGGCCAATGGAAGTCACATGGCCACATCTAACCTCAAAGAGGGTGGAGAAGAGCAGTCTTCCTTTGGACCTGGGAGGAGAGAAACAGATTCTTGGTGAAGAGCCCTGATGATCACATCACACCTAGTTCAGTCTCATCCTTGGAGATTCACCTTGGATGCCATGGAGAAGCCTATCCCGATTGTCCTCCCTGGGTGTTGGGGGTACCCTTGCTCTGGGCTCCCGCCTGGGCTCATCCCATCATAACATGTGACACTCCGGGGCTTCCGTGTTGGGTGGATGGTGGGATTCTGGTTTACTACGGTGCCTCTGACACCTAACCCAGTGCTTGGCAAGAAGTAGAGCCCGGGAATGACTTTCAGAATTAACGGGCAACTGGTGGATGGATTCTCATCCTAGAGGAGATCTCAAGGAAGAGGAGGACTCTGAGATATGTGGCTGTGTGTCTGGCCCCAAAAGCTGATGTCATCAGATAGTGAAAGTCCAGCACCCCTGTCTCCACCACTGACTGAATCTGCAAGGGCATCAGAATTCTAGAACTGATATGGCCCATCGACTCCTTTCCTGGACCTGCAATATGCTGTCTCCTTGTCTGTGTGTTTCCCAAGTTCCAAGCCTACCTCCTTTCTTTGGTGGATGAGCTCTTTGGCTAGATGTGTTTGTGTTGTTGACCTGACTGCATCAAGGTTCTCTCTGCCCCTTCTCCCACCCTGGTGAGAATGGCTGTCTAAGGCAGCATTTCCAAACCTGTCACTTACCTCAGACTGTCCCAAGTTTGGACATATCTTAGTCACACTCTGTCTATTATTTAATTAATATTTTCTTTTTAACTCAGCTCATATTTTTACCTAAAGAAATGTAGAAATGTATTTACAAACAAGTTCACTCCCGTCTAAGATAGATGATAGATAAATAGATAGATAGATATCATTAGGCCAGGCACAGTGGCTCATGCCCACATGTAATCCCAATATCCCAAAGCTTTGGGAGGCTGAGGTAGGAGGATCCCTTGAGCCCAGGAGTTCAAGACCAGACTGGGCTATGTAGCAAGACCTCCATCCATATAAAAAAAATTTAAAAATTAGCCAGGCATGGTGGTACATGCCTGTAGCCTCATCTACTGTGGAGGCTGAGGCAAGAGGATCACTTAAGACCGAGAGCTCAAGGTTGCAGTGAGCTATGATTGTGCCACTGCACTTCAGCTTGGGTGACAGAGCGAGACCTTGTCTCTAAATAAATAAATTCAAATAGACATTATTGACCCCTTTGGGGAATTCTAGGGAATCCCTTTAGTATTTTGAAAACTGGCTACCCTTCTTGTATGACCTGTACCTCAGAGTACCCTGATAGTTGGTGAAGGAAAGTTTCTTTTTTCTTTCTAGAAATGTTCTAGCTAAGAAATTAGAAAGAAATGTTGGAATTGGAACATCAATATCTTGCAACCACAAATGAATCAATGGATGTAGGCAATAATCATCAATGACTAGTATCATGAAAAGAGAGACAACAGACATTATATATACCTCCCTATGGAAGAATACAATGCTATTGATGAAATAACCTTGCAAAACATATTGAACTTGAATCTGATCAAGCCTCTAGACCTAACTATGAATTTACAGGCTATGCAAGGGACAGAGGGGCATGTTAAATGACCCACGGGATGCAGTCAGTAAATCCAGATTGTGGGAGACGCTACAAAACAGATGACCTGGCTTCCCTAATACAACCCTCCCCCAAGAAATTGCAATTTACAAGAAAGAGCCAGCGAGAGAGAATGCACCCAAATGTTAAAAGAGACATGTGGCATAGAAAATTGCAAAGTATGGGCCTCGTTTGGATCTCAACTCAAATAAATTGAGTAAATGTGAACGGTTTACTGGGTATGAGATGATACTGGTAGTAATTGTAACTTTTTTCATTGTGATAATGGTATTATGGTTAGTTTTTTTTTAAGTTCTTATATTTTAGGGAAACACGTTGAAATATTTTCGGATGCAATAACAGGATGACCTGTGGTGGGTAGGGAAGATTGGAACAACGGTCAAATATTCCTAGATGTTGAAGCTGAGGACCTCAGAACAGAACATTGTGTTATTCTGTTCATTTAAAAAAAAAATGCTTGAACATTTCTCTAATTAAAAATCTTTAAAAACCACAGTGATGTAATAGAAAGATGAGCAGGGTTAGTGATAGCGAGTCAGGGAAGACCCAGTGAGGAATGACATCTGAATGACAAAGATGAGCCTGCCACGTGAGGACATGGGGAGTAGTCTGGGCAAAGGGAACAGCAAGTACAAAGCCACCAAGATTACTCAACAGTATCTAAGAAATAATCTTGTAAAGCCTTGTAAAATGCCATATATCCCATTTTCTAAATTATATGATTAGCCAAGAGAGGATGTGAAATTAACCACTGAAAATATTGCTGCTTTGAAAATGATGCTAATTTTCAGTAGGATTTCTCTTCTCAAAATGGTGGTGCGTGTACAAACCTTATGCTTCAGATTAAAATTTCAAGTGTTTTTAAGATTTTGATTAAAATTGGTTTAATTAAAAAAATGTTAATTGCCTTATTGTTTTCACTGCTTGCTGTCTGATTCCACCACTGGGATAAATCCCAGCACCTGCTGGAGTTTCACAAGCTGCCAGTTCAAACAGCTACGTGTCAGGAAATAAAAGGAAAATGAAGTTTTTTTATATTTGTGAACTACTGCACCAATGCATGTAGTGTAAAATAGCCCAGTATGGTCCCAGCTGAATAGTAAGAGGGTGATTTATTCCCAAGGTTCTGTTTCCATTTTTGCTGTTTATGATAGCATATCAAGCTAGCTTTTTGATTGAATTACCACCTTGTATTCAGGCTGGGACCATGCATTATTACATATGTAAGTATAAATGTTGATGCAAATGAGTTTTCCTAATGAAAGGAGAGACAGTTTATTTTCCCTTGCATAATGGGTGGTTCTGAGGACCAGATTTATTTTCTCAAAGTGAGTACACGCTTATTTTTCAATTTGTCATCCATTCTTAACATGAGCACCCCAATAATTCAGATCTGCAAATCTTTTAGCTTCACGTTTTAATATACTTTTTTTCATCCTTAAACCAAAATCAATTTCAATGTGATTTATCATCGGAGAATTACCTTATGTAAAATGCTTAAGTGAATGAAGCAATAACTTTAGGCCTATTGGTTTGAGAGAGCAATTTTCAGTTTTTCAGTTCTAAATAAACGGTGAGATCCCAGGTCACATTTTCATTTTATTCATTACACTGTGTGCTTTAGTTATTACTGAGTTTTTGGAAAGTCTGGGAGCTTCAAAATGAGCTGAATTACTTTTAAATATTGCTGCATTTCGTTTTCTACGATTTGAGCTACTTTGCTTGGTGTTTCTTGGTATTCTATTATCCTCTTACCTAAACCAGCTGGCCAAGTCTGCAGTTCATTTCTCTCTTCATAAATTAGGATACTAATGTTGAGCCCTAGGCTGTCTGTTTGCATATGAAATTAACTGCAGCTTCCTCGCTTCCTCAACTGAGGATTTGCTTAGTAAGTACTTGGCCAATGATTGCAATGGGAGAACCAGGCTGAAGGGAGACCCATGTGGGAATATTTTTCTCCTACCTTGGAGGAGCTGAAGGCTCTGGGTAAGCAGATCCCCTTGATAGAGTTTGCCCACTAGGCCTTCTGCGAGAACTGCGAGTTTGAGGATTAATTGCACAGGGGTCCTCCAAGAGCACAGTGTGAGTTTAGAGGTAATGGTAGCTTTCTTTCCACATGCTGGATATTTTCTAATGGTAATAATAATTCTGCTAATTTATTAACTATTATGTATATAATTTGTTGTACATATAAATATAATTTTAATATTTTAATAATTTTAATATTTATTATATTTGTATGTATAATATAAAATAAATAAATGTGTGTATTATACTAATATATAATATATAGAATAGAAATCCTAGTAATAATAATACTCAGCGCTGGTGCGGAGGCTCATGCCTGTAATCCCAGCACTTTGGGAGGCCTAGGCAGGCAGATCACCTGAGGTCATGAGTTTGAGACCAGCCTGGCCAACATGGTGAAAACCTGTCTGTACTAAAAATACAAAAAAATTAGCTAGGCATTGCAGATGCCTGTAGTCCCAGTTTCTCAGGAGGCTGAGGCAGGAGAATCGCTTGAACCCAAGAGGCAGTGGTTGCAGTGAGCCAAGATTGAACCACTGCACTCCTGCCTGGGAGACACAGTGAGACTCCATCTCAAATAATAATAATAATAATCAGAGATTTATTGAGCATTTACTGTGTCCAGGCACTATGCTAAGCATCTCATTATCACCTCATGTTGCATGTATCTATATATATGTATCTATGTAATATGTATAATATCTATATATCTATATAATTATATAATTAATTAGGTGAGCATTATCTCAGTCAATCTCCACTATACCTTCCAAGATAAGAACCACTGTAATTCCCATTGTACAGATAAAGAAGCAGAGCTTCAGGGAAGTTAAGTAATTTGTCCAGGGTCAGCCAACTAATAAGTGAAGGGAGGAGCCAAGACCTGAAACCAGAGTCTGGCCTTAAAGCATTCTTCACCTTGTAAGCATTCCACTTGAGCAAGATTTCTACTTATAAGGGAATGCTTCTTTACACAGTATTTGTCAAAATCCCAGCAATCTTCTGTCTACAAGAGGGAGAAAAAAATGTGTGCTTTAGAATCTGGACCTTAAAAGACAAATAGATGTGGTTGAGTTCTGTATTAGTCTGTTTTCATGCTGTCGATAAAGACATACCTGAGACTGGGCAATTTATAAAAGAAAGAGGTTTGATGGACTCACAGTTCCACATGGCTTGGGGAGGCCTCACAATCATGGTGGAAGGTGAAAGGCACTTCTTACATGGTGGTGGCAAGAGAGAATGAGAGAGAAGCAAAAGCGGAAACCTCTTATAAAAACCATCAGATCTTGTGAGACTTATTCTCTACCATGAGAACAGTATGGCAGAAATCACCCCCATGATTCAATTATCTCCCACCAGGTCCCTTTCACAACACATGGGAATTATGGGAGTACAATTTAAAATGAGATTTGGGTGGGGACACAGAGCCAAAACATATCAAGTTCCAACTCAAGGGTTGTCACTTAATAAGTTGAGTGCCCCCCCAACCCCTGTATGTTTTTTAACCTCTTTCTACCTCAGTTTCCCCATCTGCAATATGGAGATGATGATGATAATACTGTTATTGCAAAGAATTCATGAACTCATGCAGTGCCCAGTGGGTCAGAACCTATTGAACCTCTCCAGCTATTCTGAAACTAAAATCTTACACCAGGTGGACTCAGGTGAGAGCCACCTCTGGGAGCTGTTTTAAAGGGAGTTATAATTTGCATTTCTAATTTCCCTCTAACTACTTCCCTGGCCAGTCCTCTGAGGACTTGCTCAGTGATTGATGTGATACCACTTAGAAATTTCTTTGAGTTCCCCAGAAGAAAGGTTTTCTGTACAATCCAGCTGGTGGTGTTACCGTTTAGAGAAATCTGAAAACCTAACTGTGCCGCTGATATGCTCACAGGGAGTTGAAAGGGGGATTATCTTTTAAGACTTGAGAATGTTGATGTTTGCAAATATTTTCTTGCTGCCTCTCCTAATACTGCAAATTGACTGCAGAGATAATGGGCAAAGGATGACATCATACAAAACACTAGCCTTTTAAGTGCAAAGGCTGGAGGAACCACTTAGAGTAATTAGGAAATCCTTAAACAAGTGTTTGCAAAGTACTGGCTAACCTTTAATGGTTGCTTTTTTTTTCTTTTTTCCTGGCATCTAACGCTAAAAGTCTGACCTTGAATAAGTATCTACCCACTGGCTTTCAGCACCAGGAACAGAAAAGCTCCCCCAGGCTGTCTGGTTGTGTGTGGACAGTACCATCAATGTGAGCGCCCTTAGCCAGTGAGTGTTCGCAGGAAGTACTCTCGTGTGAATTGTGCAAAGTGGAGCTGCACAAGGCCTTGGTGAAAGCTTCAGGATAAAGTGCTGACATTCTTTCCTTTTGCTCCAATTTCCA
Organism: Homo sapiens; assembly: GCF_000001405.40. Classification (NCBI taxonomy): domain Eukaryota; kingdom Metazoa; phylum Chordata; class Mammalia; order Primates; family Hominidae; genus Homo; species Homo sapiens. The sequence continues at coordinate 54,687,076 of NC_000016.10, read as the reverse complement.
AAATGGCTATCCGGTTTTTTCGGAAAGCTTGGTGAAATATCTGCTGTTTAAACTGGCCTGGATCCCACTAGTCACTATGGCCACTCAGAGAAAATCTGGCTTTCTCAGGAGTATCCTTCTGACTATTTAGGATGGTGGGTAAAATGGTTGGAAATCCTATCTTTTGGAGCACAGGGCTGTGATGAGATGGGGGAAGTAGCAGGGGAGATAGGCCTGGGGCTGATGTTGTCTTTTTAAATCTAGTTCAATGTGTGGTGTTAGCCGTAAAACACTTTTTTTGCCTAAAGAACATGGACAGATAAATAGGTTAGATAGGTAGGTAGGTAGGTGGATAATAGATGGGTGGTAGATAGATGGATGATAGAGAGATGATGGATAGATGATAGATGGATAGATAATAGATACGTAATAGATGGATGATGGATAGATGGATAGTTTGGCAGATGGATAGATGATAGATAATCAATAGATGGATAAAAGATAGATCAACGATAGATAGACAGACAGACAGATAGATAGGAATCTATTTTCTGTTTACCAAAGCAATATATTTCTCCTTGTAAAAAGTCTAGAGAATATGAAACTGTAAAAAAAAAAAAAAAAGTCAGGGTGGCTGGACGCAGTGGCTCACAGCTGTAATCCCAGCATTTTGGGAGGCCAAGATGGGAGGATTGCTTGAGTCCAGGAGTTTGAAACTGGCCTGGGCAACGTAGTGAAACCTCCTCTTTACAAAAAAATTTAAAAATTAGCCAGGTGTGGTGGCTCATGCCTATAGTCTCAGCTACTCAGGAGACTGAGGTGGAAGGATCACTTGAGGTCGAGGCTGCAGTGAGCTGTAATTGTGCCACTGCACTCCAGCCTGGGGAACCGAGTGAGACCCTCTCTCAATAAAAAGAAAAAGGAAGGAAGGGAAGGGAAGACAAGGGAAGGGGAGGGGAGGGGAGGGGAGGGAAGGGAAGGGAAGGGAAGGAGGGGAGGGGAGGGGAGGGGAGGGGAGGGAAGGGAAGGGAAGGGAAGGGAAGTGAAAGGGAAGGGAAAGGGAAGGGAAAGGGAAAAAAAGGAAGAAAAGGGGGAGGAGGAGAAGAAGGAGGAGTAGAAGGAGAAGGAGAGGGAGGAGGAGAAAAAAAGGAAGAGGAAGAGGGAGAAGAAGAGGAAGAAGGAGGAGGAGGAGAAGGAGGAGGAGGGAGCAGGAGGGAGGAGGAGGGAAGAGGGGAGGGGGAAGAGGAGGAGGAAGAAGGAAGAGGAGGAGGGGGAAAGGAAGAGGAAGAAGGAGGAGGAGAAAGGGAAGGGGAAGAAGGGGAAGGGGAAGGAGGAGAAGGAGAAGAAGAAGAACAACAACAAGAGGAAGAGGAAGAGGGAAGAGGAGGAGAAGCAGAAGGAGAAGAAGACAGCAGTGGTGCAGGGGTAGGGGGATGTTCATGATCCTGTCTCCCAGTTAAAGAAAACTTGGATCTTATTTTCATGTGTTTTTCAATAACTGAGGTAATACTAGATGAATAATTTTGTATCTATCAATTTTCATGCCATTATCTCAAAGGCATTTCCCCAAGCTTTAATGGCTTCATAATATATGACCACAGAGCTCTACCATCATGCGCATAAGCTTTCCCCTAACAATGGACATGTAGGTTGTTTCCAGTGTTTGGTTATTCTAAACGATGCTGGGTTGGACATCTTCCCACTAACATCTCCACTTCTTCACTGAGTCCAGCCTGCAGAGTAAACCAGCAGGTACAGGAAACGTTCTGAGTCACTCATTGAGCCATTAATCCTATATTATTTTAACTTCCAAAATGGAGCTTTTCAGATACTTGATGGGAAAAGAAAAATAAAAACCACGTTTTCTTGCAACTATGTAACATTTTCTTCGAGAGTCACCTTGTTTGAGGAAAACAAAGATTAAATCAATGAGCAAAAGAGTGATATTCTGGAAAGCAAATCTACCAGATTTCCCATACCTTGTTTTACAGTGATTGGTGTTTGCTGCAAATCTTCGGCAGGGAACAGAGGTGGCATTTACACCATATGCAAACAGGTCTTTTCCTTAAGAATTAAAATAAGAGTGAACCTTCCTATCACAGTCTCTTTGTGCCCTGTGCAGACAAATGGGAACTTTTGTCCCACCATGTAGATCCCTGTTGTCTTCAGGGATGTATCAGGATGTAGCATTGGAAGAAATATAGGGCAAATCTTTAGCTGCTTGCAGAATGCTTGATGACCAGTGGGCTGTGTGCATGGAAGCCCGGTGCAGCCCTATCAAAGCAGGAACTCAGCTCACACTGAAGGCTGAGGATCTAGGGTGCCATGGCCCCATTCGAGGTTTTCTTTCTACTCCTGAACATTTCCAAGCCTCATTCTGTTCTGCAAAGGAGTCCTTTTCTCTCTGTGACACATGGAGTGCTTTGGAAAGCTAGTAGAGGAGGCAATGACCTGGGGCATAACGCATTATCTGAACATGCCTACGGAGCATCCCATTTTGGGACTCCTCTTGTGTCACTTGTTCTCTGGCCTTCTCTTCCCACCACTCTCCTCTGCCCTTTTCCTCCTCTCCTTTCTCTCCTGCTTCCGTATTAGGCCTGATTCCTTCATGGCCAGAAGAACTTGCAACTCCGTGGATGTTATTCCCTGGATTAGGGACTCAGAAACTCAATTTCCAGTTTAGCCCAGCACAGGGGTCCCTAATCCCTGGGGGCAAGTTTTAATCCTTAAACAGCAATCATAGAGTTTAATGGAGTTTAACAGAAAGAAGAGCCACCATCGTAGTTGCTGTTTCAAATGTAAAACTATTTAAATTCTAAAGGAAATCAAATACAATCAGGCAGCAAGTCTGGGGTCTGGGATTTACATTTGTCTGCTGCATTATTTTTTGAAATCGTGCTCAAATTTAAAAAGATCATTTCTTGGTACTGTGTCTTACGCAGGTATTTATTTTTTAAACTGCTAGAAAAATGACCGGTGAAGATTAAGTTTACTTTTTCCTCTCTTCATCAACTATTTATTGAGCAACTACTATGTGCAACTACTACTGTGCTGGGCAGTGGGTGGTACAAAGAAAAGAAAATCCACCTGATCTGTGCCTTTGGGGAAGTATGCAATCTAGTGGAAGACAGATATTCAGCAGATAATCACATGTGTATACATTATTATAAGTCACAGTACGTGCTGTGAAGGAAATCGAAGATTGTACCTGGAGATTTGATTTGAATTTGAGGTGGAATAGAGTGGTACAAGGAGGTGTGGGCACAGGAGCTTTTCTTAAGAGATGATGTTCCAGCTGATGTCTGAAGAAGACATACGCAACTTAACCAAGCAAAGAGCAAGAGAAAAGTTTTCCAGGCAAACAATAGCAAATACAAGGGCTGTTGGAAGGGAAGACATTTGGTGGCTGAAGGAACTGAAAGCTTGTTCATCTTAGGTGGTAGGGATGGGATCAAAGAGATAGGCAGAGGCCAAATTAGCAAGATTTTGCCAGTCATGGAGTCATTGAAGCATTATCCTGAGAACAAAGAGAAAACAGTGAATTTTTAAATTTCCTTTTTTTAAAGCAAGAAAGGGACTTGATTTTAATTTGTATTTCAATATCCTTGGGACTGCACTGAGAAGAAAGGAGCAGAGTGGGAAGGGAGACCAGCTTTGCTGGGGTCCACATGAAAGATGGTGGTGCCTCAGCCCAAGGTGTTTGTGGTGCCTAGTGCAATAACAAATATGGAAGATATTTTGCAGAGAAGGGGCAGGAACTGATCAGAAAAGGTGGATATCAAAGATAAATTCTTGATTTCTGGCTTCGAGCAGCCGTTTACATAGAAAGAAAACCATGAAGACCAGCAAACTTGTAGGTGGAAGGTAAATATAAATGAATGAAGCATTAAAATAATTATTTTAGTATCTATTTAAGGCCTCTAGGCCACATACAATGGTTCATGCCTATAATCTTAGCACTGTGGGAGGCCAAAGCAGGAGAATTGTTTGAGTCTAGGAGTTGGAGACCACCCTGGGCAACATAGCAAGACCCTTTCTCTACAAACAATTAAAAAAATTAGCCAGGTGTGATGGCATACACTTGTAGTTCCAGCTACTCAGGAGGCTGAGGTGAGAGGATCACTTGGGCCTGGGAGGTCAAGGCTGCAATGAACCATGATTGTGCCACTGCACTCCAGTCTGGGTAACAGAGTGAGACCTCATCTCAAAAAAAAAAACAAAAAAAACCCTCTGACTTGCCAGGTATTCTGGAAGCATAAGTCACGACTCCATGTAGATAGTCAGCTTTTGTCCTTGGAAATTTGTAATGCTGTGAAACACAGGTATTATTGCAAACATCACTCGTGTTAATATTAACAGTTACAGGTTACAGCCTATTCCTTAACACATCTCTCAGTGTAGAGGACCTAAGTGTATTCAACCCCCAAGTTTCTAGACCATTCAATGACTTTCGATAATGAATATAAATTGTCAGTCCCTCCTTGCCATCCCCAAATGGAGATATTTATCTGTTTTTATCCCAAGCAGAGCCCTGTTATCAACATTGTTCTCCTGGTAACCAGGAGGTACACAATTCTTAAGAGATATTTTAACAAGGTTTCTTATGCATCATTTCAGTAAGTTCTTTAAAATAAACAGTGTATATTATCTTTTTTTCAGGAAGTAAACGATGGCATTCATGCTATTATAAATCATGATGGATTTCCATATTCTCTACCATGAAGAATCTTTTTTTTTTCTCTTAGGAAAGAAAATTAAGGTTGCTGTACCATGGGATCACTTTCATTATCTTTAGCATACAAATGATCTTTTAAAAAGATTTTTTTCCCTCTATGTATGTACAGTTTCAATGATATAATTTACATTGCATCCTTCATATTAACACTCTGATCCATCATCACTAACAATGCAGGGTCTTTGTGTGAGGGGCTGTCGGACAAATGTTTTAGCTTGTGAGAAGAAAATTGTTAGCATTTGAATAGAGAATGGTACAGGAAGGATTAATAGCCTACTTTGATGGATTAGAATGTAGGGAAATTGCTCAATATTAATATGAAAATGTTTGTGAATTGGTTGCACGGTGCTGTCAATGGAAAATGATTATGTCTCCAAGCCCTTATCAGTTGAGACTTGACTTTTAGCAAAGACTTACACACAAAAGACTGAGAAGGGGTGTGGAAGATGGCTGGCTCCTGGAGCCGGGACAAAAACCCACCATTCACCCATTGGAGGCCTCGTGTCACTTTGGGTGCCCTTTCTGTAATATTGTACATCTTTATATTAACATATCTGAATATGGATTTATAATAAAAGAGAAAGGAAAATGTGGTCCATAAGTTATTATTTCTATAATTTAGCCTTTCCATCTTTTAAAGCCCAATCAGAAACTGGCAGGGTGTTGTTGCATACCCAATTGAGCTCCCTTTAACTGATCCCTTTTTTGAGGGGGGTGGTCCATGCGCAATGGCTTCCAAGATGGTAATTTGCAAGGATGGTCCACAGTTTATAAACCATGACATGAAAATGGTTATTACTGATGTCCACAAGCTCCATCAAAGCAAGCCTAATTTTAGAATGATGCCTGAAAGATTCTTTGAATATTAAAAAGTAACACTTGCTAAACTTCACTCTTGAGCTTTCAACATAAGCTTAAGCATTCATTTACCTAATTAATGTCAGGGCTTAAGGATTTTTCTAGGCCCCACTTTTTTCTTCTATTAAAAACCCAAACACTGAAGTATTGTCCTGAATATATACATTGATGTATATAAAGAGGAAACTGAACATTTAATTTACCTCCTAAAAAACAAATTTGCTCAATACAATAAAACACACACAAAAAGTGCAATAAAGCAATTTCTCTGAGGGCATTTCCTTCAGTAGAAACTAGAGCCTATTCAGGATGACTTCAGGAGCTTCCAAAATATGTACATTTATGTGTGTGTACATATATGTGTGTATATATACACATAGAGCTTCCAAAATATGTACATTTATGTGTGTGTACATATATGTGTGTATATATACACATAGAGCTTCCAAAATATGTACATTTATGTGTATGTACATATATGTGTATATATATACACACATATATATACACATAGAGCTTCCAAAATATGTACATTTATGTGTATGTACATATATGTGTATATATATACACACATATATATACACATATATACATATGTGTATAAATGTGTATATATGTGTATATTTGTACACATATATGTACACATACATGTATATTTGTACACATATGTGTATATTTATACACATATGTGTATATTTATACACATATGTGTATATTTGTACACATATATGTACAAACATGGATACATATCAACAGATGTATTCATGCATATATTGATATTGTTTGGGTGTTTGTCCTCTCCAAATCTCATGGTGAAATGTGATCCCCGATGCTGGAGGTGGGGCCTAGTGGGAGGTATTCTGGTCATGGGGTTGGACCCTTTGTGAATGGCTTGGTGCCCTCCCTGCAAGAATGAGTGAGTTTGGGCTCTACCAGTTCACAGGAGAGCTGGTTGTTTAAGAGCCCCTGGGATCTCTCTTGCTCCCTCTCTCACCGTGTGACATGCCTGCTCTTCACTTGCCTTCCACCATGAGTAAAAGCTTCCTGAGGCCTCACCAGAAGTTGAGCAGATACTGGTGGCCGTTCTTGTACAGACTGCAGAACTGTAGTATCTATTTAAGACCTCTGGGCAGAGTGCAATGGCTCATACCTATAATCCTAGTACTGTGGGAGGCTGAGGCAGGAGAATTGCTTGAGTCTAGGAATTTGAGACCAGCCTGGGCAACACAGAGAGACCCTATCTCTCCAAATAAACCTCTTTTCTTTATAAATTACTGAGTCTCATATTAATTTATAGCAACACAAAGTGGACTAATATGTAAATATATATATATATTTCTCAACAAAAGTTCAAATTCATGACAAAATCATAACTAATAAAACTCTCTTGTTTCTTGAAAAATCTTAGACAATAGTGACTCTCTCTGCACCTTTGTTGGAGAACTCAGGGGCATGGGGCTACCTCCTGTTCACAGTCACGGCAATGTTACATTCACCCTCACTGACTACCATTGTGATAGAAATGGCAGGCTGGGCAGCAGGAAATGCTGCTCCTAAAATCAGGCCACTGTCTTTTCCAAGAACAAAGGAATCCTAAATAGGGTCCTTAGAATATATTTTTCTTATGCAAGTTTCACATTTAGCAGCATGCTTTAGCAGGCTTTCTGCACCTCGGAATTATTGGCATTTGGAGTGGAACAAGTCTGTCTTGTGGGGAACCATCCTGTGCATTGCAGGAGGCTTAGCAGCATCGCTGGCCTCTGCCCGGTATGTGACAGTGGAGCTCCCTTCCAGTTGTGAGAACCAGAAATGTCTCCAGACATTGCCAAATGTCCCCTGGGGGACAAAATTCCAGCTCCTCCCAGAGTTGAAAACAACTGGGCTAAAGAAACTTAAAGGTAATTATCATGAGGTATGTAGGATTACTGTTGGAGTGAAAATTGTAAATATAATGTTAAATTACATTCTCCGTAAAATAAAAAGTGAGATTTTGTGATGTTTATTTACACATTTTTTAAAAGTAAAAATACTAGTTACCATCTATTGAATAATCATTTACCCAGCATCGAATGTTTTAACATCATTATACAGTCATCAGGGAAGAATTATCAATTAGGTAAAATGATTCCCGTTTAACAGATGAGGAAACTGAGGCTTAGATATGTTAAGTCACTTGCCTGAGTCAATCTGCTAATATGGTACAAATGGGACCCAAGTCCGGTGGCTCAGATAGCAATGCTCTTAACCATCACTCTACTTAGCTGTGAAGCTTTCACTACAAATACCTGCATTGTGCCCCTACTGGCCTCCTGTGTTTGATGAATCTCAGGCTCCCCGTAACCCCTAAAAAAGAGCTCTGTGCCTCTGCCTTTTTCCTGGCTGACCATGACACCTTGCACCTTTCCTGCTACATTAAGCTGACATTCCTGCCTCCACATGTCTACCTACTTCCATGCTAGGACTCATCTAGAAGTCTATGGGATCCCCCAAATGTTTCCCCTTTCCCCATAGTCTCTATACATGGGATGCGCTAAAAAGGTGACATCACTTTATCCTGGCCTGGTAGACAGTAGTTTTAGTCGAGTGCTTCAAGTCACAAACCCCACCCCTTTGCACAGCCAGGTGCTGAGCCCTGGCAACATAAATGCATGCCTGCATACATAGACAATTTTGCACCAATTTTCAGGGGGTTCATAGAACTCCCAAGATCTTCCTCCCCAGATCCTGAATTAAGAATGTATTTCCAGATTAAGAAGTGAGCTCTCCTAGGATTTTGGCATAACTCAGAGTAGCACCTTCTCCATTATAAAAGAAGAAAAAAGAAAAGAAAACCTATACTGGGGTCTAATTCATGAAAATGAGCAGTCACAGTAAGCAGCAAGCAGACGCCAGGAGAGCAAGTGACAGCTTCCTGGGGCCCAGCAACCTGCATTTGGGAAAGTTGACGGTCCACAAGGCTGGACTGTGGCAGATGTGTCCCCTGTGTGCCCCTGGGACTGGCAGCTTCATTATAGCTGTTGTCAGTGTTTGTGGAGTGCTGACCTGCATGCCAGCCAGGCCTTTCTCAGGTAGAGATGTTCATTGCAACCTATTAATTCCCAGGCAAAGACAGAGTCAAAACAGAGCTCTGGCGGCCCTCAATCCCACAGCTGCTCTCTCTCCCTTCATTCCTCCTTGTTTGTGGTTGAAGACTGCTCACCACTGTCTTGTCTGGTTATCTTGGCCCAGATTCTCCCTCTTTTACTTTTGAATTTAAAAATCTCCCCCCAAAGTTATACATATGTCTAGTTCTAAAAGATTTCCACTTGTCTCTCAGCTTCCTATTAACCCAACCCATTCTTGTTCTCTCTCTCTCTCTTTTTTTTTTTTGAGACAGTGTCTCACTGTGTCCCCCAGGCTGTAGTGCAGTAGCATAATCTCAGCTCACTGCAACCTCCATTTTCCAGGTTTAAGCAATTCTCCTACCTCAGCCTCCCAAGTAGCTGGGATTATAGGCTCACGATACCATGCCTGGTATACAAATTACAGGTATACATGCCTGTATAAAAATACAAAATTATTTTGTATTTTTAGTAGAGACAAGGTTTCACTATGTTGGCTAGGCTGGTCTCAAACTCCTGACCTCAGGTGATCCATCTGCCTTGGCCTCCGGAAGTGCTGGCATTACAGGCATGAGCCACCACGCCCGGCCCCTGCTTTCTAGAAGTGACTCATTTCTTTCTGATATCCCTTTAGGCACTTATTGCTTTGTTTCTAAACAAAATGTTTGTATAGCATTTCCTAGATCTTTAAATCTAGCTATTGTCTGTGAACTTCTAACGTAGAATATGAGGCCCTGGCTCTTAAAGCATTTTCCCCACTACTGCCTCTAACACACACATGCCTTGCAACACATGGGCCCACTTCTTGCCACCTTCCTCCCAGTAGTGTTATGTCACAATTGGTATTGAGTTCAATATTCAGTGTTTAAATCATATAAATATTACACACAGCTGAGCCATTGATTGTAGCATGATTACATTTTCCTCTTGCACAACTTTTTGTTTTCCCTGGAGCCGCTAATAGCCTTGTTTTCTGTGTATTGTTCAGTAATTCACCTGAAGGCTCCCTGTCAAAACTGTCACTCTCCTCTCAGCATTTTTAAGCACATCTTATCCATTTTGGATTCTTCTAGGAGTTATCCTCTGGACGTCAATACCACCTCATTCTCCTGCTCAATCCAGACTGGCTATCCTCTAGATTGCCTTCCTAGAAGTCTGTATTAGGTTGGGTTCCTGTTTCCTGGAGCTATGTCTTTCTCTAACTTTTGGTGGCTCTCACCTACCAACTTCTGGCTGTAGGTTCATGGAATACCTGCTGTTTTGATACTGAAAATGACTTTTTTTCTAACCTTACTCGCAAATGTCAAGGCTGCAATTAACCCCTCTTCAAAACATCATAAAAATCCCTTGTAGTTTCCCCCACTTATTGCCCCATAGGCATTACCATATTTTGGAGTCATTAATTTTTTCAGGCTCTCGGGAGCATTGAATACACCCCTGCAATCTACTTCTCACCAACCTTTCAGATTTAATAGCAACCCACATTGTAAAGCCATTTGCCATTTGGCCAGCACTGCCACAGTCCTATCTTATTGTGGGAGGCACATAGACACGGTGAATCCTTTGTTCAAGGATGTTGAGGTTAACTCAGGACACAAGGTTCTGACTTCTGGTGAGTACCAGAGATCTCAAGAAACCAACAAAACCTGTAGCTATGGCACCAGAAAAACAGAAATGCAATAAAAATTTCAGCTTTGATTAGCTGAGCTAGAATTTTGGATTAAGAAATTATTCCAAAGAACTACTTTTATGTCAGCATACATGTAAGTTTTGTGTTTTATGGTTTTATAATTTTGTGAACTCTATGTGGTAGGTCAAAGGAACATCATAACATTTTCATGGCTTGGGATCTCTGTAGGTCTTAATCTGGTTTACTTCAAGTTAGGTGATTTGCTTCGCCTCCTCCTCCCTCTCTCACTCCACCTTGATCAAATGAAGTTAATTTTCTTTCCTTCCTTCCTTCCTTCCTTCCTTCTTTCCTTTCTGTCTTTTTCTTTCCTTCTCTCTCTCTTTCTTCCTTCTTTCTTTCTTCCTTCCTTTCTTTCTCTCTCTCTCTTTCTCTCTTTCTTCTTTTTTTGATACAGGGCCTGACTCTGTCACCTGGGCTGGAGTGCAGTGGCATGATCTCGGCTCACTGCAACCTCTGCCTCTAGGGTTCAAGCAATTCTCTCACCTCAGCCTCTCAAGTAGCTGGGAATACAGGCGTGTGCCACGCCCAGCTAATTTTTTGTATTTTTAGTAGAGATGGGGTTTTGCTGTGTTGGTCAGGCTGGTCTCAAACTCCTGACTTCAAGTGATTCACTTGCCTTGGCCTCCCAAAGTGCTGGGATTCCAGGCATGAGCCACCATACCTGGCCAAAATGAAATTAATTTCTATAACTGTGGTTAATTTGGCTCACTCAAGGAGACTAACTTTTAGACATTGCCAAAAATTTCTGCAAGTATATTCTACAGACTGAAGAGTTAACAGTTTCTCAGTTGGAAAGGAAGGAAATGATTCTCTATCCAAATCATCAGGGGAGAATTTTCAAACTATACCCTCTCTCTGATACTTTCCTCTGATCCTTAATCCACCTCTTTCCACCAAGTTCTGGAGCCAGTGTTACTGATGATGGTAGGTGGGGAAAGACAATTAAAACAATAGAATTTCACTGACCTGTAACAGAGTTCATGAACCAATTTTAGTTTTCACACAGAGAAATAGGATGTGCAAAAGCCCTGTGGCCCCCATACCCTTAATGTTCTGCTTTCTCAGGCAAGAGCTAGCTAATTTTTACAAGTAATCCTTGATGAAATATTTCAGACTCATGTCGTTTAAACATAGCTTGAAAAACATGTTCTGAAGAGTACACCTTAATTCAAAGAAAGAAGAGAAGTGATGGGATTTCTGATCATGGCAGGCAGGGGCCTTCTGTATTTTTCAACCATAGAAAACAGTTCACCTATAAAAGCAACAAAGTAGAGAGGAAACAGGGAAGGAATTGACATCAGGAGACCCAGCTGGCAACCTCTGCTCTATCCCATCATGGCTGTGAGATTGGCGTCACTCAGCATTGCTGAATCTGTCTTCTCACTGTAAATTGAGCTAATATAAAGTATATTACACAGTCACCTGTAACTCAAATAGAGCATGTATAACAAAGTTTTTTGTAATGAGAATACAGTGTGTAAAAGACCTTTGCATACCATAAAGCATTAAATACATGTTAGGTTTTAGCAAGTTAATTCCATTTCTTAACACTTTAATGCCAACATGTAGTACTCTCACCTAATGCATCCCTCACAAAGATGCCTTTCTATAACTCATTTTTCTGTACCTGTCAAAGAAAAAAAGATTTTCTTTTTTTCTCACGCAGCCTGCATAAAATTAAATATGTCTAAGTGGATGTATCCATCGGAGCTTTCGGTTGCAAACATAGAAGTGGACTCTTTTATCTTAAGTAGAAAGGGGGATTTATTTAACATTTATGAGAGTGGATAGAATTGATACTCAACATGGTTACTAACTCACAGGACCTGGCCATGTCCAGCTGGAAGGGAGCTGGAGCAGATTCCTGGTGGCCCCTGCTATTCTGGGAGTTATGTTTTAGGTTTCTGGAAGATGGGGAAAGCTGAACAGGTTCTAACGGAGGGGCTCAAGCTAGGGCAGTGGTGGATACAGTTGAGAATCAGGGACAGTGGCTATTTGCTGATGGGAACAGAAGTGCTTAAACATTTTAGTCACTGGCATGGACTCACTAGGCAGACCCGCTGAATAGCAGCACTGGCTCGGTGAGAGGACAGAGTACCCAGCTGGAGAAACATTCAGAAACCCAAGCAGTGGGGATGACACCTCCACCATCTTTCATGACACCTTCTGTGGAGGACATTGTTGCAGAGTTCGAACATCACTACTGTGAATAGTTTCCCTCTGTGCCCCCATCTTTGTGATGTTCATTTGGGATGCAAAGTCCCGGGTGGGAACATCAGGCTGGCCAAGGCTCAGCCTCCACTCTGCCTTCTGTGAATTGAGGAGAGGACGGTATGAGGCCAGCCCTATTTCCAACCATGACAGAGTCAATGGGGATTTCTTCCAAGAAGAAAAAAGACTTTGGATGTTGGGTACCCAATATCCACTAGACTGAGGGGTTAATTTTGAGACAAAGATGCTTTCTGTAAGATTCTCTTGGAATCTGTTTCTCTTCCTCTCTTTCACCTAGAGAGTAATTCTGTAAAGAAATTATCGTCATCGTCATCATCATCATCACACAAAAAAACTTTAAAAACTACAAGGTCATCTATAATGCGTTGCATAGCTAAAGGTCACCTTGGATTTTCATCTTGACTGCCATGCTTTTCTTCTCATTAAAATATTTGACAAGAATTCTTTGCATGAATGAACAGCTCCAAGCACCCTAGGCCCACAGCATTCTCACAAAAGATGTTACGCTGTCATAATAAATAATTGTGCTGCCAGTTGAAAATCAATATTTGTGTTATACACACATTAACACAGAAATTTGGTGTTTTTACAGTTACAATGCTTCCGAGAAGATATCGCATGATCTCTTGATGAAATAACATATATTTCCTTCCCCTTAGGTTGCTTATGAGTGGCCTTAAGAGTGGGGTTTACATTTTTATTTGTTTCTGTATTTCTACTGCACCTGGCATTGGTCTTTGATCATAGCTGTTGGTTGAAAATGCCTATCAAATTGGACAGTGAGGTTAGTACTTGAGGTTGCAAGTATATGAATATATTCTAAGTCTAAGAAGTTGTTTACAGGAAGAGGTCAAGTATAGTGGTAGTATTACAGGTAGGATGACTAACTGTCCTGGTTTGCCAGTGTGGGTGCCCAGGACTTAGGACTTCCAGGGCCAAAACCCAGAAAGTCACAGGCTTGGGCACCAGAGTCTAGCTTTGAATCCTGCTTCCACCAATTATTAACTGCATGACTCAGTTTTCTATTTGTAAAGGGTGAATAATAACACATTTATTATTAGGCTTTGGAAATAAATATGCTCATATATATAAAGTACTCAGGGCAGTCTTGGATCATAGTATGCACTCGGTGGATGTCAACAAATAGTAAATTCTTATAGTAATGCTTGACTATAATGTCTCCTACTAAAGCCTAAAAGATGCTTCTGTCAATCTTCTTCTTAGCATTTGTAAGTCTTTAAAAAATACTGTATATTGTAAATTTTAAACAGGAGAGAATTTGTTCCAAAACAATGTTATTTTGAAATAGAACAAACCCGCCTTTGCAAACAATGGCAAATAATGAGTCAAATTCCAAATCCCTTTGTATAATCACAGCATATCATAATGTGACACAGACTGAGAAGATTTGTAGGTGTGGGGAAAAGTGTCTTGAGACAATTGATGTGATTCCACTTTTTAGACGGCTACCAGACTGTTGGATTCTCCCCCTCCATACACACACACATACTCACTTCCTAATACAATGCTGGTTGTTTTTGGACTGGGTACTTGAGATTTCCCAAAATTATCCAAAGGAAAAAAAAAGGGGGGGTAGCAAGCAGGAAAAGCCTTTTCTACCCAAATAAATACTGCTGAAATGTCACCATAGCTCTGATCTCTTTGATTTTTTTTCCCCTCTCTGATGGAAATGTTCCTGATCCCTGATTTCATGGACAAGCTGAAATCAGTGTGTAAATATTTTGCCATCACTAGGACCTGATTTCTTCATCTAAGTATTCAGATGTCTTTAGTCCACATGTGAAAGAACATAGAGGCCTTATCATCTTACATGGAAACCAGGGCATGTGCTGAAAAGTTAAACCATGGTGGAATCATTGTGGTCTGCAAAGCAAAGATTTGCTGGCTCTCTGAGTGAGTGTTCCCCTGAGCCAGTGCGGCCCACTTGCTGTTAGCCTAACCTTGCTTTTAATTGGGTTTCAGCTAAGTGAGCTTAGATCACTAGGATGAAAAGAAGAAATGGTCAATAATGTGGGTGTTTTGTCTGTGCTGTCAAGTATCTGGGTATTGGGGAATGTCTGTATGGCTGAGTTCTGACTTTCTGTTACATAGGTTCATATCTTTTTTTTTTCTCCTTAAACCACAAGATGCACTCAGAGTGTGTTAAACTCTTGGAATTGTGAGATAGCTGCACTGTTTTCTTTTTTATCCTGCTTTTTAGAATAAAGAGTCAAAGCAACAACATGAAGCAAGTAAATATAAAACTTTAATAAAAAGAGGTTCAAACACCAGGATATAACCTGAGGTCAGTAGGAATTACCTGTGTTGTTGCTTCTGAGTGCAGAATGCATGCCCCTGGGGGTAGGTAAAATGATTTGCAGTGGGGCATTAAACAATAGAGACTGCTGTAGTGATAACGTGACTCCCTTTTTTAGCCTCATCAATCCTTCTACTTACATCTGAGAAAGTCTCATCTGGGTGCTGGTATGTCCTCAACACCCCTCCAACACTTGCAAACCTGCCTCATTACCAAGGATCAGTGGCCGAAGATTAGGAGTCTTCCTTAGGCAACAGAATCTAGCTTGAATTTAATAATATTGCTTTGTTTGCTTTTTATTTGTTTATTTACAGACAGAGTCTCACTCTGCTATTTAGGCTGGAGTGCAGTGGTGCAATCTTGGCTCACTGCAGCCTCAACTTCCCAGGCTCAAGTGATCCTTCTGCCTTAGCCTCCCAAATAGCTGGGACCAAAGTTGTGCACCACCACGCCTAGTTAATTTTTTTAAAAAATATTTTGTAAGGATTGGGTCTTACTTTGTTGTCCAGGCTGGTCTGAAACTCCTGGGCCCAAGCAGTCCTTCCACCTTGGCCTCCCAAAGTGCTGGGAATACAGGCATGAGCCACCATTTTTTATTTATTTTTTTTAAATTTTATTTATTTAATTTTTTGAGATGGAGTTTCACTCTTATCACCCAGGCTGGAGTGCAATGCCACAGTCTCAGCTCACTGCAACCTTCACCTCCCAGGTTCAGGCGATTCTCCTATCTCAGCCTCCTGAAGGCTGGCACTACAGGTATGCACCACCATGCTCAGCTAATTTTGTATTTTTAGTAGAGATGGGGTTTCACCATGTTGGCCAGGCTGGTCTTGAACTCCTGACCTCAGGTGATCCACTCACCTCGGCCTCCCAAAGTGCTGGGATTAGAGGCATGCCTGGCTTTTTATTTACTTTTAACGTTTACCTTCTTTTCCATTTATTGCCATGTGTAAGTTCGTTATTGCTGTTGTTTTTAAATAAAAACGTGCCTATTTAAAGAAAGCAATTAAGTAATTGTAGCACAGGTGAGTGTATGGATATAGCAGAAATCATAAAGGCAGTACATAAACAGCCCAATTTTAGGAGCCACTGATCTATTTCTTCATTATGAAAGGGCAGTGTGATCTAGCCATCCACCAAATATTTATTGAGTATCTACTATGCTGTGCTGAACCCTGTGGGTCATTGGGCAAAGTCTTTGGCCTCAGGACTGGTAAAGGAGATAGATAACAAACTAAATATATAAAATGATGTCAAAGGTAAAATGAAGAAAATAAAACAAGGGACTGGAGAGGGAATAACTAATGTTTCCATTTTTGACAGAGTGGTCAGGGCATGACCCTCTGAGAAGTTGCTGTCTGAGCAAAGGCCAGGATGAAGAGAAGCGTGAACTATTGTCTATCTGGAGGGAAAGCATTTCAACAAGATGGAAAAGCCAGTGCAAAGTCCTGAGGCAGGGGCATGCCTGGTATGGTTGAGGAATAATAAGGAGGCCCATGTGGACTGCAGTGAAATTGGTAGTGACAGGAGGAAGCAAAATGCCTAGGTAGATGGGGTGAGTCCCCAGTGAAACCCCACCTCCAAGCTGAAGACAGTTTAAAGCCTGAAAGCCAAGCTACAAGTTAAATCCTCGGACCAAATTGAGAACTTGTCTTCCTGTTTGGCATGCTTTCCTCTGATGGATCCCCACCCCTTACCTATTTAACATATACCTACCCTTTCCTAATTGGCTTTCTATGCTGTTGTGCCCACCTTTGAATGGTGTCTTTGCTTTAACCTTTTTTGCATACTCACAAGCCAATCAGCATGCACTCCCCATCCCGTGCCTACAAAGAACCCAGACTCAGTCAGTAGAAGGGAAGATGGCCTGACTTTGGGTAAGATGACCTGCCTTTCCTGTCCCCTTTCCAGCTCCCCTCTCTGCTGAGAGCTGTTTCCATCACTCAATAACATTCTCTGCCTTCACCATCCTTCAATCATCCACATGACCTCATTCTTCTTGGATGTTGGACAAGAGCTCAGGACCCACTGAGTACAGGTAACCAGAAAAGGCAGCCACCACACGTGACCAGACAAGGTGCCAACTGAGCTGCTAACACACTGCTGTCCATCATTCTGTGAACAGTGGAACTAAAAGAGCACTCTAACAAGAGCACTGGGACTTCAGGGTCCTGGGCAACCTCACCTGGGCACTGGTGCATTCCCCTAAAGGCGATATGCCTGGTCTGCCAGTGGACCCTGCATGGAGCTTGTTCTTATGTCAGCACCTGGAGCAGCCAGCCAGATCCCGCACTCACTCATTCACGTGCTCCCTTCTGCAAGGGACTGAGTGTGGTGAACTGAGTAGATGGAATGCCCCTGCTATGAGTCCAGTGAAGGAGTCGAGAAAAATCCTGCATTAAAATGAGCAAGAAGCATGGCATACAGGGGATTAGAGGTAGATTATATAAGGCTTTATTCATGGTAAAAAGTTTTATTCATAGTGAGATGGTAGCCATTGGAAGGCTTTCAGCAGGGAAGTACATCATCTGATTTACGTTCCTAAGGGGTCACTCTGGCCACTGTGCGGAGAAGAGACTGGGGAAGGGTACACTAGAGTGTACATGGGGAGACCTGGGGAGGCTCCTGCAGGCCATCCCAGGCTGTGGCTTGCATCCAGGTGGTGGTATTGAGAACCTTCAGCCCCAGGAAGCAGCAGGACCTTTACTGGCAATTTCTAAAGGATCAGTGAAACCTGTATAAAACTGGCACTGGTTTGGAAGAACTTATACATTAGCAACAGACAAGATGATCATTTGTATTGTGTGAAGGTCTAGAATATGCCATTGTTTCTATGTAGGACCTTTCTGTATCATCTCAAGAGAGATATAATGGCATTAGAGAAGGCTGATTTTAGAGGGCACAAGGGTGAGGAGAGAGCAAAGACCAGTGCTGGATGCTTCAGACTGGGAGAGTGTTGTCTAAAGAGAACATAATCTATCTAAATATTTTTTTTTAATACTTTAAGTTCTGGGATACATGTGCAGAACATGCAGGTTTGTTACATAGGTATACATGTGCCATTGTGGTTTGCTGCACCCATCAACCCGTCATCTACATTAGGCATTTCTCCTAATGCTATCCCTCCCCTTGCCCCCCACCTCCTGACAGGCCCTGGTGTGTGATGTTCCCCTCCCTGTGTCCATGTGTTCTCATTGTTCGACTCCCACTTTTGAGTGAGAACATGAGGTGTTTAGTTTTTGTTCCTGTGTTACTTTGCTGAGAATGATGTCTTTCAGCTTCATCCATGTCCCTGCAAAGGACATGAACTCATCATTTTATGTCTGCATAGTATTCCATGGTGTGTATGTGCCACATTTTCTTTATCTGGTTTATCACTGATGGGCATTTGAGTTGGTTCCAAATCTTTGCTATTGTGAATAGTGCTGCAATAAACAAACGTGTGCATATGTCTTTATAGTAGAATGATTTATAATATTTTGAGTATATACTCAGTAATGGGATTGCTGGGTCAAATGGTATTTCTGGTTCTAGATCCTTGAGGAATCGCCACACTCTCTTCCACAATGGTTGAACTAATTTACACTCTCACCAACAGTGTAAAAGCGTTCCTATTTCTCACATCCTCTCCAGCATGTGTTGTTTCCTGACTTTTTAATGATCCCTGTTCTAACTGGCATAAGATGGTATCTCACTGTGGCTTTGATTTGTATTTCTCTAGTGACCAGTGATGATGAGCTTATATTCATATGTTCATTGGCTACATAAATGTCTTCTTTTGAGAAGTGTCTGTTCATATCCTTCACTCACTTTTTGATGGGGTCTTTTTTTGTTTCGTTTTGTAAATTTAAGTTCCTTGCAGATTCTCGATATTAGACATTTGTCAGATGGATAGATTGCAAAAATTTTCTCCCATTCTGTAGGTTGCCTGCTCACTCTGATTATAGTTTCTTTTGCTGTGCCTAAGTTCATTAGTTTAATTAGATACCATTTGTCAATTTTGGCTTTTGTTGCAATTGCTTTTGTTGTTTTAGTCATGAAGTCTTTGCCCATGCCTATGTCCTGAATGGTATTGCCTAGGTTTTCTTCTAGGGTTTTTATGGTTTTAGGCCTTACATTTTGGTCTTTAATCCATCTTGAGTTAATTTTCATATAAGGTATAAGGAAGGGGTCCAGTTTCAGTTTTCTGCATATGGCTAGCCAGTTTTCCCTACGCCATTTATTAAATAGGGAATCCTTTGCCCATTTCTTGTTTTTGTCAGGTTTGTCAAACATCATATGGCTGTGGATGTGTGATGTTATTTCTGAGGCCTCTGTTCTGTTCCATGTGTCTATATATCTGTTTTGGTACCAGTACCATGCTCTTTTGGTTACTGTAGCCTTGTAGTATAGTTTGAAGTCAGGTAGCGTGATGCCTCCAGCTTTGTTCTTTTTGCTTAGGATTGTCTTGGCTATATGGGCTCTTTTTTGGTTCCTTATGGAATTTGAAGTAATTTTTTCTAACTCTGTGAAAAAAGTCAGTGGTAGCTGGATGGGAAAAGCATTGTATCTATAAATTACTTTGGGCAGTATGGCAATTTTCATGATACTGATTCTTCCTATCCATGAGCATCAAATGTTTTTCCATTTGATTGTGCCCTCTGTTATTTCCCTGAGCAGTGGTTTGTAGTTCTCCTTGAAGAGGTCCTTCACATCCCTTGTAAGTTGTATTCCTAGGTATTTTATTCTCTTAGTAGCAACTGTGAATGGAAGTTCACTCATGATTTGTCTGTCTGTTTGTCTGTTATTGGTGTATAGGAATGCTTGTGATTTTTGCATATTAATTTTGTATCCCGAGACTTTGCTGAAGTTGCCTATCGGCTTAAGGAGTTTTTGGGCTCAGATGATGAGATTTTCTAAACATACAATCATGTCATCTGCAAACAGAGACAATTTGACTTCCTCTCTTCCTATTTGAATGCTCTTTATTTATTTCTCTTGCCGGACTGCCCTGGACAAAACTTCCAATACTATGTTGAATAGGTGTGGTGAGAGAGGCCATCCTTGTCTTGTGCCAGTTTTCAAAGGGAATGCTTCTTTGTTCTTTTTGCCTATTCAGTATGATATTGGCTGTGGGTTTGTCATAAATAGCTCTTATTATTTTGAGATACTTTCCATCAATACCTAGTTTATTGAGCATTTTTAGCATGAAGGGTGTTGAATTTTATTGAAGGCTTTTTCTGCATGTATTGAGATAATTATGTGGTTTTTGTCATTGGATCTGTTTATGTGATGGAGTACATTTGTTAATTTGCATATGTTGAACAAGCCTTGCATCCCAGGGATGAAGCCAACTTGATCGTGGTAAATAAGCTTTTTGATGTGCTGCTGGATTTGGTTTGCCAGTACTTTATTGAGGATTTTCGCATTGATGTTCATCAGAGATATTGGCCTGAAACTTTCTTTTTTAGTTGTGTCTCTGCCAGGTTTTCATATCAGCCTGATGCTGGCTCATAAAATGAGTTAGGGAGGAGTCCCTCTTTTTCTTATCCAAAATGTAAAGACCATTGACACTATGAAGAAACCGCATCAACTAATGTGCCAAATAACCACCTAGCATCGTAATGACAGGATCAAATTCACACATAACAATATGAACCTTAAATGTAAATGGGCTAAATGCCCCCATCAAAAGACACAGACTGGCAAATTGGATAGAGTCAAGACCTATCCGTGTGCTATATTCAGGAGACCCATCTCACGTGCAAAGACACACGCAGGCTCAAAATAAAGGGATGGAGGAATATTTACCAAGCAAATGGAAAGCAAAAAAAAAAAAAAAAAAGCAGAGGTTGCAATCCCAGTCTCTGATAAAACAGACTTTAAACAAAGATAAAAAAAAGACAAAGAAGAGCATTATATAATGGTAAAGGCATCAATGCAACAAGAAGAGCTAAGTATCCTAAATATATATGCACCCAATACAGGAGCACCCAGATTCATAAGGCAAGTTCTTAGAGACTTACCAAGAGACTTAGACTCCCACACAATAATAGTGGGAGACTTTAACACTCCACTGTCAATATTAGACAGATCAACGAGACAGAAAGTTAACAAGGATATTCAGGACTTGAACTCAGCTCTGAACCAAGTGAACCTAACAGATGTCTACAGAACTCTCCACCCCAAATCAACAGAATATACATTCTTCTCAGCACCACATTGAACTTATTCTAAAATTGACCACATAACTGGAAATAAAACACTCCTCAGCAAATGCAAAAGAACAGAAATCATAACAGTCTCTCAGGCCACAGTGCAATCAAATTAGAACTCAGAATTAAGAAACTCACTAAAAACTGCACAATTACATGCAAACTGAACAATCTGCTCCTGAATGACTACTGGGTAAATAACGAAATTAAGGCAGGAATAAGTAAGTTCTTTGAAACCAATGAGAACAAAGACAAAATGTACCAGAATATCTGGGACACAGGTAAAGCAGTGTTTAGAAGGAAATTTATAGCACAAAGTGCCCACATGAGAAAGCGGGAAAGATCTAAAATCGACACCCTAACATCACATTTAAAAGAACTAGAGAAGCAAGAGCAAACAAATTCAAAAGCTAGCAGAAGACAAGAAACAACTAAGATCAGAGCAGAACTGAAGGCGATAGAGATACGAAAGACCCCTCAAAAAATCAATGAATCCAGGAGGTGTTTTTTTGAAAAGATTAACAAAATAGACTGCTAGCCAGACTAACAAAGAAAAGACAGAAGAATCAAATAGACACAATAAGAAATGATAAAGGGGATATCACCACTGATCCCACAGAAATACAAACTACCATCACATAATACTATATACACCTCTACAAAAATAAAGTAGAAAATCCAGAACAATTTATTAAATAGGGAATCCTTTGCCCATTTCTTGTTTTTGTACCAGCTCCTCTTTGTATCTCTGATAGAATACAGCTGTGAATCCATCTGGTGCTGGGCTTTTTTTGGTTGGTAGCCTATTCATTACTGCCTCAATTTCAGAACTTGTTATTGGTCTATTCAGGGATTCAACTTCTTCCTGGTTTAGTCTTGGAAGGGTGTATGTGTCCAGGAATTTATCCATTTCTTCTGGATTTTCTAGTTTATTTGCATAGAGGTGTATATAGTATTATGTGATGGTAGTTTGTATTTCTGTGGGATCAGTGGTGATATCCCCTTTATCATTTCTTATTGTGTCTATTTGATTCTTCTGTCTTTTCTTTGTTAGTCTGGCTAGCGGTCTATTTTGTTAATCTTTTCAAAAAAACACCTCCTGGATTCATTGATTTTTTGAGGGGTCTTTCGTATCTCTATCTCCTTCAGTTCTGCTCTGATCTTAGTTGTTCCTTGTCTTCTGCTAGCTTTTGAATTTGTTTGCTCTTGCTTCTCTAGTTCTTTTAAATGTGATGTTAGGGTGTCGATTTTAGATCTTTCCCGCTTTCTCATGTGGGCACTTTGTGCTATAAATTTCCTTCTAAACACTGCTTTACCTGTGTCCCAGATATTCTGGTACATTTTGTCTTTGTTCTCATTGGTTTCAAAGAACTTACTTATTCCTGCCTTAATTTCGTTATTTACCCAGTAGTCATTCAGGAGCAGATTGTTCAGTTTGCATGTAATTGTGCAGTTTTTAGTGAGTTTCTTAATTCTGAGTTCTAATTTGATTGCACTGTGGCCTGAGAGACTGTTTGTTATGATTTCTGTTCTTTTGCATTTGCTGAGGAGTGTTTTATTTCCAGTTATGTGGTCAATTTTAGAATAAGTGCAATGTGGTGCTGAGAAGAATGCATATTCTGTTGATTTGGGGTGGAGAGTTCTGTAGACATCTATCAGGTTCACTTGGTTCAGAGCTGAGTTCAAGTCCTGAATATCCTTGTTAACTTTCTGTCTTGTTGATCTGTCTAATATTGACAGTGGAGTGTTAAAGTCTCCCACTATTATTGTGTGGGAGTCTAAGTTTCTTTGTAGGTCTCTAAGAACTTGCCTTATGAATCTGGGTGCTCCTGTATTGGGTGCATATATATTTAGGATACTTAGCTCTTCTTGTTGCATTGATGCCTTTACCATATGTAAGGCCCTTCTTTGTCTTTTTTTTTTTTTTATCTTTGTTTAAAGTCTGTTTTATCAGAGACTGGGATTGCAACCCCTACTTTCTTTTTGCTTTCCATTTGCTTGGTAAATATTCCTCCATCCCTTTATTTTGAGCCTGCGTGTGTCTTTGCACGTGAGATGGGTCTCCTGAATATAGCACACTGATGGGTCTTGACTCTATCCAATTTGCCAGTCTGTGTCTTTTGATGGGGGCATTTAGCCCATTTACATTTAAGGTTAATATTGTTATGTGTGAATTTGATCCTGTCATTACGATGCTAGGTGGTTATTTTGCACATTAGTTGATGCGGTTTCTTCATAGTGTCAATGGCCTTTACATTTTGGTATGTTTTTGCAGTGGCTGGTACTGGTTTTTCCTTTCCATATTCACTGCTTCCTTCAGGAGCTCTTGTAAGGCAGGCCTAGTGGTGACAAAATCCCTTAGCGTTTGCTTGTCTGTAAAGGATGTTATTTCTTCTTCACTTATGAAGCTTAGTTTGGCTGGATATGAAATTTTGGGTTGAAAATTCTTTTCTTTAAGAATGTTGAATATTGGTCCCCACTCTCTTCTGGCTTGTAGGGTCTCTGCAGAGAAATCTGCTGATAGCCTAATGGACTTCCCTTTGTGGGTAACCTGACCTTTCTTTCTGGCTGCCCTTAACATTTTTTCCTTCATTTCAACCTTGGTGAATCTGATGATTATGTGTCTTGCTCTTCTCAAGAAGTGTCTTTGTGATGTTCTCCGAATTTTCTGAATTTGAATGTTGGCCTGTCTTGCTATGTTGGGGAAGTTCTCCTGGATAATATCCTGAATTGTGTTTTCCAAATTGGTTCCATTCTCCCAGTCACTTTCAGGTACACCAGTCAAATGTAGGTTTGGTCTTTTCACATAGTCCCGTATTTCTTGGAGGCTTTGTTCATTCCTTTTCATTCTTTCTTCTCTAATCTTCTCTTCACGCTTTATTTCATTAAGTTGATCTTCAATCTCTGATATTTTTTCTTCTGCTTGATCAATTCGGCTATCGATACTTGTGTATGCTTCACGAAGTTCTCGTGCTGTGTTTTTCAGCTCCATCAGGTCATTTATATTCTTCTCTAAACTGGTTATTCTAGTTGGCAGTTCCTGTAACCTGTTATCAAGGTTCTTAGCTTCTTTGCATTGGGTTAGAACATGCTCATTTAGCTCAGAGGAGTTTGTTATTACCCACTTTCTGAAGTCTACTTCTGTCAATTTTTCAAACACATTCTCCATCCAGTTTTGTTCCCTTGCTGGTAAGTAGTTGTGATCCTTTTGAGGAGAAGAAGCATTCTGGTTTTTGGAATTTTCAGCATTTTTGCACTGGTATTTCCTCTTCTTTGTGGATTTATCTCACTTTGATCTTTGATATTGGTGACCTTCGGATGGGGTTTTTGCGTGGACATCCTTTTTGTTGATGTTAATGTTATTGCTTTATGTTTGTTAGTTTTCCTTCTAACAGTCAGCCTCCTCTCCTGCAGGTCTGCTGGAGTTTGCTGGAGGTCCATTCCAGACCCTGTTTGCCTGGGTATCACCAGTGGAGGCTGCAGAACAGCAAAGATTGCTGCCTGCTCCTTCCTCTGGAAGCTTTGTCCCAGAGGGGCACCCACCAGATGCCAGCTGGAGCTCTCCTGTATAAGGTATCTGTTGACACATGCTGAGAGGTGTCTCCCGGTCAGGAAGCACAGGCGTCAGGGACCCACTTGAGGAGGCAGTCTGCCCCTTAGGAGAGCTCGAGTGCTGTGCTGGGAGATCCACTGCTCTCTTCAGAGCCAGCAGGCAGGAACATTTATGTCTGCTGAAGCTGTGCCCACAGCCTCCCCTTCCCCCAGGTGCTCTGTCCCAGGAAGATGGGAGTTTTATCTATAAGCCCCTGACTGGGGCTGCTGCCTCTTTCAGAGATGACCTGCCCAGAGAGGAGGAATCTAGAGAGGCAGTCTGACTACCGTGGCTTTGCCATGCTGCAGTGGGGTCCCCCCAGTTCTAACTTCCCAGAGGCTTTGTTTATACTGTGAGGGGAAAACTGTCTATCCAAGCCTCAGTAATGGTGGACACCCCTCCCCGCACCAAGCTCGAGCATCTCAGGTCAGCTTCAGACTGCTGCGCTGGCAGCGAGAATTTCAAGCCAGTGGATCTTAGCTTGCTGGGCTCTGTGGGGATGGGATCTGCTGAGCAAGACCACTTGGCTCCCTGGCTTCAGCCCCCTTTCCAGGGGAGTGAATGATTCTGTCTCACTGGCATTCCAGGCACCACTGGGGTATGGGAAAAAACTCCTGCAGCTAGCTTGATGTCTGCCCAAATGGCTGACCAGTTTTGTGCTTGAAACCTAGGGCCCTGGTGGTGTAGGCACCTAAGGGAATCTCCTGGTCTGCAGGTTATGAAGACCGTGGGAAAAGCATAGTATCTGGGCTGGACAGCACCATCCCTTACAGCACGGTCCCTCATGGCTTCCCTTTGCTAGGGGAGAGAGTTCCCTGATCCCTTGTGCTTCCCAGGTGAGATGACATTCCACCCTGCTTCTGCTCACCCTCTGTGGCCTGCACCCACTGTCTAACCAGTCCCAGTGAGATGAACCAGGTACCTCAGTTGGGAATGCAGAAATAGCGCACCTTCTGCATTGAACTCAGTGAGAGCTGCAGACTGGAGCTGTTCCTATTCGGCCATCTTTGATCTATCTAAATCTTTAAATGCTTTAAACTATGCAATAAAGGTGAACACAAACTTGCTAATAAATCCTGAGAAGATACCACCTGAGGATGCATGATATTGATAAGAGCGCTTGTCCTCAAACTTGGCTGTAATCCCAGCACTTTGGGAGGCTGCAGCAGGAGGATCTCTTGAGCCCAGTTCAAGGCCAGCCTGGGCAACATGGCAAGACCCCATCCCTACAAACAACATTTTACAAATTAGCTGGGTGAGGTGGTGCATGCCTGTGGTCCCAGCTACTTGGGAGGCTGAGGCGGGAGGATCACTTGAACCCAGGATGTCAAGGCTGCAGTGAACCATGATCAAGCCACTGCACTCCAGCTTAGGTGAGACAGTGAGAACCTATCTAAAAAAAAAAAAAAAGAGAGAGAGAGAGAATGAGAGACTAAAAGTGAGGAAATCTTTGTTTAATTATTTGCTCTGGCATTTCCTACCTGTAAGCTTATTAACCATCCTAGTTTTCTGACACTCTCCTAGTTGTGGCACTGAATGTTCTGTGTCCTGGTCAAATTGGGATAATTGGTCATCCTATGTGTGATCTTACTAAATCAGATAAAGCCTCAGAGCCTGCTAAAGTTTTCATAAGAATGAAGTAAAGTATGTTCAGATGTCTAATGTAGTACCTAGCACAGAGCAGGAATCCAAAAATGCTTAATAGTTGATTTTCAAGATAATAGTTTACAATTAAAGTCACAGTGAGTTACCACTTCACACCCACCAGATGGCTAATGTGAAAAAGACTGAAAATGCCAAAGTTGTCAAGGATGTGAAGTAAGTGGAACTTTCATGGAAAAATTGGTAGAACCACTTAGAAAAACTGTTTGGCAATAGCTACTCACCCCATGCATCACCTATGACCCAGCAATTTGCATCCTAGGTATATATCCAAGAGGAATAAATACCTGTTTTCCAAGCATATGTATAGAAGCTTCATTTATAATGGTAAAAAATTAGAAACAACTCAAAAATCCATTAGTAAATTGGACGTAGAAATTGTAGTATATTCATAAAGTGGAATATAGCAATAAAAATAAACTATTGCTACAGATAACAATATGGATGAATTTCACAAACATAATAGTGAAGGAAAAAAGTCAGATACAAAAGATACACAGTAGCATTTCATTTCATTTATATAGAGTTGTTTTTTTTTTTTTTTTTTTTAACAGAGTCTTGCTCTGTCGCCTAGGCTAGAGTGCAATAGCACGATCTCGGCTCACTGCAACCTCCGCCTCCCAGGTTCAAGTGATTCTCCTGCCTCAGCCTCCTGAGTAGCTGGGATTATAGGCACACACCACCAGGCCCAGCTAATTTTTGTATTTTTATTAGAGACGGGGTTTCACCATGTTGGTCAGCCTGGTCTCAAACTCTTGACCTTGTGATCTGCCCGCCTCGGCCTCCCAAGGTGCTGGGATTGCAGGTGTGAGCCACCGCACCAGGCCTATATAGAGTTTTAAAGACTCAGCCCCACCTACTCTTTGGTGTTAGAAGTCCAAAAAGTGGTTTCCATTGGAAAGCATGTGACCTGCAATGTTCTCTTTGTTCCAGGCATTGGTTACACCAGGATGTTCACTTTGTGGAAATTCGTCTACCTGTACAATGCTATTTGTGCACATTTCTATATAAATGGTGTACTTTAATAAAAAGCTTTTTAAAAAGACCGAAAGGTAGACAAACAAACATAGGAAATTATTAGTCTTACAGACAATACTAACTGAAAGCTTCAGTGGATCCCAAAAGGTTTTAGACAATTCGCAAATGAGATTTCTTAATGGCTTCTAAGAGACTGGGGATACTAAACACTTGAATAGGCATCTTTCTCCATTGAATGGTCTCCTGGGATCTCTCATCCTTACAGCACAGTGAACTATCTACAAGTCTAACTAGGATTACAGTCACTGTGTCCTATGCTTCTAGCTAGGTGTTTAATAGAGGGAAACTTCTCTCTTCATCTCTGCAAAGAAAGCCCAAACCTTACCAAGGCAGCATGAAGTTTCTAAGAGATTGCATTAAATTACCTAAAACAACCTGTCATATAAATCACCTTCCATCTGGCCCCACCCCTCTGAAACACAGTCCATCCACTCCTGAGAATCACCATAGACACTCTTCATCTACTTGCTGGGACTTATTTGTTAGGCTCCACCTGGCAGTTCTTAGAATTTCTGATGCTGTAAGGTATGCTAAACAAGCTGAATGCCAAAACTGCCAGATACCTACGTTAAAATGGAATTACTGGGCCGAAATCAGAAGCCATTTAAATCTTCAACAAGCTCTCACTGTGGCTCTTGATTCAGAAAACCATGGTTTCCGTGAGACCAGTGGTGTTCCTGACAGAAGTTTTGCTTGAACAGAGGAGACCTCTTCCAAGGGGTCATTTACAATAGCAAGTGCAAACGAAATGTCAAGAATCTGCAAATCTCGGTGACTTATCGCTTTGGCGGAAAAGAAGATGTGCCACAGGAGCACCTCAGGTGCATCTTCACCTTCAGGTAGGAACCAAACAGCACACCGGTGGCATTTGCTCTGGGTGTATTTCACAGTAAGCTTTGCAACGCACTTGCTTCTTTAACAGGTGAATGCATATGTCATCATCATCATCAGGAGTTACTCTATTTTTTGACACACAGTGCCCTTGCACAAAATAAGTCATTTCAGGTAAACCCTCCTCCCATGTCCCTCAGAGTCAAATTCAAAGTCTTCATGGGGTTCCCATATTCTTCCTGATCTGGCCTTGTCTTATCTTGCTGATGTCACCTCTAACCTTCCAGCCACACTGGTCCCTTGCTGCTCCTGGGACACTGTAGGTGTGTTCCCACCTTGGGACTTGGCACTGCCTAGCCCTTCTGCTTGGAACACCCTCCCGCCACATATCCTATTGTCTAATTCACTCGACCCCTCCAAATCTTTGCTTTAATGTCACCAGTTTAACGGGTCCTACCCTGACTACCCTGTCCTTTCTTACCACCACTACTTTAATCCCCTCTACACTGACTTACTTTTGTTTTACACTGTTTTCACTTAACATACCATATATTTTCTTATTTTGTTTATTTTTTATTATTTGTCTTTCTACACTAGAATGTTAACTCCACAAAGTCAGGGGATTTTTGTTGTTATCCTTTTGTTTGGTTCACCAGTGTATTCCAAGTACTTAACACGTAGTTGGCATGTAGTAGGTGCTCAACAAATATCTGTTGAATGTTAAATGCCTAAAATTTGGGGGGCTTAGCATGTACTGTTATCATGTTATGTGCTTTATATATACATATATAATACTTAGCAAACCATGAGAAGAGTAATATTATTAACCACATTTACAAATGAAGAAACTGAAGCAGAGAGAGCTGGGTTAACCTGCCAAGGGTCATACAGCTAGTAAATAATGGAGCCAGGGCTCAAGCCAAAGTCAACAGATCTTAGAACACTAGTTCTTGACCACACCGACTCAACTGACACAAGCAATGCCAAGAAGAGGTTATGCACTCGGAAGGCAAATTTTGCTTGTGGTAGACATCAGCTTGTCATTTCTGCATTTATTCTTTTCCTGGTAATTGCACCCCCATTTCCCTCTAGGAAATGATTTCTTCTTCCATTTTCCATCTCTGGGCTTCTGGTACACTGGACTCTGTTTCCTGAGCCGGAAGAGAAGCATGTGATGGGAGAAAGCCAATCAGCATGTGGCATTCCACAAGCTTTGGAGATTGGCTGAGAAGTGAGCATGTGACCTGATCAAAGTTGAGAATGCTGGGGCAAGGTGGTTTCACTTCTCCTGCAGGTTTCACTTCCTGGGAAGCTGGAAAACTGTAAGCATAGTCTTGGGAGCCTGCTGGGATGAGTCAGCCTTTGAATAGAGCCAACACCAAGGAAGTAGAGCCAATAAATAGTATGACTGGCCCTGGGTCCTGCCCACTAGGCTTGTCTGAAGCCTTGAGGTGCTGTCTGTATTCCAGCATCCCCTGTTGGTAATGGTTTCCCTCTGTGGCTGTGAGAACGTGTCCCCTTCCTCTGGTTTGCTTTTGTTTTTTCTTCCTTCTTCCTTCCTTTCTTTTTTTCTCCTCTCTCTTCCTTTCTTTTTCTCTTCCTTCTTTTTTTCTCCCTCTTTCTATTCTTTTCCTTTATCTTTTCTCCTTCCTTCCTTTTTTCCTTTTTCTTTCTTTCTTTTCTTCTCTCCGAACACTAAGCGAGTAATTAGTATGTGCTAGAAATTATGCTACATTTAAGTACATTATCCCATTTTATTTTTACGACAACCAACCATATTATATAAGAATGTTTGATATTCCCATTTTAGAGGTAAAGACACAGGCTGGGAAATTTGCACAAGATCACCCAGCTGGTAAGTGATAGAATCAGGTTTCAGAGCCAAGCAATCTAACACTGGTCCATGCACTCTTAATCACTAGATTACACAGCCTCCCTTGTGAAGCACAGGGTTATATGTTGGGCAGACCAGAGTTTATAAGGAAGAAAGGATGGCTACAAAGTCAGTCATATGTGCACGCAGGTAGCTGTGGAAAGAACAGACTAGGGTAGTGATTCGAAAGAAAGCTTTGTATTTAGGCCAGTTCTGGTTTGAATTCTCCTTCTTCCATCTACTCACTGTGTGAACATGGGCCATTAATTAACTTCTCTGAGCTCCTGAATTCTCATCTTTACAGTGAAGCTAATACTACCAGTCTTGAAAGGATGTTGCCTGATTTAACTGAGAAAATGAATACAAAGTATTCCCCCGTTATTTGGTACATAGATGAAAGCTACTATGATAATAACATTATGTATGGTTACTATTAATATTCTTCTTATTATAGTCACCCTTAGTATTCTCAGTCCCAACAGCACGAGTCCTGAAGACAGCAAGGTGTGTTTTCTCCCTTGTGATTTTAGCCAACAGTTGGCACCTAGCTTCACCCTTGGAACTGAAGACTATTTATATGCAGCTGAAAAAAATCCATTTAAGCTGTGCTGAATTTTGTCACCCTTAGGAATTAAAACGTATGATGTGCAGCCTTCAGGGTGTGACTGTATTTAAAGAGATGTTCTCAGAAATATGCACGTGTCCCAATGAGGGGTGAATTAGTCTGAGTTCCTCCCTAGGTGATGTCAAGCAAACAGTTCTTTGAGAATTAGGCAATCTGGCTACTAAACCATTGATATTGTGCCACGAGGCATAAACCTTCCCAAGCAGGAGGGTATTGTACAAATAGGAATCATCTCCCAGATCTCAGATTAATGCAGACGTGGAAAATAGCATTTTAATAAATGTATTCTCCAAATGGAGGCACTTTTATTGCAAAACCTTCCTTTTGTATCCTGAGAGAAATGGAATGTTTTGGTTAGGCATAAACAACAGTGAGAGCATTTTCTAAATACACATGTTTTCTGCATGTCAGTTTAATTACATGTTGTAGATCATTTTTGAGACTCCTTGGGGATAATAGCTCCAAAAGCAATGCTTCTCTCTGTCTTGAGCGACCAGAAGTCACGATACCTGTTTTACATTTGGCGGTTTACAGCCCCTCTCCTTCCTTCTCCACTTCCTATAACTGTTCAGTTATATTTACATTTACAAAAGAGCATTACGTTTGGGTGTCAGCATTGACGGGAAGATTATTTGAAGTTAAAACACTTTGCCAGCTTCCATTTTCTTCACAACATTCCTTTCCACTTCTGCTTTTTCTTTAAAAGAAAAAAATTCTGACTTAAGAAAACTCGATCCTTTCGGAACAGACCAGCCACAGCTATTCCTTCCTGTGCTCCTGGAATGGAGGAGTGGAGGCGAGAGGGCCGAGAAGAGGGGTGAGGGGGAATGCTAAGGGACGGCAGGGGCAAATGGGGCCTTCTCCGCAGGGGACATTCAATAACTCTCTTAGCCTTTATGCTGTAGGACAGGGGCTCATTTGCTCGATTTGGGGTGACAGCAGCCGGTTTTGTTACAGCATAGCTGGAGTTTTAAATAAGTGCAGCTCTCAGAGGCCGAAGGCAGCATTCGTTATCTTAGCCATGGGAGGGCGTGGAAATCGGCGGTGTTTTTGGCAAGGGCAGCATAAATCCACTGTTTGCAAGGCCCCGACCCAGCCAGAGAGGAAGGAATGCACAGTTTCCCTTTGACGGTGAGATTTCCTGCTTCTTGTTGGAAAGAGTGTCTGGACTCCGATGCACAAGCAAAGTCTGCATCAATTACTTGAAAGGAAACCAACCCTATTCCTGAAGGTTTGGCAGCAGAAACATTCATTGTTGAGAAAGGGGAAGAAAAAAAAGACTAATGAACTCCCCTCTCTTCGGTATTTTCAAAGGCCTCTTGTGTTAGTGGCTGCTATTTTTTCTTTTTCTTTTTTTTTTTCAGAGTTCTTAGGAACTCTCATTAGCCCCTCAATAAATGCTACTTTAAGGGCTTGTAACTTTGTCATTAAATCTTCACTCCAAGATGAATTAAGGTTGCAGCCAAGAAATGCCCTCCCCACCCCCAGTGAGCTTCTTTACAATCACCAAAAAGGCAGGAAAATAGATTTGTGGGGGATTTTTAGTACTCGTTTACGTGCCTTCCTGTCAAATAGTGATTAATTCAGGGCCACTTAAGTTTTTCTAACTTTCATCCATAATGGGCACGTTGACATTTTTATTTGAATCTCTTTACGCCATCCAAAATAATCTCCTTCAGCAACAGAAACTGCTGGTTAATTGCCACAGAGCAGCTGTTACCTCTTCTCAGTCGACAGCCTCTTTCAGGATGGTTTTGAGCTCTGTGCCTGTGGAACGCACGGGCCGGCGACAGCGTGTCAGGTGGATTGATTGAATGGCCCCCTTGTTCCCGACTAACTGTGTCTACGATGGTATCAGGGCCAAACAAAGCCCTGCACATCTAAATATAGCATTTTCTTTGGCCCCCAGCCCTCACTGTCTTGTTTTCCCATTCTTCCATGCTCTAAAGCAAATACCAGAGAGCCCCATTTTAACACGTCTTACTTTTACACGTCTTACTTGCATATTCCATGGGTCAAACTGTTCCCAGAAATAGAAGTTCATGCACAATTAATCTGATTTTCTGGTTAATTGAAGCCTCACCAGAAAACTGCTTTGAAAAATTCACTGTTGTTACAGAGTCTTCTGAAAAACGTGTTCAGACACTCTCAGGATGGCAGAGTCTTGCAACTAAAAGAGAATTTGAGGTCTAGGTGCACAAAGGGCAGTGCCTCTGGATCTAGCCAAGATACCTGGACTTTCTGCCTTCTGCACAACCCATTTCATTTTTGAACCATTTTTGTTCCAGGGTATTACTTTGTATTTCCTGCCTTGATTATTGATGAAGTGAATGGTTTTGTTGTTGTTGTTTGTTAACTTGTTTTCTTGACGACAGGCCTTCGGGATACCCTGTTGACTGTTGTCCTGTCCAAGTAGAGACCCTGAAGACGGGGTAAGAGGGAGTGAATTTTCAGGGTCTGTGAAAGATCTGTGGCCACCATAGACTCTGAGCTTCTTTTCTTATTATCTGTTCCTTTCCAAGGGTAGAGTGAATGAAACCATTAGATGAGTTCCTATTGATCAAATTTTTGCTTTACTGAACTCTAAAGATAGTCCTTACAGGTTGTTGGCATACTTGTAGTGAAGGAAAGAAAGAAAGGAAGAAAGAAAGAAAGAGAGAGAGAGAGGGAGGGAAGGAAGGAAGGCAGGAAGGAAGGAAGGAAGGAAGGAAGGGGAGAAAGGAAGGAAGGAAGGGAAGTAAGAAAGGAAGGAAGGGGAGAAAGAAAGAAGGAAGGAAAGAAGAAAGAAAGAAAGAAAGAAAGAAAGAAAGAAAGAAAGAAAGAAAGAAAGAAAGGAAAAGAAAGAAGAAAAAAGAGAAAGAAAGAAAAGGAAAAGAAAGAAAGAAAAAAGGGAAGACTAATTTAAAATAATGTCTAAATTATTTTAATATTAAATATTTTAATATCTAAATATTTAAAATAAGTATACTCTTCTCTGATTTGTGTTATAAGTTCAAATAATAGAGAAATGTGAAATATAGAAAGAGGAAATTCCCTAAAGTGTATCCTATAGGAAAAAATATCTTACAAATTACAAAAAAAGAGTATCTGGTCCATGCCTGTGTGGAGGTGGTACAGCCCTGAATCGGGTGTGTTTGCAGCTCAGGCTTCTACAGTTTCGGCTGTCAAGCCCACCATCTGCTTGCTTTGCCTTCAAAGCATTGATAGAAACTCCAATCAGCCTTCTACCTCCTCTCAGAGTCCCAGCTGAGAAAAGTGTTATTCAGGGACATCTAAAAATCCTGATTGCCATCCAGTCTACTAAACCCCTAGAGCTCTATCTTTGGATCAAGTTGGAGACCAGAAACCTGCTCATTTGTGCTGTATTTATTTAGCCAAGGTTAGGAGTTATTCAGCACACGTGTGGGCCATCATCTGCCCTCTGCCTATGGCAGGCATCTCTAACATAGTGTAGCCTCTTTTTTGCCCAGCTTAGATGTGGTCTTGAATCCTTCTCAAGATAAGACTTTGTGAGCCCACCACCAGACAACTGGAATGGGCACTAGACAGGTGCCCCTTTGCTTCACTTTTTTGCTCTGGCCCTGGCAATTTTGCAGCTCTGTTTGCTCTCACAGTTGACAGCGAACTTCTGTTCTCATTGACCCGTTATAAAGAGCCCTGAGTGCAGAATTTATTTGAAAATGAAGCATCTGGAAAATTCTTCTCTCCTTTGAAGAACTGTATACTCCAGTGAAGTGAGGCTTTGTCATTAATCGTCATCCCCTTTTCACTCTTGCTGCCAGGAAGCTGTGAGTCAGATTTCAAAGCTCAGTGGTAGCAAACAAAATGAGCCTTATAATTGCCCTATTTGCAGCTTCCTTTTTTCTTGTCCAGAGTTTTTGTTTTTATCATTTGTGGTTTGGGTGGTGAACTGCCTTCTATCGGTGAGGCAAAGGTATAAATAAATAAATAAACCAGTTTTAAAACCATGCACCCAATTGTGGTGTCTTATCAACGCTAGCCTCAGTCTGAGAGCACGTTTTGTTTTCCTTCATGCTTAAAAACAAATCCATGCCTTTGCATGCTACCTAAGAAGAAAGATTGGCTGCCAGAACAATGTAACTAGAGCTGGAAAGGGGAAATAAAACTGGGTTGATGGACCTGGATATATGAGATCTTTATTTTCTGCCTTGTGAGAATGTTGTTGCAGCCCCATTTTACAGGTAAGTGAGGGCAGACGCAGCTTCCTGGGGCCACCAGAGTGTGACTGAGTGATGTGTCACTCCTGAGCCCTGCCTCCAGTCCGCTTGTGCAACCTTTTTTATTTCAAAAGTGCTTCTGCACTCCCCGGTCATTCCAATGCTGCTGGTGAGCACACTTCATTTCTACTTTGTTTAGCGATCAGAACCGCCACGACTTTCGAAAAGCATGAAATCTCTAAACGAAGGAATGTAAAGTACTTGGCTTCCAACCCCCCCAATATGGAGAAACAATCTGAATACACAAAATTAGAAAAACATACACAGAATGGTTGTTTAAAATTCACAGCTGTCAAAATCAAGTATTTTGTATGAGAGAAAGAATGTAAGAAACATCAGGTTAACAAAATAGCTGCAGATGGATCGCTTCGCGCAGAGGACTAGGCTGGCATTGTCTGCGCCCTGTTTTGCAGAGGTTCATTTGCATTGCAGGACAAAGGTTCGCTGTTGGAGACCCTTTCTCTCCATCCTCCTCCTCCAAAAGGCACCTCGCCATCCGCAGTGAAGATAGACCGCCTCCCTCCTGCCATCAGAAACCTACAGGAACGAACACAAATCTGTTATTTTAACACAACGTGGGCACAAAGTGGTGTTTTCATTCCGAATAAAGCTGGGGGAAGCTGAAGAATAGGGCCTTTTATTTGCAGAAGATACTCAAAGGAAGCAAGATTGAACCGTAGGCCAGCGTATAAGAATAAAGTTGTTAGAGGTTTTGGAGCCTGTGGCCTGGGAGCTCCACTATAAGTTCCCTGTCAGCTTGGAGCGCTTTGCATCAGAATGCATAATTGCATCTGTTAATTACATTTTTAGCCTAGTCCTCCAACATAGAATAAATTCATCTTCCTCCCACTTTTCAGACTGCCTGGGAGAGGAGACTTTTTTTTCAATTTAATAAACATGATTGACAACAGAAAATGTAGATTTACTTTCTTTCTATTATGACTGTATATTGGCGT
Source organism: Homo sapiens (assembly GCF_000001405.40). NCBI lineage: Eukaryota > Metazoa > Chordata > Mammalia > Primates > Hominidae > Homo > Homo sapiens. Next base: position 54,651,155 of record NC_000016.10, on the reverse strand, counting down.
CCAGAACGCAGACATGTATTTTGCTGATGATTATACGGCAGCCCGTTAGCAATTGCATTCATTCCACAAATTCTAAGGGCCCTGTTTTATGATTCTTGTAAGACGTAGCTTGAAGGTGGCACAAAGAAATGTTTAAAAATATTCAGAGGCTAAGGACGTTTTAAGCACTGTATCTAAAGTGGCAGAGATGGCATTTCAATGGTAAAGGCCAGCCGCTAAGACCAGTACTGTTGAACTCTGGGCCTCCAATCCCTGGACTGTATTAAGGGGGTTGAGCTGGAAGAGGCTCAATGTTTTGCCAGTCCTTTGAACCGGGAACCCTTGAGTTTCAAATCTGCTATTGCCCCACCAGACAGCTGCCTCTGCCTCTGCCCAAGGTCACGGATTGACAGTGAGACAACTGGGACGGACACCCTGACTTACCTGGAGAAGAGGTTAGAATAGTGGGAGGGAACCTGGGGAATCTAGCCCCTCTCTTCCTTCCCTCTCTCTCTTTGGTCGGCCCCAGAAAAAGTGGGTGAAAGTCCGCCTTCCCCATTTGGGTGGAGGCATAGCACAGGAAAGATGACTTTAACTAAAGCTGAGAGACCAGGAGGACGATGTGATTTCTGAGGCCATGGCATGAGGCGCCATGAGTCTGGGGGTGGTGGCTGTCCAGTCCTGCTCTGGACGGTGGTCCCATGATGTAACTGAGGGCCTTGACACCAGCTCTTTAAATCAGGGGTGCTTTAGGGGCCCCCTGCTGCCATGGTTTCTAATGGCCTTAATCCCAGGCCTGAGGGGCACGTTAAATAATTTTTCTTTTTTAACCACCTAAGAAACGCTCATGTTTGAGTAGAAAAGAGAGAAAAAAAAAGCAAATCTTCCAGAGCATACATAATCTCCTCTTGATCTGGTCTCCTCGGGGGCTCTGACTGGCAAAACTAAGCCTGCAGGATGGTTCTGAGAAGAGTGTGAGAATCTCCCTGCCTCCATCTGGGAGAGCACACTGAGGAGGCCCGTGGCATCTTCAGAGCCCTAAGCTTAGACTCTTCTCTAACAGCTGTAGAGACACATATGAGCCTTGATGTCGTGCGGTCATATATCTTCCTCCAAATGAGAGGTCAGATGAGATCATCGGGGTGAAAGAGCTTTGTAAACTAGAGAGCACTGGACAAATGTCAGTCTGTTTTCATTATTAACAGGGAGCACGGGCTCTCTCCTGCCAAGGAGCCTATTAAAACATTTTTTTATCTGAGTTCTTTTTCTTTTTTTAAATTGTTAACAAATATTTACTCAGAGCCTACCACTGGCCAGGCACTTTATAAACATAAATCAGATCATGTCACTCTCCGGGTTGAAACACTCCAAGGCGCCCCATCACACCTAGAATAACATGAAAAGTCTTCACTGTGGCCTGGAAGGCGGCACGTGATGGGGGCCAGCAGCCTCTCCCTCCTCAATTCCCTCCATCTGCCCCCTTTTTCCTCTGCTCTGGCTGGGATGCCCACCTTGCTGCTCCTCAAACATGTCAAGTTCATTTTCACCTTAGGCCTTTGTCCACACTGTTGAATCTTCCTGGAAAACACTCCACTCCACCCAGGTCTCTGTTCAAACGTCACTTCTCCAAAGAAGTCATCTTTGACCACATCTCTAAAATGTCCTCCTTCCACACTAATACTCTTTGTCCCCACACCCTGCCTTAAGGCTCTTCATAGCCCACATCCTAATCTGAAATGATTGAAGATGTTTGTGTGTGTGTGCCTGTGTGTGTGTGTGCATATATATGTGTGTGTGTGTATATATATATGTTTATTGCTGTCTCATCCACTAGAACACACGCTCTGTAAGGCATGTTTTGCCTGTTATTGCATGCTCAGACTCTAGAATAGCACCTGGCACATAGTAAGTGGTCAGTTAATACTAATGGTATAAATACAAAGAGCTGGGAATGCAGAGATGAGAAGAAATCAAGGGGCTTATAGTTCTGTCCTTGATCTGATGGGATTTGCCTCAAAAGGAAAGCAAGAATAATTAATAACTCAATGCTTATGCTTCAGTGGAAAAGACTCAGACACTCAAGTTATTTCATTTTCATAAGAAGGCTTGCCCAAGCTTGAGGATCTGGTTCCTGAGGTCTTCTTTGAGCCAAGACTCTTGGTGTGAGATGTATGAGGACCAGGGTCCACAGATGAGTCAGGTAAGAGACTGCGGGGGACACAATGGAAGAGCCACCCAGCTCCTAGCAACTCCCTCCATTCTAGATTGGCTCTACCCAGCTCCTTTTCCTCCCTGCGTGTGGATCAAATGAGAGCCACATTGTTCCCGCTCCCTGCTGTGTTGATTAGTGAGGAGTCATCGCCTCACCCACGCTGAGCTAATGACGCTCTCTCAACCCTAGTTTATAGGTAGGCAACAGCCTTTAGCCAGGTCAGTCGGGTCCTCTCCTGGGGATTTGCCAGCTGGAACTAGAGGGAAAAACTGTTTTCTTTTCCAGTCACAAAGCTGTGAGGATGTGAGGCCAGGAACAGCCATTAGCGGAGGTTCTAGTTCACGGCAACAGCGAATGGATGAACAATGCAGAGACAAGAGTTAGTGACCTAGATGGAGAGATAAAGAGAGAATGTCCAGGCCCTGGTTTCACCTCCACTCCCTCCCTGCCTACATCCTAAGCCACTAAATTCCCTCTTTTGCCTTCGCTAGCTCAAGCTGGTTTTTTATTTCTTTAAAAATACCCTAATGAATATATTGTTATTTAACTAGTTACTTAATTATTATAAAATAAATACATAAATTCAGTTTAAAAATCCACACACTTTAGGAAATTATAAAATGGGAAGTGACCTTCCTTCTTGCCCCCCGACCGCCACTCCCTTCCCCGCCTCAGCCCCACTCCCTGGTTTCGTTCCCTGGAGGTAACCCGCAACCACTTATTAAACTTATTATCCTTCCAACTGTCATTTGACAGACTTCTGGCAAGCATTTTGAAAAGCAGCAGAAAATCCTTTGTAATTTTGATTTATCCGATTGTAATATATATTACTCTTGTAGATTTCCAAACAATGGGTTATTCAACCATTTATTTCAGTCAGCTTTGTCTGCATTAGTAAATGTTTTGACATTAGCCATTTATTTCAGAGATGAATGATTCATTTGGGTATTTCTCAACAACATAAAATAATACCCTGGGTGAGGGCATGGCTGACTTTTTGGCAGGGACTGAGTTATTCATTTTTACATTCTTCATACTGCTCAATGTGCTTTGCACAGAGTAGGCGCACAGTATGTGTTGGAATGGATGAAGAATTTGGTGAAAGGGAGCTTGAGACAGAAGGGGGAAGAATGAATCTTTATTGAGTGCTTTCACAACACCGTGGACTTGGCATGCTTTGTCTCTTTCTGTCTTTGCTGCAGCTCCAAGCAGCTCTCATTCTTGTCCCTTCTCCAGCTCTTTCTGGGGTTTTCCATTTCACGATGTGGCTTCCATGTCTCTCCAGTGAATTCATTTTCCTTGGGTTTGCCAGACTTGGTTTCTGTTGCTTGCAATTCAAGAACTCTAACTGCCAGAGAAATCAGAGCATTAAAAGTAGGGTGAATGGACTACACAGAAAAAAAAAAGATACAACCCTACTTACAATGTGGAAAATGAAGGCAAAAACCCACTAAGTACTTTGCTTTAGGGCACATGGTTAAGGAGTGGCCAAACAGGAATTAACTCAGGTCTATCAAGGTACAAAAGTCTGGCCCTCTCCACCACCCTGCAACCGGGTGCCAAGACTCTGGTCCAGGAACAAATTATTTCCAGAGGCCAAAGAAAGCATGACCCAACTTGCATGGTCCTCACTAAGAACTCAGGCTGCATGTGGTTGGCAGAAGACGGCCTCTTCCAGAAGTCTGTAGGTTTTATCCTTGGCGAATTTTCTAGATCCTTGCTGATGCCAAAGCATGATTTAGACACTTAGAAAAAAAATATATTTGCATGAGACAACCCATGAAGCAGAACCTCAAGCACTATTCTCTTATTTGTTTTTGTTATTTTTAAATATTTCACGAGTCTAATTTCTCTTCTGTTGCCCTCAGCACATAGAAGAAAAAAATCCTTACCATACATGGTGAATTCTGATAATTTATTTGTTTTTGGTAAGATTTTTTATTTTACATAATATCGTAGCATGGTCAAAAACAGGGGCTCAGCCTGGGCAACACAGTGAGACCCCATCTCTACACAAAATTTGTTAAAAATTAGCTGGGCATGATAGCACACATCTGTGGTCCCAGCTACTTGGGAAGCTGAGGTGGGAGGATTGCTTGAGCCCAGGAGTTTGAGGCTGCAGTAAGCTGTGATTGCACCACTTTACTCCAGCCTGGGTGACAGAGTGAGACCCAGTCTCTATGTAATAAATAAATAAAGTAATAATACTATTTAGTAAAAGCAGGGACTTTAGAGCCAGATTTCCGAGATTTGAACTCCAGCTCTGTCACTTGCCATGTGACCTTGTTGTATGTGGGAAGTTCCTTACCATCTCTGCCCCTGTTTCCTTGTCTGTAAAATGAGTAAAATAAAACCTGCCTCCTGGGATAGTTGCAAGGATTAAAAAGTTACCATATGTAAAACACTTAAAATAGGGTCTGGTACATAATGGGTGCTGAACATATTTGCTATTAGTATTATTCCTGCATTTACTATTTTAATTGTTTTATAAGTACTCTTTGGGAACCCTGAGCAGATGAAATGAGTTTTGAATTCTGCAGGTACATGTGTGTGAATTTTGCAGTTCAGAGCAGTGGCTCAGAGACTGTGATTAAGGCATAGGTCTTAAAGTAACAAATGGCTGGTAGCAATAGTAGTATAAATAGAACCCCACTTCATGGATATTCTAATTATTCTTTCCTCTTTGACACGATTCCATGTTTAGCTGCATGGCATTAAGCAATACTTACGCAGTTCGGGAAAGGGCAATTTAGAAAGATCAGACCCAATGATCTTAAAGCCCTGATGTATGGTTCAGTGAAAGTATAAGTAGGTCAAATACCTCTAACATTGAATTAGCTGAAATTATGCAAGCTATTATATTGGATATTACTATTTGAACATTTTGTATAAACTGCAGTAATACACACTCGTCTTTATGGGATGAATCAAGACTTAAAACTAATTCTGGCGAATTAAGAATTGTATTTTCCAGGAATTAACTACCACGATTTGACTGCAGCTGTAAAAATTTTATTAGGCAATACATCTGACCTCAAATTGGAAATTTGTGTTGGAACCAGTTTAGGAAATAATTATTGCTGTGTTGTTAATTTTATATTTGCCTAATAAAACACAGCAGGAACAACAGGGCTGGGTGAATGTAACAAAAAAAAAGGCCCTGGACATGCTTTAAATGAGTATTTTCAACCAAGCTGGGACTAGCAACCTGTATCTCTGATGAACACTGTTGCTGCTGACATTGTGGAATTAATATTAGTTCATGGTGATCAGACTGTGAAAGAGGAACATGTTGATGTTGTTTGTATCATTCTCATCAGCCAATAAGAAGTATCATAATGTGCATATCTTAAAATGTTTGCTTTGGTAAAGTTTAACTTCCTCGCATACTTAGAGCCTCATGGGAACATGCTCCTCTGCACACATGCATGTTGACACTGCACTCTCTGAGGCCGAACCACTTGTTCCTGTTCGTTCAGTTTGCCTTGTGAAGAGTATTAGCAAAGACCAACTTCTCTTGGAAGCAAAAAGCATATGCCTTTGTTGGTGTTAGTGTTGTTGTTAAGAGAGGACTAATTGTTTCATGCAAGTACATGAGTGGATACTATGCTTCCTTACGTTAGAATCATCTTCCAGTCTCTTCTAGAATTATCTAGTATCTTCTATGATCCTTGAGATTCACCTCGAAGACATAATTGGAGGCTATTAATTGAGTCCATAGCTACTTGCTACTGGTTGCTGTGGGGCAGTGTTACCCAAAAGCTGAGACACAAATTATCTTCCAGATGGGTATCAAATAACGTAGATTCACACCAAGAGAAAGTTATTCCTGTTACAGTCCTCTCTCGATCCTTCTGATTGTACCAGCTGGGAAGTCTCAGGTTGGTGGTAGGATGTCTCTGACAACTTTTTCACTCTTGTTCATGTTGATTTTTACCAGAGAGGGCAGAACTCAGGCTCAGAGCCTGAGGAGGCAGGCAATAACAGCTAGCTAGAGTTGACTGATATTGACCTGTTTGCCCTGTTTTTTTTTTTTAATGGTTGTAATTCAATTTATGGTAAATGAACATGATGTTCCATTTATAATAGGGATTGAATATCTGTAAATAATTAAATATAAAATAATTTAATTGATGGAAAAAATATTTGGTAAATAATTAGTCATCATTGGATAAAGCAAAACAGCATGCTTGAAGAGTTTGAACTGGAAAGAGGTTAAAATGATGATGAGTTATGCAGATGTGGGTGGGGTTAGGAGAACCAGCAGGAATGGCAGCACCCAGGGACTAGCAACAGTGAGAAGCCATTAGCCTCCTACAGCCGAGTAGTGAGGGAAGGGATGGTTTTCCCAGAACCAAATGGGAACTAGGACTTTGGAGGCAGGAGATAGCCGCTCTACTGGGAAGCCGGGAGGGAGAGGGAAATAATACCCTGACTTCTCTTTCCTTCCACCTTCCAACATCCTGCTGGTGCCTTCTATCAACAACCTAGCCAGAAGCCAGAGTCAAGGGAGAGCTGGACGATGCAGTCCTCAGAGGTCAGAGAAGAGTTGGGAGTACATGGGGAGTCGGGGTTGGTACATGGAAAATAACAGAACACTGGGGCTGAAGTCACAGAAATTTGAGAGATCCTGCCAAAGTATATAGAGAAGGGTGAAATGGAAATTTAGGAAAAGGGATTGACTTTTGAGAGCCTACCCTACTTGTGCCATGAGTCAAATATCCTCTACCTGCTCTGTTTCATGATTTATTTCATTAGTGAACAGGTAAGATGAAGGAAATTCACTTTTGAAATTCCTACATTGCAATAATACAAAGCCAAGTGATTAGTTATTAGCAGATGAAGGTATAAATTAAAATCCCTCCTGCAGGCAACCCTGATCCCCTATGTACTCTGTAGAGTAGAGCACAACAGTTGAGAGTAACAGCTTAATGGCCCAGCCGGGTGGTATTCAAGTCTCAGCTCCGTCATATACCAGCTGTCTGGTATTGGACAAGTCATTTATCCTTCTGTGCCTCATTTTACTTATCTACAAAGTGGGGACATGACAGTTCCTACTTCTCAGGGATCCTAGCTCTTTGAACAATACCTGACACATAGTAGGTGTTCAATAAGTGTTTTATGGTAACATGTTATGGTAGTTCTGGCTTTTTTATTTTTAATTTTTTTTTTATTTTGAGAGACGGGGGCTCACCACATTCTCCATACTGGCCTTGAACTCCTGGGCTCAGGTGATCTTCCTGCCTCAGCCTCCCAAGTAGCTGGGACTATAAACATGCACCACCATACCGAGCCTGTTTTGTTTTATTTTGTTTTGCAGAGATGATGCCCATTCTGTCTCTGAGGCATAAGTAGTAGTAAGTGCTAATGCTTAGACATAAAAAAGCTGAGCAAGGAAAAAAATCTTTTCTCTCCAGTTTTTCTTAACTTCCATAAAACTTCAATAGATCAGCAGGTATCATACTTCAGTAATCAATATCCTGGTTAAGTAAATCAAAATACCTTTTTTGGTCTGATAGCTGCTGAAATATTTCCTAGGACAGATCAGTCCACTTAATCACACCTAGTGTGACCATAGTTGAAATTTCTCATGGAGGCTGAAAAACTGAGTGATCTAAGATATATCATTTGTAAACTGTGGCCTTTATCCTTCTAATCTGTGGATGAAGAACAGGTACGAGGAAGAACATCCAAGGCATTAATTTGGGACTTTTTTTCCTTAACCCACAATGTTATTTTATTATCATTTGCTTCTCTCTGATAAGATGAAAATATCCTGGAAGATTAAGGTTTTTCTAGCCCAAAGATACTTTAAGTGGTAAAAATCCTTTATTTAATGGGGGAGTGGGGAAGGCAGGTGTGCCCTGAACAAGACAGGGCTCCTGGCCTAGAGGAGATTATAATTTTAATGAGGGGCATGGGACAGGATCCAGGTCAGACCGTTCTGACTGTTTTAAGACTGGTGGCATACAGTGCCAAGGGGGTCCTGGAAAGGCAATTCCCCTCTCTGCTGGAGACAGGAGGCGATTAAGCAAACCAGAGATGACCTTGAGAAGGAGCTTGTTCCTACACTGGGTTCTGAGGGAGACGTAGGATTTTGAGAATTGGAGATGGATGAGGAGAGACATTGATGATAGAAATAATTCTGCAAGCAAAGGCTTGAAGTGAAGAAATTACTGCGGAAGATTCAAGAACAGCAGACATCTAGATCGGCAACCATGTGTTTTTCACATCGTAAGTAGGCTCTTTTTGAAATTTTTAACTTTTAATTTTTGTGAGTACATAGTAGATGTATATATTTATGGGGTCTATAGGTTATTTTGATACAGGCATACAATGCATAATAATCACATCAGGGTAAATGGGGTATCCGTCACCCCAAGCATTTATACTTTGTGTTACAAACAATCCAATTATACTCCTTGAGTTATTTTAAATGTACAATTAAATTATTATTGAGTATAGTCACTCTGTTTTGCTACCAAATACTAGATCTTTCATTCTTTCTATTTTTTTTTGTACCTGCATGTAGGCTTTTGAGATCTTTGTTTTACTGAATGGAATAGAATATGAGGCTCAGTAGTGAGAAATAGGTGAGAAGGAATTTCGAATGCGAGGTCAAAGAACGTATCTGCAAGATTATCTGTTGATTTGTAGGCTTTCCATCTTGCAACAAAAAAGGTGTCCTGTTTTCATAGAATAAAGAGATGGAAAGTTATGGTCTTTCCATTTGCTTTGCAGAGCTCAAAGTCAGACATATAAGATGTTGATTACTTCACAGTGGTGAAGACCACAGCAGAGAGACTGTGGGAACAGGAGAAGACCACCCAACTTGTGGAGGGTTGCAAAGTCATCTGGGGAGGTGAGGGGGTCTCTGCATCAGATATAAGGGAAAGGCAATTGTTGATTCAGCAAAGGAAAGCAGAAGAAAGGTGCTCCAGGCAGACAGAGTGTAAAAGACGTGTAAAGATCCAGAGGTGAGAGGAGGTGGCTATTGAGAAGCAGCCAATGTGCTTCCTCAAAGGATATGCTGGTCATGGCAATTTTGCTTGCAAGGCACAGAAACCCACTCAAGCTAGTGCAAATAAAAAGAGGGTATTATTGCAAGGATGCTAAGGTCTAGAATCCAAAAACAATAGAGCCAAGTATGGTCACAAGCTAAAGAATCAATACTCTTCATATTTCCTTCAAGGTCTACCCCCATGTATTGTATCTGCTTTTTCTTGTTCTGATTATGTCTGTCTCCTCTTGATTTCCATCTGACTCAAGATGGCCACCAGTCTACAACACAGCACAGCCCATCTATACAACCCTAACTAACTCAGCCTCTCAGCTCATATTCCCAGGAGAGGACTCTGATTGACCCTCTCACCTTGATTTAGGCAGAGCTCTTGGTACCAGACTTGTCCTCAGCTATCTAAAGAACTGTTACTTTTGGGTCAGGACCTCTGGGCCAGTCAGCCTTGGCTGTGAAGGGAAGGGAGCAGAGTCACATGGCCCATGGCCACTCATTCAGAGCTGTGGGTCTAAATACTCAAATCCTCCAAATTTCCAGATGCCACTGAAGTGAAAGCTGTGGAGTGATCGGGGATAAGTTGGTTGGTAGCTTGAATGAAGAACCACTAATAAGATGGTGCCCTAGAAATGCCCCATTGATTAAATGGTCTCTCCCACCATCCAATCTTAGTGTAATGTATTAATTCATTCTCACACTTCTATAAAGAACTACTTGGGACTGGGTAATTTATGAAGAAAAAAGGTTTAGTTGGCTCACAGTTCCACAGGCTGTACAGGAAGCATGGTTGGGGAAGCCTCAGGAAACTTACAATCATGGCAGAAGGGTGAAGGGGAAGCAAGCGCCTTCTTTACGTGGTGGAGCAGGAGGAAGAAACAGAGAAAGGTAGGTGCTACACACTTTCAGACAACCAGATCTCGTTAGAACTCTATCACAAGACAACACCCCCATGGTGCTAAACCATTAGAAACCACCGCCATGATCCAATCACCTTGCACTAGCCTCCACCTCCAGCACTTGGGATCACAATTTAGCAGGAGATTTGGGTGGGGACACAGAGCCAAACCATATCATGTAATGCCCTAAGAGCCACCTGCTTGATTGGCATTCTTAGCAAGATCTATATTTTTAATTTCATTTGGAACAGCAAAGAAACAAATAACTTAGGCATTTTCCTGTTGCATCTATAAGGAGAACTAAGTGGTAGGAATCTCTCCATCAGGTTTTCGGGTTTATCTTAAGTGCTCAGGAGAGAAAATGGTGGCAAATAACAATTTGTGGTTGAGAGAAAGTATAAAGTGCAACCCTCCAGCCAGAATGTTAATTCTTAAAATTTTGTGTTTATCTTGATGGTTTTGCTTCCTTCATTTTATTAAAAGTTTAAGATTTTTTCTGATAAAAAATGTACTCGTGTGCTAGGAAAAAATCCTCCCACTGCAAAAAAAAAAGACAGCACATTAAAATTTATTTCCCAGGAGAGAAAATAAATTTTCATGAAATAAAAGAAAGAACTAATAAACACTCATTTTCTGAATAAACATTTTTTTCTGCAAAGAATGTGCTTTCAGGCAAATACATTTGTGTGCCTCTTGAGGTATGTGATGTCTGCTGCTGCAAGACAATAGTAATTAAAAAATTAAACAATTAAAAGAGGAAAAAGTTTGTCATCAATTTTAATTTTATGTTATGTGAATTAATATTTCTTTTTATAATGCAATATTCTGCAATTTATCATGCAGGCGCAGTCTTTGCTTCCGCATTGTAGATAATTAGTTTACATTATTTTACAGAAATGAATTGTCGCTGGTGATCTGAAGTGCCTGCTAACAAATCACTTCTGTTGGGGATTCATTGAGATTCTACTCAGGCCTTAACTATAGCAATATATGGCATTGTCCTTACATGTTAAATATGAGGCTAATTTTTTAAAAAAGGATTCATAGTCCAAGAAGTCTAGAAACCTATCTTTGGAACAGATCAACATGCTCTTCTTTTGCTTCACAAAAAGGATTTATGTTCTCAAGTATAATTTTCAATACCAATTTTTCTTTCTTCCTCCCCCACCCCCACCCATCCATTCAGGCCACTAAACAAACCAGGAAGGACAATGAAGAGAAGCTTGGGATTTCTCCAGGTTGTTAATGAGACAAAGTTACTCACGAGTCTTTGTGCACCTTCTCCTCTGAAAGTTGATCTCACTATAAAATACTCATGGAAAAGAAAATTGAGCTCAAGAGCTAATTCAAAATTTCAGTATTTGTCATCATGAGTGTGAGAGCCATTTTATAGATCAATTTCATCATAGGAAAAAAATTGGATTGTCTGATCATGTCTTGTGAGGGCAGTATCACAGAGCTGATCTGTCTCCTTGAACTCTTAAAGAGAAAGAAATAGTATAGTTTGAGCACCCCGGGAACTGAGTGGAAACTGAGATGATACCTTCAAAAGTATCTTCTCTAGGATTCTTAGAAAGAAGTTGATATTTCTAACAGTTTGATTCAGGGTCATTCAGAGATTCTTAAGAGCATGATAATACTCCAGAAAACTCCAGAAATATATTAACACAGCCTGCCAAGAGTTCTAAACCTAAGATGCAGCTAGATTTGACCAGGGCAACAAACATTTATTGAGTGCCTATTATGAGCTCTAAAATTGCTGGTTCTTGGGTGAAACTGTTAAGAAATACAAGTCTATTGTTTGCATTTGAGGGACTTTCAGTCTAGAGAAAAAAAAGTGAGCAAATTAAATATAAGGGCATAACTATTGATTAGTGGTTAGTTTAGCATTTCCCAAAGTTCCAGTGGCACTCAAGTGATTTTTAGGTGACACATGGGCACAACACTAATTCATGAGCTAATGAGGAAATGAACTCTTTTGATCCTTCTTATGATCATAATGACAAGAGAAAGTCTAAGTTCGGTGCTCATATGCCTTTAATACTTTGCTAATTCTTGCCAGCTTTCCTTTTAACAAGAAAAGAGCAAGTTTTAGGTATATATCTTAGCTAATTCTATGAATAACACTATTTTTGTGTGTCTATTTATATTCTATTTATGCCAGGTTTCCTATTTACAATCATAATATAAAGTTTTCTTATAAAATAAACTGTTTAAGTAGAGAGTCTCTTTGAAGAAACATATTAAGTAATCAGTAGCATAGATGGTAAGTGGTTATAGCAAAAGAACAAAAAAACGTGGCAATTGAAAAGTCATCTGCACAGCTGTAATCCAAATCTCTAGCCATTCCTCCTCTTCTATCATTCCAAACCTTCAGCAAAGTCTACTAGGTACAGACAGGATGAGTGTGTGTGTACGCGTGTGTGTGCTGGGAGTAGGGTGGGACTGAGAATCATGGTGGGGCTGGTTCCATTTCTGAGTCTGGAAACCATGGGGCATGGGGACCACACGTGCCAGGTGGTGAGATGATGCTCTGGCAACAGGTGCTCAGTGCCAGAAGCCATCATGAGGAGTCAGCCCCCGGAAGGACAGTGTTCTTGGTAAAGTGTGTGGGCTGAGAGATAGAACAACGTGATCTAGTTCTTCAAGTGTGCAAGACCTGAGCCAACATCTGTTTGAATTTCCAGAGAGAAATAGAAATAATCAAAAAGGTCAAGTTGCAAGCTGTCCTCAGACAAGGAATGGGGGTGTCAGACAAAGTCTGAACCTTACCTGGTATTCAGGTGCCAAGAAACCAAGAGATGGCAGAGTTCTGGACCTGGAAATTACAGACCCCAGTTGCATGCTGGATACCAAACTAATTGTCAGCTTTTGGTAATGACTGTCAGATCTCTCGGATCCAGCATGTGTGTGTGCGTGCCCATGTGTGTGTTATCTTAGCATTGCTTGTTGATGTCACAAATCTCCTCCTGGTTAATGTATACGGCTGTAGAGTAAAAACTGGGTGTCTAAAAGCAGCTGTTTGAATCCCTAGAACAGGGATAGTAGACATTGGTGACCCAGAGACTCATTCCTTTGATTTTATATGTGTAAGGTCCCCCCAGAATAGTGGCCCTGGGAATCACCCTCCTATCTCCAGCTCTGCCTTTTGGAATTTCTCCACCACTTGGAATAATCCCCTCCCTACCCCAGGCCCCAAGTCTCACCATCTCGCCAACCCAATAGGGTCTGCAGAGGCCTGGCAGAAGTAGTGGAGCAAGGACAGACCCCACCTCCAACCCCATGGACAATCCTCCAAGCCCACGGCTGTTCCCACTCATCCATCTCCATCCCTGCCCACTGCCCAACCTCTCCCTCAGGCAAAGTGCTTGGAATTGAAGACACTGGTTGGAGTCTCTACAATGCAGATTGGTCTGGTTTTAGTGTTTTAGAGATGGACACCCAAGTCCCATCTTTAATATCTTGGTGGACCTTTGGGAAGACAGGAGAAAACCTATTTTTGTTTTTGTTGTTTTTGTCTTACAAGTTCTCTCTGTTTGCTAGAAGTAAAACCTCTTAGAAAACCATGTGGATGCGGGCGCATTGCAAGGAGGGGATGGTAGGAGAGAAGCTGTCTTCCCAGATGTTCCCCCAGGCTCCCTAACTCACCTCCCTCAGGGCCTGCTCACATATCATCTCCTCAGGGTCCCTCTCTGGGCCTCCTTCCTAAAACACTCCCTTTCTCACTTCCCTGGTTTAGTTTTCTTAATCCTCATCACCATTAAAAACTCCATATATTTAACTTATTGATCTGACTTGATTGGCCTGCTGCTCATTAGAATATCTGCTCTGTGAGAGTGGAGATATTTGTCTGTTTTGTTTACTTCCATATTCCTAGCATCTAGGACAGTATCTGGCTCCCTCTAGGTGATCAATAACTATTTATTATTGAAAGACTTGTCCCCCCATGGGCTGAGGGAACAAAACCCCAATTGGAAAATACAGGTACTAACCCTAAGATTGGAAGGAGACAGGCCCCCAGATGACCAGAGATTCAAGCCTGGACAAAGGATCTTTCTTAGGGCTTGGTTCCCTTAGCTCATCACCACATCACCCCCTGGAGCTTCATCCCAGTTGTTAACTCTTCCATCACAAACTCTGCCTTTTGGAAGGCCCATTTCCCACCATCAGTGCTGCAAAAGTGGGTGGTTCTAGAGGAGCCCCACTTCTTTCTGGGGGCAAGTGTCTGAGCTCAGGTTGTACATATTAGAGTGTTATGGGTTAAATGAGCATTTGCGGATTGCCTGGGGGCACTCACCACTGGATTTTCTGTAGGAAACGGATCTGGCTTCCCTCAGCTCCCCTGCTGCAGTCCATTTGTGGGGTGGGATGTGGGAGCTAACAGTCGCCAGGATGCACCCGTTGGAAAGTGTTTCTCCCCAACTCCAGCTGTTTAAAGGCTAATCTTTTTGCCTCACATGGGTTAAGAGTGCAAAGTTGAATCCAAAAAGGGCTCAATTCAATCTTATTTCCTCCTCCCTTTGATCTCTTCATTTCCTATTTCACTTCCTCTGACAATTTCCTCCTTCCATTCCCAGAACAAACAACTCTCACTGTGGCACTTGGCCATTTTCAATCATTTTCCCAGACACTGAGCTTCTCATTTGGCCACCGTTCACCATCGCCTTGTGGACGTTCCGATAAATATCAGGCATGGGCTGTAAAAAGGGAGGGTTGGGGACACCTCACTTTGTGCCTATGGATCCTCATTTCTGGAAACTTGGATGTAGCTGGGGATATCAGCCTGTGAAATCCTGGGGTTCCCCCGAAGGAAGGTAGCACAATGAGAAACCGTGAAGCAGGGTGTTTTGTAGTAAACAAAGGTGGATTCCCGTCCATGATTTCTCAGGGCTGCTGAAGTCCTGCTTTCAGTCATTTGTGTTTTTCTTTTCTTATTGAGCTCATAGGTGAGATCCAAATATTCCATTCTAAAAAAAAAAAAAACAAAAATCAAGAAAGAAAACATTCTAGAAACTTCTGTGTTCTGTTTTGACACCTAAGTCTCAATGTGAAATGGTCCCTGAACTAATCATATTAGTAAAACTGGCAAGATTAAAAGAGCCATAAACACACGCTAGGTGTTTCAACATCCATTAAAATGTATACAGCAGCCTCCCAGAATATTTAATAGGCTTATATGATGACTGAATGTGAATTCATTCATCTCAGTCAAGTCGGGTTATTAAGATACACATGCTAAGTGATTTGTCCTGTGTTTACCCTGTGCTGGGAAAATAGTATCTGATTTTGAAAAAAAAAAATGCAAAGCCGTTCTTTGTTGGAAGAAATGGGAGTCAGGACCCCACCCCACCCCCAGTTTCCATGCCAGCTTTATCACAAGCAAACTGCTTAGTCCCTGTGGGACTCAGTTATACATCTGAGAAATTAGAAGGGTTGTCCAAATGATCTCTAATGTTTCTTCCAGCCCTCACCTCTAAATGTGGTAGGTGGGGTAAGGTAGTGGTTGAAACTGTAGACTAACATTAGACTACTTAGGGTTCAAACCTTGCCTCTGCTGCTAAGTAGCTATGTAACAACTGAGCCTCAGTTGCTATGTCTGTAAAATGGGGATAATAACAGAAGGCTACAGTGAGGTAACCCGTTTGAATCCTGGTATCTAGGGAATGCCAAATCAATGTTGGTTAACTTTAGAACTTAATGTAAAATATCCTGGCCATTTTAGGGTATGGATTTCATTCCTGAAATTACAAATATCACTTAGATACACTGTTTATCTTAATCCTCACCACAGCCTTGCAAGGCAGATGGAGGTAGCCTTGATTTGCAGATGAGAAACTGAGACCCAGAGAAGTTACCTAACTTGGCCAAATGACAGAACAAATTGGACTGACTAGGTTCTGGGCTCCCGTCTCCCTCAATCCACTTACCTACCACCTCTGCTTAATTCCAGCATGTTCAGCATCCCTTAGGGATTCTAAATACAGCTGCGAGTATTCAGTCTCTAACCATTGGCTTTCTCCACTTTGGGAAGATATCAAGAGATGGACAATTTTCTGATTCTGCTGATTTCTCTGAAGTTTAGGGCTAGGAAATTGAAGTTGTGTTCTCAGCACCTGTTTTCTCTACTTCCTAATTGAAGCTTAGTCAGCCAAGAGCCGCTTTTGTTCATCATTATTATTAGTAGTAGTAGTATTTTAAATTTGCTGAGACTTCGACTCAACAGCATCACATCTTTAGAATTAATGTGTACCCCAGCCAAGCTGAGCCAAGTGGAAAATCAGTATTGTGCCTCTGTCTAAATCAGGGTTTACCAACTGTGTCGTTATTGACATTTTGGGCAGGACAGTTTTTTTGTTGTGGGGGCTGTCTTAAACATATTCCCATCCTATTGACTGTTTAGCAGTATCCATGGCCTCTACCTACCAAATGCCAGTAGCAACCACCTCTCACCACCCCTACCCCGAATTGTGACAATCAAAAATATCTCCAGACATTGCCAAATGTCCCCTGAGGAGTAAAATCCCTCTTGGTAGAGAACTACTCACCAGCTGAAGGATGAAAGGCTGAGGTCTGAGGTGAAGTATTCTTTTCATTCTTTTTAATTTATATATTTAGAGACAGGGTCTCGCTCTGACACCCAGGCTGAAGTGCAGTGGTGCAATCATAGCTCACTGCAGCCTTGAACTCCTGGACTCAAGCCGCCCTCTGGCCTCAGCCTCCCAAAGTGTTGGAATTATAGGCGTGAGCCACCACGCCTGACCCCTTTTCATTGTTCATTGCCTTCTTCAGTGCATAGCTTTTGGAGTTATTTTGACTCTAGTAAGTAATTGTTTTATCTGGCAACATCCTAGCAGGCAGAACATTTGCCATCTTGAGAAGCTTTTGGTCTGAAGGCAAATTTGCCCAGACAAAAATAAATGCTTTTTGTCCTCGTGGCTAGCGTGAGTGTTTTCTTTGGAATAGCGAAGGCAGCCATTTTCAAAATGGTCTCCCTATCTTTCAATGGGGCCAGTGCCCTCTGCTGGAAGGTTTGTCAGCATTGCCTCAGAGTAGGCTGGGTCAAATGGTTTGAAAATTTAGAAAACACCAGAAGTCTGGGTTGTTTTAACAATCCAAATATTAGGAAAATTTTGCGATGGCTTCCTTTGTATTAAGTCATTGTTTTTACATGTATTCTGATCTCTCAGCAGAGCTTATTATTATTATTTGTAGATTAACCCAAACTTCCTTTCCATCTTTCCATCTATAAACTCATCCAGTCTTTGGTGGATAATTATAATAACCACATCAACAGAACCGTACCTAATGTTTACTGAACCCTTAATTAACAATGTACTAATCACTGTGCCTATGCACACAACCTCCTTTTCCTTCTCAATAGCTGTATGACACAGAGGCTATTACTATTATTAACACATGAGGAAATTGAGACTTGAAGAGGCTAAATGAAGTAATTGATCACACAGCTTGTGATGAGGGAGAAAGCCCTCAAACTCATAGCCTGTATTTCTAATCCTATGCTATCCTGTTACATTCATTTATTCATCTTTTCTTTCATTCAATCATGAGGTTTCCTTTCTAAATGTGACACATTATTGGTCTAAGGAAGCACTATATGGATGTCTCGTGTCACTTGGAATTTGCTCCTGTTTATTTAAAGAATTTTTTTTACCTAATTATGATTTTCAGTTTCTGAAACTCCAGAGAGATGATAAGTTGCTTTTCCCCAAATGTGGACTCTGACTGGAGATGCAGAATTGTCAAAGGGGACTGGATTCTTAAGCATTCAATTGCTCATGAATCTCTCTAAAAACATTACATGTGAGTAACATTCATGTGCATCAGAATATACCCAAGACATTGTAATTTATAGCCCTTCTTATTACTTTAAAAGCCCAAGATTCTTGTAGAATATGGTTTAGTGGGTCAAACATTCCCTTTCCTCTCATTTATCAGGCTTTTGATCTCATGTCAGCCCTGAACGTTGGCACGCCAGGCCCACAACCATGTGCTGGGAGATCACACATGCACCAGGCCCCTTCCGTTTTGAAAACTTGCGGGGATGTGGGTGCTACGGTCCTGCCTGGGTAAGCAGAGGGGGTATTGAGTTCCCCAGTCCTCACTGCCCCTTTGTCTATTATTATTTTATAGTTTTGTTCTGCATTCCTTCCACTCAACCTCCAGTCCATAGAAGCCTGTTTCTTTATTAGTTGCATATGTCTGCACCCTTTTACCTCAGCAGGGAAGACAAAATATTCTGGAGGGTTTGGAGGCCTGGGATGGACAGCTAATCCATCCCCAGCTTGAACTAATCGTCGGGCCAATGTGCTATTGTACTGGGCCCTGTTCTGTGCAGCTGAGCTGTGGGGTTTCAATTTGTAGGAGCATAAACAGATACTAAAGTTGGAAGAACGGCTCGGTCATTTGTTAGCAGAGTTCAGATCAAATTATCACAGCGGTCCCCTGCTGACAGGCTGAACAATTACCTCCTTTTTTCTTGATCTTTAAATGTTTTCTGTTTCACTTAAGCCTCAGTAAATAGTTTACTTCTCATGGGCTTCATTTATTGACACAGAGAGGCTTGATTTATTTAATTTTGTTTCTCTGCCGCCTTCCAAGAAAGGAGTCTTCATAATGTTTTGTTGAAATCTACCCCCCCCAAAATGATAAGTTTATCACGGTAGGCTGAGGAAGCGGTTTAATGATATGACTATAAATTATCTGGCTTTTTAATGAGAAGTTTAGACACCCAAACTCTAAAGCCGATTTTTAAAGCTTTAAGCCAGAACCCAGGCTCTGTCTCTTGAAAAGGTTGAAATCTAGAGTCAGAAACTGGTATAAAGAGAGATCCCTGAGATTTGGGGATCTGAATCCATAATTGGATTATTCAAAACCCAGGAATCTGATGAATCTTTTCAGGAAAATGGAGCATATTGTGTCCGTTCTGACTGTCCTATCTCGGCATAGATTCATTGATGTTCTGCGTGAGTTCACCAGAATTAACTTCAACATTTGTTTTCACTCTTTCTCCCCTTCCCCCAGTTTCAACCCTTGACTTTCACTCTCCCATAGTTACATTTGTCTGCTTCTTACAGTCCTACTGGGACGGATTTATCATCATTTGCTAACATATCTGTCTCAAAATCTCAGCTTTGATCAGCTTGTATTTTATAACTTACATCTGTTCTACATTTAACCTTTTGTAATGCTGTTTTTCAAAAATATTACCTGATCTAACAAAAGAATTGTACCAGAGTGAGAGCTCCAGAGTGTAGATTTAAAAAAAAAAAAAAAAAAAAAGCGCCAAACATACCTGCCTACTTGACCATATTTTTATTACTCTTCCAGAGTTACCCTTTCATTAAATATATAAATCCATCATTTCTCCCACCTCATGATGGGACCTCGGTTGATCCAGGGGCTTCGTGATCCCCGTCTGCTCTTGTCCCGTCATCTTGACCCTTCCTTCGCCTGGAATTCATGCCACAGCGCGAGGCTGTGTGCAGGGTGCTTCTGCGGAGGCCCATGGCTGGAACTGGAGCCGGCAGACTTCCTGTCCCACTGGCCTGTCCCAGGGGGGACCAGAGGTCTTTTCCAGTGGGTTCTGACTTCCACAAGGTTTGGATTCAATTTCATTTGCTTATTTTATTTTAATAAAGTTGATTTATTTTTACCAATGAATTAGGAAATATTTACAACACCCAAAGAGGTCTAAAAGTCATATAATAAACACCCATGTAGCCACCACCCACCTTAAGAAATAAAATATTACAAATATAGTAGGAGGCCCCTTCTATGTATGCTTCTCTGTCAAATTCCACCCCCCAACCCATTCCTCAGAGAGTAAGACTGCCTTGCCATTCCCAGGTATTTCTTCTTAAACGTAAACTTTAGCTACTTATTATATTTCCCTACACAAGATTTTCTATACTCTTCTGTCCCTTCCTTTTTTTCTTTTTTTTTTCCCCCTTTTTTGTAAAGAGGAGATCTTGCTATGTTGCCCAGGCTGGTCTCAAACTGCTGGCCTCAAGCTGTCCTCCCACCTTGGCCTCCCAAAGTGCTGGGATTACGGGTGTGAGCCACCACACCCAGCCCTGCCTTTCTTTATCTATGTTGATATGTGTAGTGCTAAGTAGTTATTTTCATTGCCACAGAATATTCCATTTTATGATGAATATTTATATTTTTTTTCAACTTTCTTGCTGTCACAATCAGTGCTTTATGAAAATTCTAGTATGTATCTCCTGGGGCACATACATGAGAGGATTTTTAGTGTGTATAATAGAGAAAGAGTAGCTGATTCACTTAGACACTTCTCTATTTGATTAGATATTGCCAAACTCTTTTCCAAAAATGGTTGTGCAATTTCACACTCTCCCAAATGTTGATGGGAATGTTATGGTATCTCCTAGCAGTTTTAATTTGCATTGATTTGCTTATAAACAAAGTTGAAATGAGATCACACAAAGTAATACTGCTTATCACAGTGGCTGGCACATAGAAAGGATTCCATTCACGTTAGTTATGATTATGACTATTTCATGAAGCAATCTTGTGAGGTAGTTAAAACAGTGATTACTTTTATTTCATAGGCGAGAGATCAGGATCTGGAAACATACTAGCAAACATGTTAGATCCGAAGAAATGTAACCCATGCAGATGATGGGGGTGGCCAGCAGCCTGTGACTCAGAACTGAGTTGCTGGCGTCATCACACATGGGAAGACTGTGGCAGGCTCAATGGGGCTGCCATCTTGAACAAGCCTTCCCATCTTTCTGGATTACTTTTATACCCACTCTGGATCTAGACCCAACACAGGAATGTGAAGTCAAAGTTGGGCTCCCTTTTGTGGCTTGGGGAGATGACAGTTGGCCATTGGTTACCCCGACCTCAGTTCATCCCTCTAGTAGGGGAATTACACCCAGGCAGATGAGGTCTCCACAGAACCAACTGTAGACAGATCTTAGGTGCTCCCTTCCCTGCCTCCAGCCTGCCCCCGAAACCTGAAGGCCATAGATTTCTTTACCAATCTTGAAAGGCAAGAATTGAGTCCTCCTTCCCGCAATCAAGCTGGAAGAAGATATTTTTGGAGGCACATATGAGTCATTCAGATGACAGATGATAATGATATTGATGAAGATGACAATGAGGATGAGGAGAAGGAGGAGAAAGAGTAGGAAGCCTACCACATATTTTGCTTTTGTATACCAAACACCATGTGGACATTTATGTACATTCTCTGTCCTCTTCAGAGCTCTTGAGAACTCTGTTAAGGGGACAGTATTATCTCCATCTTACAGTCCCAGTAGGGTTGGAAAAACCATAAATAAGTGGGCTCAGGGAAAGCCTGGTTGGGGGAAAAAGTAGGACTCAGGATATTCCATTTTTATTTGAGTATTTCTGTGTCCCAAATTCTCGTCCTTGTTTATATTACAAAATGAATTTTCTTCGACAGGATCAACCATGGACTGTGCAAAGTAGTGCTATGTGGCTTCAAACACCCAGGGCTCCAGGACACAAACCAATTACTGATTAACTTAAAGCTCCATTTCTGGAGTCCCCATCCCTTCTAAGGAGATCTTCAAGTGCAGTTCTGGCCACAAGGCCAGTGCCTGGGGAGTCAGGTGATAGCTTCAGCTCCACGTCTTGGTGCTTTGGATTAAGGGAAGGAGATACACTGCTTCCATTCCAAGGCTGAGATCGGACCATACACTTTTTTCTCTTGATTTCCAGAATGCGTGGGAACGGCTAAGGTTACCAAACATACCTCTCTTGATGGCACAGAAATCTCTCTCTCTCTCTTTTTTTTTAATGCCAAATTCTACCCTTTGAAAAATGCAGAAGCCCATTAAAGATTAAGACTACAAACAAGCTTAAAACACATCTTAACTGCATTCACAAAGGTCGCAGGTGTAGGCAGGTCAAAGTGATATCTTGTTCTCCTAAATATTTCAACAGATAAACAAACTTTTGATTGCGTTATCTGCTCGAAAAAATGACTTTGAACTTTCCGCCAGCACCGCCTACTTGGGTTTACTCAAACCCGCAGAGGCCCAGCCGACCGATAAAGAACCTTGAGTGGTCGCCTGATGGCTGGGGCCTTTCATCTCACCTGGGCTGTGTACACGAGCCGTTTGCTTAGCTTGGCTCTGCTATCCTGAGGACCTTTTAAAAATCCTCCCGTTTATTAGGCTCTAACACCCAATCTGTAAATAAACCAGGAGAAAATGTAGATTTCAGCAGCAGCCTGGAGTGTGGTTCACTTTCAGGCATGCCAGTTCCTCCATCTCGCCTCATTATTTCTTTCTCGCTCTCTGCATCTCCTCTTTCTTCCTCTATCCTCTTTCAATTTCTCCTCCCTTTATCTTGCTTTCCTTCCCTGCTTCCCTTCTTTCCTTCTGCCATTTCCAGATAATAAAAAGAAAATCAATTGGCTCTATTTTTTATGTAGACATCTCAAGTTCATGGATCAAGAAAGAGTACAGCATGGTGCCAGAGAACACAGATACAGAGCCAGATGGCGGGGTTTGAATTCTGGTGGTGTGGCTCCTAGCTGTGTGACCCTAGGCCATCTAAATAACCTCTCTGTGCCTCAGTTTTCTCATCAGTAAAAAGGGAGATAATAATAGCACCCACCCCACAAATTTGTTGTGAGAATTAAATGAAATATATATGTAAAGGACTTAGAGCAGAGCTTGGCACGCGGTACCCATTAAGTCCTGGCCAGCACTATTATTATTATTTGATTATTAACATGCAGGAAGCTTTGTGGGTTGTTTGGCTGGAATACCAGTGGTCTCTGAAAGAGCTATTCTCCACTGTGTGGCCTTGGACAAATGCCTCCATGACCAGGACAAGGCCCTCTGAAGTGTGGATTTCCTACCATTGTGCCTGGCAGCCCTCATTCCCTTGAGGACAAAGAAGAGAAGACAGTGGGTGCTACTACGCTTCACTCCCAGGTGCCAGGCTGACAGTGCTGCCTGGCACAGTGTCTCCTTTGCACTTCAATCCCCTAGCATTCAAAGGATGGCAGAGCCTATCTGGTGGCAACATTTCAAATGTAGAGATATGCTGTGATTAGGCTGGTCATATCGAGCCCAGTGCAGAGGCTTGCACATGGGAGGTTTTTGTGCTCAGGGACACCTCACTGAAAGGGAATGCAGCTGCCTCCTGGCCATGCCATATCCCTGGGGAAAGAGCACCGGAACCCATGCAACTACTCAACCACTTGGCTGTGGCCGGCAGGAAATAGGCCCCTGAGGTCTTCCTCCCTTCCTGTTCTGAGCCCACCATGGGGCGTTCCAGCAGGCCCAGGACAGTTTGGATGGATTTTGTCTTTCCCCTGAGGCCAGTTTTGGGACTCTGCTTCCCCTCACCATCTGTTGTGCTAGAGGAAAGCCCCCTGCCTGTTTCTCAGGGAGCCAGTGTCAGCAGAAGTGGCTTCCCCAGGATGCCAGGGGACAGAAGAGAGAGCACCCTCTCCAGACTCTTTGGTGCCCTTTCTTCTCTAGGAATTGCCTCAAATGGAACTGGAAGCGCTGGCCGCCATCTTTCCTTCTCTCAGGCCCCACAGTCACTGTTGCTGGAAACGACATTAAGACACCCTAAAGAGGTATCAGGCACATAGTAGGCACTCCATAAACATTTGTTGAATGAATGAGTGAATGAATGAGCAAGAGAGTCAAAGAAAAACATCAAGAGAGAGGAGAAACGGAAACCAGGGTGAGCTTTGCAATGTTGAATAGCAGATGTAACCTGAGTCTTCAACATAAAACCCAGTTCTGCTGCCTTCTGGCTGTGTGGCCATCAGCAAGGTATTCTACCGCTCTGAGTCTTCATTTCTTCACCTGTGAAAAAGAAATGACAATACTTAACCATGCAGTGTTTGTTGTCAGGATTAAAGGTAACGAAAGTAGAAGACGTTGCGTAGAAGACATGGCTGTGGTTGTCTGCCAGCACAGGTGTCACTGCTGTGATTGTTTCTCTGCTATCAGATATGGGGAAAGTAAAAAAAAAAAAAAAAAAAAAAAAAAAAAGTAGGAATCCCTGAGACCTTTTGAATACAAGACCCATGGAGAAATACCGCTTATAAGAGATTACCTCCCTCCAAGCCCCCAGATTGTCCCGTCACTTATTTTTTTATTTTTAATTTTATTGAGACAGGGTCTCACTCTAGTCCAGGCTGGAGTGCAGTGGAGCGGTCACGGCTCACTGTAGCCTCGACCTCCTGGGCTTAGGTGATCCTTATGCCTCAAGTAGCTGGGACCACAGGCTTATGCCACCATGCCGGGCTAATTTTTTTTTTTTTTTTTTTTTTTTTGAGACGGAGTCTCGCTCTGTCGCCCAGGCTGGAGTGCAGTGGCGCGATCTCGGCTCACTGCAAGCTCCTCCTGCCGGGTTCACGCCATTCTCCTGCCTCAGCCTCCCGAGTAGCTGGGACTACAGGCGCCCGCTACCACGCCCGGCTAATTTTTTGTATTTTTAGTAGAGACGGGGTTTCACCGTGTTAGCCAGGATGGTCTCGATCTCCTGACCTCGTGATCCGCCCGCCTCAGCCTCCCAAAGTGCTGGGATTACAGGCGTGAGCCACCGCGCCCGGCCTAATTTTTAAAATTATATGTAGAGACAAGGTCTCGATTTGTTTCCCAGGCTGGTCTCAAACTTCTGGGCTCAAGCTATCTACCTGCCTTGGCCTCCCAAAGTGCTGGGACTACAGGTGTGAGCCACCACACCCAGCCTGTCCCCTAACTTCGTTTGTACCCACATCCATCAAATGATAAGCAGGACCAGGCAACTAAGTAGGCAGCCATATTAGCTTGAGGGAGGTGACAATTTCGTTTTCTATGTAAGAATGTGTTTGCTTTGAGCAGCATAATTGCAGTCTGAAGTTCTGTAATTCTTACAATTTGATGAGTTTCTAGTTTGCCTCTCCCATGGAAGGAAGTTGCTAGTTGTATTTTTTTTTTTTTTTGAGACAGAGTTTTGCTCTTGCTGCCCAGGCTGGACTGCGATGGTGCGATCCCGGCTCACTGCAACCTCTGTCTCCGGGTTCAAGTGATACTCCTGCCTCAGCCCCCCAAGTAGCTGGGATTATAGGCTCCTGCCACCACGCCTGGCTAATTTTGTATTTTTAGTAGAGATGGGGTTTCACCATGTTGGTCAGGCTGGTCTCGAACTACTGACCTCAAGTGATCCACCCGCCTTGGCCTCCCAAAGCTCTGGGATTACAGGCATGAACCACCATGCCTGGTGCTAGGTGTCTTAATAGTAAATTCCCAGTAAGGAGCTGAGAAAGATAGATGTGTGAGTTCTAAAAAGAGAGGGCAGGCAGGCAAGATTGTCTAAATAGATGCACTTTGATTGATGCAGTGTGATGATTCAATTCACCAGTGCCCTTTGTTGAATACTTATCGTATGCCAGGCACTGCAGTGAGTACTCTGCATTTTTAACCAGCTTATAAGGTAGATGCTAAATATTACCTACCTTCTACAGAGGAGGAAACTGAGACACCAAGGAGTTAAGTCCCTTGCTTTGGATTACACAACTAACTAGGGTAGATCCAGAGTTCAAACACTGGTCTTTAGGACCCAATGGCTTGTTTGAAATACACTGTCTGCTAAGGGCCCACACCTTTCTAGGGACCAGCCACAAATGGTAGGCGATGATGGATATGCCCACATACTTCAAAATATTTCTTTAGGGCTGGACACAGTGGTTCATGCCTGTCATTCCAGCTACATGGGAGGCTGAGGCAGGAGGATCACTTGAGCCCAGGAATAAGGAGGCTGCAGTGAGCCATGATCACACCATTGCACTTTAGTCTGGGTGACAGAGTAAGAACCTGTCTCAGAAAAAAAATTAGTTGCCTGCATTTAAACGTTATGAGATTTGGCCGGGTGCAGTGACTCACGCCTATAATCCCAGCACTTTGGGAGGCAGAAGCAGGTTGACCAGCCTGGCCAACATGGTGAAACCCTGTCTCTACTAAAAATTAGCTGGGTATGGTGGCGTGTGCCTATGATTCCAGCTACTAGGGTGACTGACGAAGGAGAATCACTTGAACCTGGGAGGCAGAGGTTGCAGTGAGCCGAGATTGCACCACTGCCTTCCAGCCTGGCTGACAGAGCAAGACCCCATCTCAATAAATAAATAAATAATAAATAAAAGTATGGAGATTTTCCACTGAATTCTGGACTTGAGGCTTATCATGGCAAATCAGAAGCCCTGGAAATATACCTTATGAATTGCCCGCCAGCAATGACTGCCAAGAATGGACTAGAAGCTGCCCCCCTTAGGAAAGATATGCAAGCTCCAACTAGCCCAGACCCCACCATTCCCTATTGCCCATTGTCTGCCAGCTTCATTCATTTTCTTTCCTTCCTGCTCCCTGTGCATGTCTGAGTTCAAGATCCCTGCCCTAGCCTGTATGAGGCCCTACCTTCAGGGGTACCTAGAGGAATCAATAACAATATTAACTTGGCCTTTACAGCGTGGCAAGACCCAAATTGGAGGTCGTGGTGAGTAGGGGCAGGGAGGCACTGGACTATGCTATCAGCAACATAGGCTGTTCCAACAAGCAGATGTCTTTCCTTGAGGGGGTGCCATCTTCCCCTCCTCCCTGCACCCTGGTGCCTGCCACAAGACTCAAAAATCTGACAGCAGCTTGTTATCCTACTTCCCTCTGCCAAAAGCCCTCTGTGGCTCCTATTGAACCCATTTTATTTATTTCACTTGATCTCCAAAGAGTCCAGACTCATTACAGGCCTTGTTAAATGCTGCCCTCCCACAACTCTATGGAGAGAGTAGCCAACCTGATCAATAGAACCAACCTTTAATTTTTCTTATGCAGCCATGGCTATTCGTGTGGGTAAAGGGGAGAAGAAAGGGCGGTGGTGGTTGGAGGGGGAGTCTTAAAACAGCATAGTGATGATTTCCCATTGCCTTGAGGAGTAAATGATGTTGCTTCAATTTTGGCTTGAGTTAAACTTGATGCAAACATTGCTGTAAATGGGTCAGGCAGTCAAGAAAGCCAACAGTTGGCCGTGTTTGTGCTAACTCTTGTCTTTTTGTTTTTGCCAGAGGAAAAAAAGAATTCTAATTTCTATCAGTCTAAATTGAGTTGGGGAGCATTATCAGCTGGAAGGACCCTTCTGATTTGACAGGCTCCACTGTATGATGATTAATTACTTCTCAGCTTCATTGGACTTTTCTAATTTCCTTTTGCCACTGGCTGGAGGCACCGCGCGATAAGTACTGCTCTTATTATTTTGTGCAAAGGAAAATGTCTATTACGCTCTGTCATACAAGCGAGCAGAATGAAAAGACAGCTGATCAGGAAACTCGCAAGCTCCTCTATCTTTATTTGGTCTCCCCTGGCCTCCCTTCATCACTTGTTCTAAGACAGAGGTGGCCACACACGGTTTCCTGTCAAAATAAGAAGATAAAATCATAATCTCTATCAGAGTACTTGACATTTTGAAATTTGTATAATGATTTCATGGGATTTAATCCTCCAGCTCACCACAAATCCTCCTCCAAATGCAAATGCAACAAAATATTATACTGAAAAATGCAGGGCCATTCCTCTCCATCAGCCCATTTATTTGGTCATAAATTAAACTTGGGGGGTTGCCTTATAGTATATAATACTCAAATGAGAACAGCAACAACTATTATTGTTATTAATTATTATGAGGACCATAATTGAATTTGGAAAGAGAACGTTTCTTTTTCTGACTGGATCCGAGACATAAATTATAGGTGTCGGTTTGTAAGAGCATATCCCAGAAGCACATGGCTGAGGGGCTGGCTGGCTTCCTACGATGATCACAGACTTTACCATAATGGACAATTGAGAGTCTGCAGAAGCTGTTTGTTTTCCTGGAGAGGAGAGAGATGAAAACATATAAGGGATCCCACTCCTGCGGCCCCTTCTGCCTGCTAATCCTCAGGCCGGCACTGATATTGCGTGTTGGTTCAGGTACTCTCAGGGACGTGTTTACTGGGACGGGAAAAGCTCCATTGAGCAAACCATGGCTGCGTTTCTCTATGTCCCCGCTTGCTGAAGAAAATGCTGATTTTACAGAGAGTCTTACTTCAAAGCAACAGAGTAGGGAGGAGAAAGATAAGACGGCAGAAGGCTGGGCTGGAAGCCCAAAACCCTGGGTTCCCATCACAGTGCTGTGCTAGCTTCTGAATTCTACCTGTCTGCTGTTGCTGTTTTGTTTGTTTATCTTTGGGGGGGATGAAGAAGAGGCTGGGAACTACTGAAGGAGAAAAGAGGCATTTAGTTTATCTTTCCAATAATAATAATATTAACTAGCATTTAGTGAATACCTACTATCTGCCAGGCACTGTGCTAAGTGACTTATGCGCATTACCTCATCTGATCCTTGCAGCCCATTTGATGTTGGTGCTGTTATGAACCCATTTTACAGACAAGAATACTTGGGCTTCAATGTTAAATATGTCATCAGGCAGGGATCATGCAGTCTGTAAATGACAGTCAGTATTTGACACCAGGACTGTTGTTGTCCCAGCCTCTCTGCTCTACCTTTTCATATTTTCTTTCCCTCCTTCCTTCCTTCCTTCCTTCCTTCCTTCCTTCCTTCCTTCCTTCCTTCCATCCTCCCTCCCTCCCTCCCTTCCTTCCTTTCTCCCTTCTTTTTTTCCTTCTTTCCTTCTTTCTTTTTTGAGATAGGGTCTTACTCTATCCCCTCCAAGCAGGAGTGCAGTGGCACTGTCGCTACTCACAGCAGCCTCAGACTCCCAAGCTCAAGCAATCCTCCCACCTCAGCCCCCTGAGTAGCCGGGACTACAGGCACACACCACCATGCCCGGCTAATCCTTTTTATTATCTATAGAGACAGGATCTCCCTATGTTTTCCAGACTGGTCTCGAACTCCTGGGCTCAAGCCATTCTCCCATCTCGGCCTCCCAAATTGCTGGGATTACGGGTGTGAGCCACTGTGTCTGGCCTCATATTTCTACCTCATTTTTTTTTCTTTTGCAAAAAATCCTGATGATAATGTATGTGGTGAAGAACGCAGGCTGGGTGAACAAAGTCTGGTTTTTTTCATTCACATACTCTGTTCATTATCCTCTTGCTTATGTCTCTATTTGTTACACAAGCATTTATTGAGCACCTGTTATCTGTCAGATACTGAACTAGGCTCTAGGATTCCTCAGATAAAATTCCCAGGGTCCTTGCTTTCCAGAAGCTCAGACTAGGATCAACAAATAAATGACTAAAACATTAAAACCCAGAGCAAGAAATGCTATAATCCCAATACATAAGAGAGACTAATTTCACCTGAAGAAATGGGGGAGGTCTCCAAGAGCTGCTGACATTTGACCTGAGCCTGGGAGGACATTTCAGCAGAGAGAACAGTCTGACCAAACAGTAAGAAGTCAGTCAGGTGAGGCCAGTTTGTGGGGTACTTGGGTGACTGAGGAGATACAGCCACCAGAAACTGAGGCTAGGAAAGTAGTTGTGGTCAAACCCTGAGGCATATGAATGAGTTTGACTCTAATTACATCTCTGAAATGGACTGTTTGTGACCTCAAGCAAGTCTCTTTCCATTTATGGGCCTCAGTTTCCCCATCTGTGCAATGCAGTCATTAGCCTTGACCAAAGATTGAAAACCAATGGCCCATAGGCTGGATCTGGTCCACAGATGTGCTTCCTCTCATCTGCATATTACTTTCTTAAGCAGAGAGCCACTATTTAAGAGCTTACATCAAAAATCCAGATTTCTAGCTTCTTTTCAAAATAAAGTTGTGACAGATGGCACCTACATTCCTACCCAGCCAGAGGTGGCTGGAGCTAAGAAGCAGACTCGTGGTTTATATGCATTGAGTGCTTTTCAGTTCTCCACAATCTTCACCACTCCTTACCACATACCCCACACCAGGGCCAACTATAAATGGTCATTTATCCTTATGTTTGCATTGCTGATTAGCGTTTTTTCTAAGCATAGAGAAAATACACCTCTGTAATCACAATGCAACAAAAGTGAGAAAAAAATCTAGATGAAGAGAGCACCACCTTTTAAGAAAAATAGTAGAGCATATTTCTGTGTTGAATTAAAGAATATTTATGTGTATTTTAT
Organism: Homo sapiens; assembly: GCF_000001405.40. NCBI lineage: Eukaryota > Metazoa > Chordata > Mammalia > Primates > Hominidae > Homo > Homo sapiens. The sequence continues at coordinate 54,620,941 of NC_000016.10, read as the reverse complement.
ATAAATAAAAGGGTACCTGTGTTGAAAGAATTCAGCTTCATTTATTCAGTGCTCCTGCTGGTATCTGAGTTTTTGCCCTAGGCTTTGTGTGTTGATAAAACTTCACTCTGGCTTCTGAGCAGGCCTATTATGGAAACTCAGATTCAGGGCTCTGCCAGTGACACAGAGGACCGGGGGAAAAGCAGGTTTCTAGAGCCTGAGACCACCTCCAAAGATGCCCCTTTGTGCATGAACCCTCCTGTCTGGCTTTCTCTGAGAGGGGTTGTATGAAGTATCCTCGAATGGGGAAGCTCCAGCTGCTGGCTAGTCTTTCTGGAAGAAGGAGTCTATCACCCATTAGTACATGATGACCTGCCTCACGATTATCCAGGAAGAAGGACAGGGCTAGGTCCTTGGTATGGCATAAATGAGCCATCCTGTGTCACAAGTGGTCTGATGAGGTGAGTCCGGGTAAATTGTGGCTTAGATTTACCAATCAGAACACTTCCCACTGTGATAGATTCTTCACCTTCATGCCCTTTGCTATGTAACTTGGCAGTGCCCATCCTTTGATTCTGGGCTTGGTCGTGTGACTTGCTTTGGTCAACAAGATGTTGGCAAACATCCAGCAAGTGAAATGTGCTCATACATTTCCACTTCCTCTCTTGCCCCCCTGCCTTTTCCATAAGAAGACACTCAGGCCAACCTGATGGAAGATGAGTTTTATGGCACAGAGCTGAGTTGCTCCAGTTGTCCAAGCCAAGGCCATCCTAGACCAACAGCCATGATCCTGAAGCATGGGAGAGTGCCAGCCAAGATCAGCAGAGTTCTCTAGCCAAACCTGCCAACCAAGATCAGCAAGAGCCCCCCTGACAAACTGCGCTTGACCACAGACTCATGAGTTAGGCCAGCCACGACCAGAATCCCATAGTCAAACTGCAGATTCAGGAGCTAAAGACATGCTTATTGCTTAAGCCACTGAGTTTTGGAGTGGGTCATAACATAGAATTATTGTGACAAGAGACAAGTCATATACCTGCCCCCAATGCTTATTTCTTCCACAACAGCACAATCCCTCTCCCCCATGTCAGCAGCTCCTACCTCTTGTGTCATCTTATTCTTAGAAGAAATGGTTCAAAACTCAAAGTGTTTGTTGTCTTTCAGACATGGGTGTGGGACTTAACTCTCCTAATTCCCAACTGTGTGACCTTTCATAATCACTTCACTGCTTGAAGCCTCAGTTTTCTCATCTGTTTAATGGGGATGATGATAATACTGCAAACTGCAAACAGTACCTGCTCCCTAGCACAATTACGATGGTTAAAAGAAAAAGGCAGGTAGAACATTCAGCACAGTGCCTGCCACATAGTAAATGTTCAAGAAATGTCAACTAGTATCACTGTCATCCCTTCTCCTTTCCTCTTTCTATTCATTCCTCAAACTCTTGGTAGAGTTTTGTCCCTCTTCCACACAGCAGGGAGTACCCATGAAACTCTTTCAACCTGCATTATGCTCTATGATGACAGAGCAGATACTTGCAGAATTTCCCTCTGGCAAGAACCATAGACAACACCTAGTTACTACAAGCCCAGAATCCCCACTGCCATCCTCATATCCTGTAGGTCAGGGGTCCCCTGTCCCCAGGCTGTGAACCACTACTGGTCTGTGGTCTGTTAGGAACTGGGCCGCACAGCAGGAGGTGAACAGCAGGTGAGTGAGGATTACCACGTGAGCTCCACCACCTGTCTGATCAGCAGCTGCATCAGATTCTCATAGGAGTCCAAACCCTATTGGGAACTCCACATGCAAGGGATCTAGGTTGCATGCTCCTTATGAGAATCTAATGCCTGATGATCTGAGGTGGAATAGTTTCATCCTGAAGCCGTCATTCCCTGCCTTCTGCCCACCCCAGTCCATGGAAAAATTGTCTTCCATAAAACCAGTCCTTTGTGCCAAAAAGGTTGGGGACCACTGCTGTAGGTCATAGGCAACCCACATAAGCATACTCAGACATACTAGACAGGACTTTACACCTAGAAAGCATAATCAACGACACATTCCAGAAGACAAGGTTTGTCCCCCAGAGGGGCCAATAGTGCAGAAAAATGAGATCTCTGTGTAGTGTGACTACCAGTGTTTCCCCAAGTGTGTACTAAGAGAATGGTTCTACTTGGTACCCCCAAATAAATCAGTAAACAAACAAATAAATCAATAAATAGGATAATCTATGGACAAATACATTTGATAAATTCTGGGCCAAACAGACTTTGTTGTGGCAGGGCTTTTCCAAAACTTGCTAGGATAATGTGTATCATTTCTCTCCAGCAAGGAGGTAGAGAATGTTACATTTTTGAAAGTACTTTGACCACAAAGACTTTATCTTTGGAGCAGTGTTTTATATGACTAGTAGGTCATGGCATATCGTTTTGGGAAAAACAATTTGGACACCAAGTTGGTAGTAAGGCTGAAACTGCAGATGAAGTATCCCCCTAGCAGAGAACTTCTCTGCCTCATGGAGGGCAGCAGGGGTGGAATCATTGCTCTCTTTCTTATTGTCCTTGGCTCTTTTGTTTGAGTCAGTCCTTACTCCCCTGTTTGTTTTGCCACCAATAAGACCTAAAGGTTTGGCTTTCCTTGGTCAACCCTTTTTTTCTATTCTTAGAGTGAACTGTGCAGTCAGATGTGGACAATTCCCTATTTCTCCCTTGTACCGTGAATGCACAAGAAGACAGACTTATCTTCTTTGTGCCAGAATAAAGCAGGGGTGCTAGAAATATTATTACCTCTTCATCATCACCCCAATCTGCTGAGGTTTAAATAGAATTTTGTCAGGGTCACTGACAGGTTTTTTTGATTAAAAAAAAATAAACAGACATACAAGATACCATTACATTTCATCTTGGGACAATTGTTCTCTAAGCAAAGTGTGTTATTTTCCTGTAGGTAATCCCTTACCAGATTGTGGATTTTCCATGTTCAACATCAGTCACTACAACCAAAAAGCAACGAACTGTGTTATTGACAATGTTTTAATTACAATACATAAAAGACACACGGCAGCAAAGACAAGGAAGTTATCTGGCTGTAGTGGCATTCATATGTTTAAGAAAACTCAGTGGTTGCGGTTCCAGCATTAAGCATTATATGTTTTCTCATAATGCTAAAAAATTCTAGTAGCATGTGTGGGATTGTTTTAAAGGAAATAATATCATTCATAGAAATGATTGTCTTTGGCAGTACAATAAATGAAATTAGGAGCTCTTAGAATGGTGGGCTTGCAACAATGTTGGTGTGAAATATAATCATTGAATTGCTTTGTTCTTTTTTCCAATAAAAGGTGGAAGCTATTGAGTGTTGTTATTAGGCAAGCTAAGCTGGGCTTCTGTACAGCATAGTTTTGTGTGTCTGAACCAGCAGAAGCTTTTGAAGTCCCTCGATTCCTTCTGCTTGCTAATTCTTCCATTTGTTTGATTTTTGGTACAAAGAAAATGAAAGAATATGATGAGATTATGGCATTTTAAGTCAATATTTATTAAAAAATCAATCTAGATGAAAATCTGCCCATCCCTCTAATTAGATGAGGCAACTTGAGGTTGATTTTTAATTGCAAAAGTAATTACACGGAGCAGATAGCCAGTGACATTTGATTATGTAGGTGATTGATTAAAAAGCCGAGCTCACCGAGCAGATTGTCAGCCAGGGAATCCAGACAAAAGAGCAAATTAAAAAAGTTGTCCTGTTAGTAATCACAAAATTCAAGGATGAAATTACAGAGCCAAACACCTCCATTGCCCCCTCATCCTCATCACTCGATCCACATGCATTCACTCCAACGCCTGATAAAGAAATGGATTAGTGTGAAATTAATTGAAGGGGGAAAAAAAACGGGAACCGAATTCATGGCTGAGAATAGGGCTTTTAACAAGTTGAAACAAATTTCTCCAGTTTTATAATACAACTTTTCTTTTTTGGCAAGTGAGATGTTTTCATAAAAGATCTTTTCAGAATGTTTGATGATATTAATTTATCTGTTAAGAACGAGGGAGGGGAAATATCTCACTTTCTAGCAGAATAGGATATTAAGATGTCTTGCTTGTTACTCATTTCGTTATAACATGAAAGCTTGGAGAACAGACTGTATATTTGGCAAGAGAATCCTTGGATTTGTAAACAGCCTTAGCTGACATCTTGGGCGGAATAATGAAGAGGCAACTCAGTCATTCAGAGGAACCCCAGTGATGTCCACTCGAGGATATTGTGGATAAAGGTGGAAGGGGTGTGTACCGGAGCAGTCCCCAAGAGGACACTGGATCTGACAGGGAGACTTAATCTCCCCATGCTTCTCTTGCCTTGTCTGTAAAAATAGTGATAACAGCAACTATTCCAGGTTCCCTAAGGTCCCAGAAAAGCAAAAAGGAAACTGAGGCAGGACCACCCAGTACAGCTCTGGCTGCGTAGAGAGTTCTATGCCGCCTCCCGGTGACCGTTCCTCAGTGCTGATATGGGCAGGATATAACTAACTAGTCAGGAGATAAAGTCCAAATCACTGCTCACATCTATCCCTCTGCTTTGTCAGCAGGTGCCATCCAGGCAGAGCACTGGACGGGCGGGATGTGTTCCTTACGATCCTCCAGGGCAGCTGATTTCAGCTATTTCCAGGTTCAGAGCCTATGTGTGCCACCAGGAGATGCATATTTCAGTAGACAGATGCTTGGATTCCCAGCCTCTGATACTAGTTAATGCAGTCCCCTCCTTGTATTTGGTATTTCACTTTTTAAAATATCCATTTATTCCTCCAACACATACTTTTGGTAAGGTCATTTGAGAGTGTGGTTAAGAGTTCCAGCTCTTAGAAAGCAATTTAATGTTATCCATTCCAAGTGGAGTTACACATACCTTCTGCCCTGGCAATTCTTCTAGGTGTGAATCTTAGAAAAACATCTGCAACATACACTAGGAGACATATGCAAGAAGGTTCATGGCAACATCTTTTTTATAATTGCCCCCATTTGGAAACAAACTAAATGGCCTGAAGAATGGGTAAATAAATTAAGGTATATCACTCAACGGCAAACTAAATATGCAACAACATATCACAATCCAACATTAAGCCAAAGCAGCAAGGCACAAAATAATATGTGCTAAATGATTTCATGCATACAGCTCAAAATCAAAGAAAGCAAATTTTATTGTTTAAGAATCTGTGGGGTGGTGGTGGGGCACGGTGGCTTATGCCTGTAATCCCAGCACTTTGGGAGGCCGAGGCAGGTGGATCACGAGGTCAGGAGATCGAGACCATCCTGGCTAACACAGTGAAACCCCGTCTCTACTAAAAATACAAAAAATTAGCTGGGTGTGGTGGCGGGCACCTGTAGTCCCAGCTACTTGGGAGGCCGAGGCAGGAGAATGGCGTGAACCTGGGAGGCGGAGCTTGCAGTGAGCGGAGATCGCACCACAGCACTCCAGCCTGGGCAACAGAGCAAGACTCTGTCTCAAAAAAAAAAAAAAAAAAAAAAAAAAAAAAGAACCTGTGGGTGGTACAAGGAGAGGATTATAATCAAGAAGGAAGAACAGAGGGTCCCTGGGGTATTTGCAATGCCCTATTTTTTTTGTCTTCAGTGGTGGTTATCAAGTTTTTGTCCAATTGTACATCTATGCTTTATGTTCTTTTCTGGATGTAGGTTATATTTCACATACATGTGCACGGGCACAGGAGGCTTTGGGGCCGGACTGCCTTGGTTTAAATAATTTTTTCATATTTCCTATTTTAACTTCTCTTTGCCTCAGTTTTCTTAAATTTATAAACTGGGCTTGAAAATAGCATCTTCCCCATACAATCATTGAGAAAACTGTTAGTTAGTTCACACAAAATAGCTTTGAACTGGCTCTGCAACATGATAAAGGTTTAGAAAATGTTAGCCATCATCATCGTATTAGGTCATTCTTGCATTGCTATAAAGAAATACCTGAGACTGGGTAATTTATAAAGAAAAGAGGTTTAATTGACTCAAAGTTCTGCAGGGTTTACAGGAAGCATGGTGCTGGCATCTGTCTAGCTTCCGGGGAGGCCTAAGGAAACTTACAATCATGGCAGACAGCAAAGAAGGAGCAGGCAAGTCACATGGTGGAAGCAGGAGCAAGAAGGGGGGATGCCACACACTTTTCAACCACCACATCTCAGAGCAGGAGCTCATTTATCACGCAGGAGATGGCCCAAGCCATTCATGAGACATCTACCCCCATGATTCAAAACCTCCCACTAGGCCCCACCTCCAACATTAGGGATTACATTGTAACATGAGATTTGAGTGGAAACAAATATCCAAACTATATCGATACCATCATCTTCTTCATCATCATTATTACCTAAGTGCCAGGTGTTTTGCTACATTTGAGCTCCAGAGAGATGAATAAAATGCAGTCCTTGCCTTACACATGTACACACACACACAAACACACATTTGTGAATAGATAGATATGAATTTTAAAATATAGCAGAAGAATGCACAACAAATTCCTGACAGTGGCAGGGGGAAGTGAACTGCAGATATGATACCTCAACTTCAATGTTTTATTTCTTGTATTGGTAAAAAAGAATATCTCAATTTCATTTGTTACATTTTGTTTTTTTGCTTAGAAAATGACTTGTAGTCTATATAGCAAAATGTTAACAAACATAAATTCTAGTGCTTGGGAACATGGATATTGGCGATCATTATGTGGTTTTCTCTTTTAAAAAATTCTGGAAATAAAAGAGAAAATATTGCATATGAAAAACATTCTATTAAGGATATATGCTGGGTTTTGTGGAAGCCAAAGAAGGAAGAACCTGATTTTCCTGAGGTGAGCATGGAAGATTCTCGGGTGACATCTGAGTGGAATTTTAGAGATTAGTAGGAGTTCACCAGGTGAACAGAGAGGATGAGGCACTCAAATGGAATAGAATATAGCACTGTGAGTGGATTGCAGACACTTGCAAATCCAATTCATGGAGGCCCCCTTCTGGGCCTCAATATTTCCATTTGTAAAATGAGTCCTTTTTCCTTCACTCACCTAACAGGCTCCAGAAAATATGGAGATTCCTTATGGCAAAAGTAGCTAAAGTCCTGGGCTTTTGACATAGCCTGCCCGTGTTGAAGTCCAGTTCTATTACTCATTGGCTTGAGACACAATCTTCCTGTGCTTCTCTTGCCTTGCCTGTAAAAATAGTGCTAATGGTACTTCAGTATTTACCTCATAAGACTTTTGTGAGGATTCAGTGAGTTGACAATCTTAAAATAGGTAGATCAGTGTCTGGCAAATGTTAAAACCCCAAATAATAATAATAAATTAATAAATCCACAAATACATATAATTATTTAAATTATATGAATATAAATAACTATTTAAATTATATAAATATAAATAATTAAATTATATAGATATTATAATTATTTAAATTATAGAGATATAATTATTTAAATTACATAAATATAAATAATTATAAAAATATAATTATATAAATATTAGAAACAATTATATAATTTACATAATTATCAAAATGTTATAATTATAAATATATATTATAAAGAATTCTATAAATGTATAAATAAATCCTAATGATTATTCAATAAATCCCCAATTTATTTATTAAATAAATAATTATAAATAAATAAAGCTTCCCATTATTATTATTATTATTATTATTATTATTATTATTATTATTATGGGAGGATATCTTACTTATTTATTTCCAGGTAGCTGTGACATTGATTCATACCTCTTTCGAAAAGTTGTGGCCCCTTTGTCTCCTGCATCAACAGTATCACAGGATCATAGGTCCCGCCATGTTGGTGGAGGGAGTCCTCACAGCCTGCGGCCTGGCCGATTCAGGCCACCTGGTTAATGTGCTTCCAGATTTACCAGGTAGCCCCCCGTCATAGCAGTTTCCTCCCCCTTTCATAGCTTTTTTTTTTGCTGGGATTTCATTAATTTTTACCTATCTACGTTTTCCCTTTTTATCTTTACTGTCAGCCAATTCTCTACAGGTCTCAGGCAAAACTCCCCCAAATCCATGCTCATTAACTGGCCCTCTCGAGGGGTCGTCCGTGAGACTACACGAAGGATACAGTTGCTGCCTTTTCTCTTTAGCAGAGCTTTTGTGCAGAGCTGTTCTGTCTCTGCCAGGCACTGTTAGATAAACCTGACCTAGCAGGGGGCCTCTGTCCTCAAATGGGTAGCAGTTATTGGTGAGGCTGCGGGCTGAAGTCCTAGGATGTGTCCAGGGCCAAGCAGGGAAGCGCTTCTCCTGACTCACTCTGGAATTAGACGTTGTCGGAGAGGTGGGGAAGAGCTTGGCTTGGGGTTTGATCCTAGGCTCTCAGAGCTGGGAGGAAACACAGCAAGACCTGGTCGAGAACTCTTATGGCACAGATGAGGAAACTGAGGCCCAGAGAAGGCAGAGTTAGGAGTCCAGCCAAGCTTCTTGATTTCCAACCCATTCCTATCCCTGCCCCATGAGTTAGCTCCTCCCCACACCAGCCTCTATAGGCAGGGCAAATTGATGGCAAAAAAAAATCGCCCCAATGTTTTACACCTCCTTGAACACATATGGTTCACAATGGGACTGCAGTTTTTTTACATAAAGAGGTAGAGTCTGTTCCCTCATCCGAATGGGTGTTAATTTTCTCAGGCTGCCATAACAAAGTTCCACAGGCTGAGTTCTTTTCTTGCAGTTCTGGAGGCTGGAAGTCCTGGAGTCTAGCAGTTCTTGGAGGCCGGAAGATCAAGGCGTTGGTGGGATGAGTTTTTTTCTGAGGCCTCTGTCTTTGGATCGTAGATGGCTGTCTTTTCCCTGTGTCTTCACGTGTTCTTCCTTCTGTACCAGTCTGTGTCCTAATTTCCTCTTCTTCTAAGGACACCAGTCGGATTGGATTAGGGTCCACCCTAATGACCTCATTTTACATTAATCACCTCTTTAAAGAGACTTTCCCCAAAGACAGTCACATTCTGAGGTACTAGGGGGTTAGGACTTCAACGCTGTAAACCTGGGCTAAATTTGTAACTGGCTTTGGCCAATAGACTGCGGCAGAAATGAGGGTGCCAACTCCCAGCCTAGGCCTCACAAAGCTTGACATGCATCTGTTCTCAGACCCTGCCAATGCCACCAGCAGTGAACCAGCCTAGGCTAGCCCACTGCCCCCAAGAAGCAGAGGAGAAGTCGTCCTAAGTGGGCCAATAGCCAGCCAACCTCCAAAAGGTGAGGAACACAGCCAAGATCCATGAAACGGACGCTCACGTGACTTGAATGCTGACCACAGACACCTGAGTGAGTCCAGCCCAGCCCAACCCAGAAGAACCACCCATCCAAACAGCAGACCCACAAGCTAAATAAACGTTTTCAAGTTTAACCCACTGGGTTTTGTGTGTGTTTGTTATGTGACATATTGTAGTAAATAACTGATACACTAGTTCAAATTAATTTGTGGCTGCTTAGCACCCATCTCTCTTACAATAATTTTAAAAATAATAGTAATTTTCTAGTTATCTATGATGTATAACACACCACCCTAGGCCTTAAAACGTCAGTGATCATTTTATTATCAGTACCAAGGGTTGATGAGACTCCGCCAGGTGGTCCTCACGCAGGGTATCTCATGCAGTTGCAGAGAGACATTGGAGGCTGGAATCATCTGAAGGCTGGCTCACTCCCGTGGCCAGCCTTGAGCTGGGAACCCTGGACCACATGGGAACTGGAACAGCTGGGAAGCCTCTCTCTAAGTGGCCTCTCTAAGTCGGTATCTCTCTGTAAGTAGCCTCTACAGGTAGTCTCTCCAGCAAGGTGGCTTAAGACTAGGAGGTTCTCATCTGGGAGTTCATGGCACCAAAGGGGCACATCCAAAGAAAGATGGACAGTTAGAAGCTGCAGCAGAAAAAAAATCAGAATATTCTTTTTTTAAAAAAAAATCATACAGTAAAACTGATCTTTTTAGTGTACATTTTATGAAATTTAACACAGGTATAGATTCATGTAAGCATCACCACAATCAGGACACAGAACAGTTTCCTCACCCCAAAAACTTCCTCCTGCTACCTCCTGATAGTCACACCCTCCTCCACTCATAACCCCCAGTGTCCGCTGGTTTGTTTTCTATCACCACAGCTTTGTCCCCTTGAGAATGTTATATTAATAAATCACACACCATGTGAACTTACAAGGCTGGCTTCTTTCACTCAGCATGATGCCTTTGAAGTTCATCCAAGTTGCTGTGTGTGTCAATAGTCCATCCCTTGATTTTGTTGAGTACTATTCCATTGTATGGCTAAACCACAGTTGGTTTATGCATTTACCCACTGAAGGAAATTTGCATTGTTTTCAGCTTTTGGCAATTATGCGTAGAAGTGCTTTCAACATTTGTGTACAGGTTTTAATGCGAAGGTAAGTTTTAATTTCCCTGTGGTAAATATACAAAAATAGAAAACGTGTATGTTTAACTTTAGAAGAATCTGCCAATATGTTTTACAGAGTGTCTGGAACATTTTGCATTTTCACTAGCAATGGATCAGTGATTCAGTTACCCCACATCCTTGTCAGCACTTGGTTTTGTCAATATTTTTTATTTTAACCACTTAATAGTAACATAGGAGTATTTCATCATGATTTTAATTTGCATTCCCCTAGTAGCTAGTAATGAGCATCTTTTTATGTTCTTATTTGCCATCTGTATATCTCTTTGGTGAAATGTGTGTTCACGTCTTTTACGCATTTACTAATTGCATTACATGTTTTCTTACTGCGGAGTTTTAAGAGTTGTCTGTATATTCTGACTACAAGTCCTTTGTTAGGTATATGACTTGTGGGTATTTTCTCCCAGTCTGTAGGTTGTCTTTTTATTCTCTTGGCAGTGCTTTTTGCAAATCGAAAGTTTTTAATTTTGAAGTTCCATTTATCAATTTTTTTCTTTTATGAATTATGTTTTTGGTGTCCTGTCTAAAAATTCTTTGCCTTGTTGCACATTACAAAAATTTCCTCTTAAAAGTTTTGTGGTTTTATGCTTTACGTTTTAGGTCTATGATCCATTTTGAGTTAATTTTTTTAATAAGGTGTGAGGATTAGGTAAAAGTTCATTTTGCACATATGGATGTTCAATTGTACTAACACCATTGTTGAAAAACTGTTCTTTTTCCATTAAAATACTTTTTCACATGTATAAAAAAAATTAACAGACCCATATTTGTGTGAGTGTATTTCTGAACTTTCTGTTGTGTTCTGTTAATCTGTGTGTTTATCCTATTGCCTATATCAGACTGTCTTGACTATAGAAAGTTTATAGCAAGACTTAAAATCAAGTAGCCTGATTGCTTGAATACCATTTTTTTATTTGAAAAGTGTTTTAGCTATTCTAGGGGTTTTTCTTTTTTGCTTTCTGTATACATTTTAGAATCAGCTTGTCTATATTAATAAAAATTTTGATAGGATTTTGGTTGGAATCATTTTATCTCTAAAGATAAGTTTAGGAAGAAATGGCATCTTTCCCATGTGGAATCTTCTAATTCTTACAATTCTTTTTTATTTACTTCAGCAGCATTTTGTAGGTTTCAGCATATGGAACCTATACATGATTTGTGGGGTTTATACTTAAGTATTGCATCTGTGAGTGGAAGAGAGAAAGTATATTATACATTTTTTAAAAAATTGAGTTTGCAATTGTCTGTTGTTAGGTCTGATAATTGAATATCAAAATACAATTATTTTTGTGTTGACCTCATATCCTATAACCTTGCTAAATTTACATTAGTTCTAGGAGATTTTGTAGATTTTGTGGGTGTGGGGGTGCTTTCTATGCAGAAAATTATATAGCTTGAAAACAGAGATTGCTTTATGTCTGTATTCCCTGTCTATGATTTTCATTTCTTTTTCTTGCCTTATTCCATCAGCTAAGACTTTCAGTATGATGTTGAATAGGAATAGTTAGAGTGGACATCTTGCTTTGTTCCCCATCTTGGGGTAGGGGACATTTAGTTTTTCTCCATTAAATATTATGCTAGATGTAGGTTTTCTATAGAAGCCCTTTATCTGATTAAGAAAGTGTCTTTCTCTTCCTAGTTTGTCAAAAGCTTTCATCATAAATATATGTTAAATTTTGTCAAATGATTTTTCTACTTCAATTGATATAATGTGGTTTTTCTTCTTTAGCCTGTTAATATGGTGAAATACATTGAATAAAACCCACTTAGTTATGGCATACTATTCTTTTAACATATACATACTGATGAGTTAAGAATCTTTGTTTTTGTTCATGAGGGATACTGGTCCATAGTTTTCTTGTAATCCATCTGCTTTTTCTATCAGGGTAATTCAAGGTGATGCTGGTTTCCACATTTAGTTAAGAAATGTTCTTTTATATTTTGAAAGAAATTGTGAATAATTAGTGTTACACCTTCTTTAAATATTTTGTAAAAATTATCAGTGAAACTCTCTGGGTCTGGAGATTTTTTTCCCGAAAAGTTTTTAGCTATGAATTTTATTTCTTTCAAGGTTATATACCTACTCAGTTATATAGTACTATTTTGTGTGATTTTTGGTAGTTTGTGGTTTACAAGGAATTAGTCCATATTTACTTAAGTTGCTTAATTTATGTGTATAGATTTATTTATAGTATTTCATATATTAATTTAATATCTATGGGAGCTTCAGTGGTATCTTCTTTTTCATTTCTTATAGTGATAACTTGTGTACTCTATTTTTGTCGGTCTTGATTTAACAATTTTTTTTTATTTTAAAGACAAGATCTTAGGCCCAGGCTAAAGTGCTCACTGTAACCTTGAACTCTTGGACTCAAGCAATCCTCCAGCCTCAGCCTCTTGAGTAGCTAGGTCTACAGGTGCACACCACAACACCAGGATGGTTTTTTTATTTTTATTTTTTATACAGACAGAATCCAAAATCTCGCTATGTTGCCCAGGCTGGTCACAAACTTCTAGGCTTAAGTGATACTCCTCCCTTGACCTTCCAAAGTATTGGGATTACAGGGGTAAGCCACTCTGCCTAGCCTAGTTTAACAATTTTTGATATTTCCAAAGGATCAGCTTTTGGTTTCATTGATTTTCTCTATCATTTTTCTGTTTTCTGTTTCATTGATTCCTGTTCTTTATTATTTTCTTTTTCTGCTTGTTTTTGTTTTGTTCTTTTTTTCTAGTTTCTTAAAATACAATCTTAGATTCTTGATTTAAGATCTTTCTTCTTTTCTAATATAATCATTTAATGAAATAAATTTATCCCTAAACACAGCTTTTTCTGCATCCTACAAATTTTGATTAATGTCTTTTCACTTCTGCTCAGTTTAAAATATTTTCTAATTTCCCTTGAGACTTTTTTTTGACTCATGGATTACTTAGGACTTTATTGTTTAATTACAGATTGTTTAGGTATTTTCCTATTGTCTTTCTATTACTAATTTCTAGTTTAATTTTACTACGGTCTGAGAACATATTTTATATTTTAATTTATTTTGTATTTGGTAAGACTTGTTTTATGAGCAAAAATACAGTTTATCTTGATAAATGTTTCATGTGAACTTGTAACAATATACATTCTGTTATTGGTGGGTAGAATAATCTATAAATTTAGATCCAGGTGATTGATGATGTTCTTTAGTTCACCTATATCCTTTATGTTTTGCTGTCTACTGTATATTCCCGAGATATTCCCGAGAGATTAGTGTTAAAATTTCAACTGTAATTGTGGATTTGTCTTTTTCTTCTTTCAGTTCTAATAGTTTTTGTTTCATGTATTCTGAAGCTGTGTTGTCTCATACATATACACTTAGGATCATTATATCTACTTAGTGATGGATCCTTTGATCATTACCTAATATCTCTCTTTATTTCTAGTAATTTTTATATCTCTGGAGTATACTTTGCTGATATTAATATAGCCATTTCAGCTTTCTTTTCATTCATGTTTGCATGACAGATTCTGTTCTACCTTTTTACTTTTAACTTTCCTATATGATTATCTTTGAAGTGAGTTTCTTGTAGACAGCATGTACTTGGGTCATACCTTTTTATCCATTCCGACATTCTCTTTTTTAACCCATTTATGCATGAGGTTGTAATTTTTTGAATTTGAAAAATCCGACCTTCATGATGGCCTTGAGCAGTAGGATATAAATAACTCCCACATGCTTATGGTTCCAATAATGGAACACTAGACATAAATGGGTAATTGTTGACTTTAGACCATGTGCACTTAATGTAATTATTGATGTTTGAATTTAGGTGTAACATTTTATTATTTGTTTTTTGTGTTTGCTATTTGGGATTTTTTCCCTTTTGTTTTCACTTTTTCTGCCCTCTTTTGCATTGTTTAAGTATATTTAGTATCTCATTTTTTCTATTTTTTTTTTTTGCTGTATCTCTTTATTTGTTGCTACAGAGATTATAATATTCATACTTAACTTTTACAGTCTACATAGAATCTATAGTTTGGCACTTCAGGTGGAAAGTAGCAAGAAACCTTATCACTTTATAGGTCCTTTTACCTACCTTCCTTTATGTTATCATTGTTTTATATGACATATCTATATGCATTGAAAACTCCACCAGACAATGTTATGATTTTTGCTTTCAATCATTAAACATATTTTAAAGAACTTAAGAGGAGAATAGTAGTCTATTATGTTAGCCCAGATATTTACCATTTATGTTGTTCTTCATTTTTCATGTTCCAGATTTCCTTCTGCTATCATTTTCTTTAATAATTATTTTAGAGCAGGACTGCTGGCAATAAATTCTTCTACTTTTCCTTCATCTAAAAATCTATTTATGTCCTCCTTATTTGTGAAGAATATATTTACTCATTATAGAATTCTGGGTTGGTATTTCTTTTCTTTTAGCACTTTAAAAATGCCACCTCATTTCTTCCCTGGCCTCCATGGTTTCTGATAAGAAATTTGCAACCATTCAAATTGTTTGTTCCCTCTAGGTAATGTATCATTTTAATCTGTCTCATTTAAAGATTTTTTCTTTGATCTAGTTTTCATCAGTTTAATTATGATTTTGGGGGGTTTACCTGTTAGAGATTGAGAGCATCTTGAATTTGTAGGTTCATGTCTTTCATCCTCACTGACTCTTTCCCAGGTAATCTCATTAAACTTTTGAGCCCATCTAGTGAGCTTTTTATTTCAGTTATTACATTTCTTAATTCTAAAATTTCTATTTGACTTTTTATTTTATTTTTTTTTTGCTGAGCTTTGTTATATTTTCATTTATTTCAAGAACATTCATGATTACTTATTGGAGCATTTGTATTATTGCTACTTTGTCAGATCGTTTCAACATCTTTGTTATTTCAGTGTTTGCATTTGTTGATTGTCTGTTCTCATGCAAGTTGAGATTTTCCTGGCCCTTTATATGCCAAGTAATTTTGGATACTATCATGGACAGGTTTGAATATTACATTATGAAACACTAGGTTTTATGTAAGTCCTGTGGAGAAGGTTGACATTTTCGTTTTAGCAGGCAATTGATCTGTCTCTGTTCAGGCTGTAAGTTCCAACATGTCTTTTGTGAACTAGGGTTTTAATTCCAGTTCAGTTTTTAAAGACTTCACAATAATATTGAATCTGGTCTTCATGTACATTACCCAGTGGCCAGTCTGCCACTTGGGCAGTGGTTTGTAAGTCAGTACAACTCTCAACATCTTTGGTATATTAATTTGGATCAGATCCTCACATATTCAGCTTGGAGGTGAGTCCAGGAATTCACAAACAACTATATGGAGTTGCTTTCTGGAACTCGTCTCTCTTCTCTATCTCCCTAGTATTTTCCAGTACACTGTGGAGTCCCTTTTCAGTTCTCTATCCAAGAAGCTGGGACTCCAGTTACCCTAATCTGCCATATACTTCCATAACAGTATCCAGGGCAAAGTGGTGGAAGAACCAGGGGAAAAAATAAACTCACCCTCAGTTCAGTGATATTTTACATTTTGCTCTTCTTGAATCTGCCTGCTACTCTTACTTCTCAGAGTCCTCAAATAGCTGCCCCCTGTATTGTGTCCAAGTTTGATAGCTACATTTAGTGGGAGACATAAGGAAAAGTGTGCTTACTCCATCTTATCTGGAACTGGAACCAATCTGTATCATGTCTTATAACCTAGCCTTGCTAGTAACATGGCATCACTTCCACCATACTGTACTTGTCAAGGTAGCTACAAACACCCACCTTAGTTCAAGGGGAAGAGAGTAGCAAGGTTTTGAAGGTGCCTGTGGGACCAGAAATGTTGTTGTCAATTTTAGAAAATATAATTTGCCACAAATATTAGTAAGGAAGACAGAAACTAGATCAAATGGGAAATAAGGAGAAACTTGGTGTAAGGCTGTTGTACACAAAATGTGTGCCACAAGGTCCTAAATGCCTGCTCCCCATGCTTCCAGAGCAGCCTAGTAACTGAGGTAAGGTGGGAAGGTGAGAAGCATGATTCTTTACAAATGTGCTTCTCAAATGTATGTGCACACTCCTGGGGAGCCTACAAACAGAGCCTGAATGGCTTTTTTAAAGGACTAGTGACACTGGGAGGATGTGAAGATACTGCTTACCTGGTGGTTTTGCAACAACTCTAAAAGGTAAAAACTTAGAATCTCCACACATACCTGCATTTCCGCTTAGGGAACCTGCACCCTGGTTAGAGAGGTTGGTTTTTACAGATTTTACAATGTCCATACAGTAAAAACAATTTGATTCCTCCAGTGATGATTTGCTTTTCCCTGGACTTAAAACTCAAGAGCAGCTTCTTCCATGGACCCTCCTAAATGGACTCTGTGATCAGATAGTCAATGAGCTAAAAAACAAAAAAAGAATCCTTGCAGTTTCTATAATGTTCCACTGCAGAGCTTTTATCACAGAGTGGCAGCCCATTGAAGCTCAGAACAAGCATCCTGAATTGAAATCTCAGCTCAGCACATCACTAGCTTTATAATTGACCAGGTCAAGTTACTTACTCTTTTTTTTTTCAGTCGAATTTTCGCTCTTGTTGCCCAGGCTGGAGTGCAGTCGCACGATCTCGGTTCACCGCAACCTCTGCCTCCCAGGTTCATGCGATTCTCCCGCATCAGGCTCCTGAGTAGCTGGGATTACAGGCATCTGCCACCACACCCAGCTAATTTTTTGTATTTTTAATAGAGAAGGGGTTTCACCATGCTAGCCAGGCTGGTCTTGAACTCCTGACCTCAGGTGATCCGCCCACCTCAGCCTCCCAAAGTGGTGGGATTACAGGCGTGAGCCACCACGCCTGGCCCTATTTACTCTTTTAAACCTTAGTTTCTACAAGATCTACCTCATAAAGTTACTGTGAGGCTTAAATAAGAGAGATCAAGTTTGTAAAACAATGTGCCTGGAATTTAGGAAGCCCCTTTTTGAGTGCCAATTATCACTAACATCAGACAAGTCATCCTGAGGCTAAAACTAACCTGAGGACAACATCTCACCAACAGGTTACCTAATCTTTCCATGCCTCAGTTTCCTCATCTGTAAACCAGAAATAATAATAATATCCATCTCTTAGTGTTATGGAAAGAGTTAAATGAGCTAGTCAGGGAAAGTGCTTAAAATAGTACTTGGACAAAGCAAGTCTACACAAGTCTGAACAAGCATTATTGGAAATCCATGAACTGTGAAACCAAGATATGTGTATTTTAAGGTTAAATAGCATTGTGTAAGGGGATACAGGGAGTCACAGGTTAAACATGGTATTTTTCTGGAGTGTGAATTTGACTTTATTTAAGAAGAAGAACTTAATAATGAATATGATGAACCAACGTGTCCCAATCATGCTGTTCTTTTGTGGTCTACAATTGATAACTAAGGACCCCAAAAATTCCATCCCCTCTCCCAAAAGTGATGTCTAGATTCCAGAGGGAGAAGAAGAGGGGTCTGTGGATGATACGGAGGCACCTGGCCACCAACAGAGTGTGCAGGCACTGTGCAGTCATTGCCTTGGCATCTTTCTCTATCCCAGCTGCTTCAAGCACGGCCGTTTTCCACATTCCCCTTCATTAAACAAGAAACTCAGATGTTAGTAATTAGACCGCCATCCCCAGCTGCCAAGTCACATTCGTTTCCAAAAAGCTCTGTATACTGCTACTTGTGTGTTTGTTAACAATGTCCCCACAACAGGTCTGCAATTAGAGCCCATCTGTTCAGTTTCTCAGAGAGCATTGCCAACTGACGCTGGTGAACTTGGAGCCCTCATTGTTGTGAATTCCTGACCAGAAACCCTGAGTGGGAAGCTACTTGTCCTTGAGTGTATGTCTGGGGCTGGAAGCCCCTTGGGTACCAGTCCTAATGGGCACGTATAATAAATATGAAGGAAGGAATGATCAGGTGATGACAGGGGGTGCTTATGTGGACTCCATGAGGTGTCTGTGCTGGTCTTCTCAATTAAAAACAGACTCCTACCCTGGCAGACCTGCCCATCTGTCTGGCTACATCTTTTTGGTCTGTCTGCCACTACTGGTACCTAGAGGTCATTTTCCAGTCAATGCTATGTGGTTGAAATCAGGTATTGTTATTTCCTTCAGGAGGTGAGAGGTCCCCAATCACATCCCAGTAAGAGATGCCCTGTAGTCAGTGTTCACCACAAAGTCCATTCTCACAAAGGAGTCAATGGTAAACAGGCCCTCTCTCTGGGAATTGATTGGGAAGATGTGGAAAAGGCAGGTAGGGGTGGGGGGAAGCCAGGAGTATCAGGATGCAAGTGCAGCATATTTGAAAGCAAATAAGTTTAAAAATGTATTTTGTAAGCAGGAAGCTATACACACATACATCAGAAGAGTTACTAAGCAGTGATTCCATGCTAGGGATCTTGCCGGACACTGAAGGAAATAGGAAGGTTAGAAAGACATAAGCTTTCCTCTACCTTAGGAAGTTTTGACTAAGACAGTGGTTTTCAACCTTAACTACATATTAGCATCTCTTGGGGAGCTTTAAAAAATACTAATTTAAAAAATTAGAAAAGCAATTTTATTTCCATTAACACCTAAAAAAATACTTAGAAATAAATCTAACCAAGAAGATAAAGGACTTGTACACCAAAAACTACAAAAATTGCTGTAATAAGGTAGAGATCTAAATAAATGAAAAGATATCCCTTGTTCATGGGTAGAAAGATGTAACATTGCTGTAATGCAATCTGTATATTCAGTGCAATCCCTATCAAAATTCCAATAACCTTTTTTGCAGAAATGGAAAAGCCAATCTTTAAATTTATATGAGACTGCAAGGGGTCTCAAACTACTTAATCTTGAAAAAGAATAAAGTTGGAAGTCTCAGACTATCCAACTTTGAAACATATTACAAAGGTACAATAATAAAAACAATATGGTACTGACATAAGGACAACCATATAGACCAGTGGAATATAATAGAGAGACAAAGCCAGGTGTGGTGGCTCAAACCTGTAATTTTAGCACTTTGGGGGGCCAAGGCAGGAGGATTGTTTGAGGCCAGGAGTTTGAGACCAGCCTGGGCAACCTAGCAAGATTCCTCTCTACAAAAATAAAAATAAAAAAATTAGCCAGTCATGGTGGTGCATGTTTGTAGTCCTAGCTACTCAGGAGGCTGAAGTAAGAGGATTACTTGAGTGGAGGAGGATGAAGATGCAGTGAGCTATGCTCACACTGCTGTACTCTAGCCTGGATGACAGAGCAAAACCCTGTTTCTAAAAAAAAAATAAAAATAAAAATAAATAGCCAAGAAATAAACCATCACATATATGGTCAATTAATTTTTGACAAGGGTACCTAGACCAATTAATGAGAAAAAAATAGTCTTTTCAACAAATGATGTTGGGGAAGTGATATCCACCATGCAGAAGAATGAAGTTGGACCCTTACACCACTTAAGGCATAAAAATTAACTCAAAACAATCAAAGGCTTCAGCTTAATCGGTAAAACTATACTTTTAGAGGAAAACACTGGAGAAAGTGAAGTGGATTTGGCGATGACTTAATGAATATGACACCAAAAACATAGGCAACAAAATAAATAAAAACCAGATAAATTGGACTTCATCAAAATTAAGAACTTTTATGCACTGAAGGATTCCATCAAGGAAACAATAACATAACCTACTGCATGGGAGAAAATATTTGCAAATGATATATCTGATAAGGGATTAATATCCAGAATATACAAAAAAAAAAAAAAACTGCTACAACTCAACAAGATTGTAAACACAACCTAAAAATGGGTGAAGAATTTGAATACACTTTTCTTTAAAGAAGATACACAAATGGACAATAAGCACACAGAAAATCGATAAACATCATTAGTCATTAGGGAAATGCAAATCAAAACCACAATGAAATACCATTTCACATCTGCTAGGATGGCTACAATTTAAAAGAAATGACCTGTAGAATATAACAAGTGTTGATGAGGATGTGGAACAATTGGAACCCTCATGGATTATTAGTAAGAATGTAAAATGGTGTTGCTGCTGTGGAGAACAGTTTGATCATTTCTCAAAAGGTTAAATGCAGAACTACCATATAACCCAGCAGTCCTACTCCTAGGTATATACCCAAAAGAATTGAAAGCAGAAACTGGAGAAAATATTTATACACCAACGTTCATAGCAGTATTATTCACAATAACCAAAAGGGGAAACAATCCAAATGTCTGTCAACAGATGAATGGATAAACAAAATGTGGTATATACATACAATGGAATATTATTCAGCCATAAAAAATAAAGAAATTCTTATATATACTGCAACATGGTTGTACCCTGAAATCATTATGCTTAGTGAAATAAACCAGAAATAGAAGGACAGATATTGTATGATTCCACTTATACTCTGTGCCTAGAATAGACAAATTCATAGAGACAGAAAGTAGAATAGAGGTTACCAAGGGGCGGGTAGAGAAGGAAGAGAGAGTTATTATCTAATGGGTACAGAGTTTTTGCTGGGGATGATGAGAAAGTCTTGGGTATAGATAATGGTGATGGTTGCACAACAGTGTGTTTAATGCCACTGAATTTTATACTTACAAAGGATTAATATGATAAACATTATATTTTGCCATAATAAAATAAATAAATAAATAATACTAATGCAGGAGCCATGTCCCAGACCAATTAAATCAGAATCCCCAAGCATACATCCTGAGCTTCTAATTTTTAAGAGCTCCCTCGGGATTCTGGTGTCAAATTTGAGAGCCACTGGTCTAATGGGAGAGAGAAGACAAGATATCCTGATGATAATAGTAATAGGAGAAATCAGTAAGTTGCAATTCATTAGGCACCCAGCACAGTGCTAAGCCCTTCAAAAGCATTATCTCTCTTAAATTGCCAAGTAATTCTATGAGAATTATCTTCATTTTTCTGTTCCCAAATATCTTCAATGACTTGACTAAAGTTATAAAGCCAAGAAGGCAGACCCAGGACTTGCACCCAGGACTCTTGGACACCAGTGCTGGAGCCCTTAACTACTGAAACACAGAAGAGGACATCAGCATGTCACAGGTCTCCAGAGGGAGATCAGGGAAAGCTGACTCAAGGAGGCAGTATTTGAAGATTTTAGGGCCCCTTCCTTAGGGAAAATGGGGTAGGCAGGGCAAAAATTCCAGGCGGTAGGAGTAGCTTGGCCAAGAAGGGGCAGTTTGGAGGCTCTTAAAGAAATGGCTATGAGTGGAGGCTGGGTTTGTGCAGCAGTAGAGTGAGTGAGGAGGCTGAAACGATAGGTTCAAGATGGACTGCAGGTTCAAGAAATGCCAGAGGGAAAGGCAAAGGATTCATTCTGTGGGACAATGAAGACCACCAAAGGGGTTTCAGCAAAGGAGTCATACTCAGAACTGTGCTTTGGGAGAATTAATCAGGCAGCAGCACATAGAATGGAGAGGTCAGGGTGCTGCATCTGTTCAATAGATAATTAGGGCACCCCTACTATGTGCCAGCTACTTTCCTATGTCCTGATGATCTAATATGAATCAGGCAGGGGGCTGGTTAGCAGGTTTGTTGAAGTGAAAATAGAATGGAGACTTGTACTCGAAGTAAATACAGGTAAAGCCACAAAGGATGCCATTGTTTCTATCTGAGTCTGTGGGAAGTTCATGATGCCACTTTATATGGTTTGGCTGTGTCCCCACTCAAATCTCATCTCAAACTATAGCTCCCATAATCCCCATGTACTGTGGGAGGACCCAGTAGGAAGTAATTGCATCATGGGGGCAAGTTTTCCTGTGCTGTTCTCGTGATAGTGAATAAGTCTCAAGAGATCTGATGATTTTATAAAGGGCAGATCCCCTGCACACTCTCTCTTGCCTGCCACCATGTAAGATGTGCCTTTGCTCCTCCTTCACCTTCTGCCATGATTGTGTAGGCTCCCTAGCTGTGTGGAACTGTGAGTCCATTAAATCTCCTTCCTTTATAAATTACCCAGTCTCAGGTATGTCTTTATTAATAGCATGAGAATGGATTAATACACCACTCAAATAACTGTTTTATGCAGAAGAGATGCTCTGGAGAACTTTGGTGTAGGCTTTGGACACATTGTGTTTGAGCTGCCAGCATGCTCTTCACTGTTGAGAAGTAATAGTTAACCTCTATTAAGTCACTTACCAACTGTGGGCCTTGGATACTAATACGTAACCTCCCTCAGTGATTCTCATCTGTAAGTTAGAGGGATAATGATTTGAACTTTCTTCATAGGGTTGTTGAGAATCCAATGATTGTACGTTCAGTACCCTACACAGGGCCTGACCCACTCTAAGTACTCAATATTGTAAACTTCAAGAGAGTAGTGGGACTAAAGCCTTATTGCGAAGAAGCTGAGCAGGGGCAGGTAATAATAGACTGGAAGCTTAGAGAAGTTTCCAATTCATGAAGAATATTAAAAACTTCATTGAACATTTGGGTTGAGCATCAGATGAAGCAGTTGCTTTGCATTGACAGGAAAAGCTATATAAAAAAATACATGTCATATTTTTGAAAATATGCAAAAACAAAAGAACCACTAGGTAAAAAATAGATTTCTGTCTCCTATCTCATACCCACTCTCAAGCATACATTCTTGGAGAGATCAGGATTGCCAGCACCATTTAAATGGCTGCCACATCTCCGTGTGCAGGCCATGGTGAGACAGGCTCATCTCCATGGAGACAGCAGGCCTGGCTGTCAATGACCCATGGCCAACGGAAGAACCAAGCAAGGACAACCACTGATAAGGATGGACCAGAAGCCTTTTCTGGATGCCTGAGTGATTGCCCCTGGCCCCCAGAACTTAAATCAACCTTGGCAAGGAGGGGAGAAGAGGAGGAAGGGGACACCCTGAATTTGCCTGGATTATTTACTCAAAAGGGACTACAGGGGAAAAAATCAAGACAAGAGTGATCTCTGTTTACTGAATCAAGTTTTCTGTTCTTGGATAGAATCTGTGCTGGAGAGCAAAGTTTAGCTGAGACATAGAGAATAATGGCCTATTTGCATACATCTGAGTTTGTGGCTATGAAGGGCATACTTACTAGGTTGGCAGCTGGGAGCTTGCTATGGAGATGTGAAGAAGGTTACCCAACAACCTGATTTGGAGTCTCAAGCATGTATGAAGCACTTTCCATGTACCCAGCACTTCAGTGATAAGAGGAGGGAGAACCAGGAGGCACAAGTTTGAAACAAAGCAGTTCCTACCATCAGGGGGCTCAGGGTAGTGGGAAGTTTATGTCCCAGATTGGAATGGGGGAAGCATGGTCAAAGAGGGGCAGCTTAAATGCTCTGGAAACAGGGATGACACAGGCTTGCCCTGCCCTGGGGGATCCCAAGACAATTTTCTAGAAGAACCATCATCTGAGTTAAGACTTACAAGAGAAGCTGCAGTGAAAACTTGAAAACAACGTTGGGTTTTTTTTTTTCCCCTGAGACACTGAGAACTGAAAGTTTCTGTGATTAAAAGACAAAATGTTGCATTTAATTCTGAGTCTCCCAGTTCAGTCACGAGGGGTGGGCCATCGTAGCAAGACCATTTTCTAGCATAAGTATGAATACAGAGCAGTGTTAGAGATCATGGGCTCCATCAGGAACACCTGGGTTCAAGTCCCAGCTCTGCTGTGTGACTTTAGGCAAGTCATTTAGACTCGCTGAGTCCTTTCGTTCTCTGCCTATAAAAAAAAATAAATAAAGATAATAATACCTCTTTGTAAAGTTCTTCTGAGTATAAATGAGGGTCATCCGCATATGGAGCACACAGACCAAGGCTCAGCACGCACAGGCATTCCCCGGGGGCAGAGGTTAGTACTCACACAGCCAAAGGTGGGTGTCCTGGGTTGGATCCTAAGGCCGCAAGTGTTTCTGCCACCTCCACGTGAGGCCCTTTCCCCCTCCGAGAGCCCTGCTCCTCTGGAGATGTTGATACTTCCCAGGTTCCTCTCCAGAGACGACCTGCTGTCAGCCTGCCATGATCCTTGGCACAGGTTTAGCCAAGTCCACAGATGGTGGGTTCAGAGACTCTGGGTAGGGAGAGAGTCACTCTTTATTTGGGGGCAGAGAAGAATCTGTTCTTATTTAAGCATCAATCAGGGCTGTTGATGGGGAAGCCAAGGGGACTTCACGGTCCCTTCTGTAACTGGGGGAAGGGGCAAGGCATGGAGGAGGAAACAGCGGGTGCGAAGACCCTGCCATAGGAGCGAGCCTGGAGGAGCGGAGAGAGACTTGGCATAGCTGAAAAACAGGAAGCTAGAGGAGGCAGCAGGAGAAGACGCCAGAGGATAACAAGAGAAGATAGGCTGAGTGCTGCTCACTCACACACTCACTCAGGTCGGCCGCCCAGGCCTCTCAACAAGCCACATGGTCAGTTCGAGCATCTTCCTCCCAATTGATAGATGATGCAGAGGAGAGGGTTGCTAGGACCTGCCCACGTCACACAGCCAGTCATTGGCAAAGCTGGAGTTTGAAGCCAGCTGCCTGGCATCCGCAGGTGCCCCTTCTAACCATCTGTCTACTGCCCAAGCACAAGGCATTTATTAAAGGCCCCAGGCATTCTCTTAAGAGCAAGAGGAGCTAAGTAGAAGCACACACCCTCATCTGCATCTTGCGACAAGATTCCACTGACTGCTGGTAGAGAATAGATGGAGGAGGTCAAGAGTGAAATCAAGAGTGACACCCACTGCTGAGCCCCTTGAAGGTGTTCAGATGAGAGATCAGGAGCCAAGGCTGGGCTGGCATTGGGAGAGGTAGGGAGAAGTGGTCAATTTGAGAGATGTGAGGTGTTCTCATCTTTGTGCTTACCTTAATTTTATTTGAAGAATATAAAAATTAGCTCTGACTGACTAAGCATTAAGGGGAGGGAGGTGTCAGCTCACCAGAGAGCCTAGACAGCCCCTCCAGGGACCTTGCTGTCACTTCTCACTGCCTCTGCTGTCAGGGTGAGGGGCTTGGAGCCCCTGCTCCTGGAGTTGGGGGTTGCAGGAGCCAGCAGATCCCAGGGGACCAGCATTCAGACTGATTCCCCAAGAACTGAGCAAACAGGGAGACAGCCCTCCCAGGGGGCAGGAATCCCTCTCCAGACCTAAACAATCCTCATAGACACCCTCTCCCACCCTCCAGGCTGAGGCTTTCTCCTAAATCACCGAGAAAGCTGAGAGCATGTTTCTTCTTGGAGCTGTGTTTTGACACAATTGCTTGCACCCCCATAACACCGCCTGCCCCCCTTGTCAAAAGGGAATCAAAGGCTGTTTGAAAGGAACTGCTCTTAAAGCCACATCAGGTGCAGCTTTGAACCACATCTTCACCTCCAGGGAGTATTTCCCTCCATCGCGCACACACTGTGAGCTCCCCTCAGCTGGACAAGATCGCGTCTCCCTTCAGTCCTGGCCCTTCAGGAAAGCCCAAGAAAGCGTCACGTCCTTGCAACTGCTCACTTTCTCAGTTTCATGCCTGGGGCTGGGCTCTGGTCAGCAGGCAAAGGCGAGTTTGTCCATTTCCACAATATCTTCCAAATTTAAAACCTGAGGGCGGGTGGGCGGCGGGGGTGGGGAGGGGGGGAGGTGGCGGGGTGCGGCGGCGGCAGCGTTAGAGTGAGGGAGGGGAGATTCCTAACTCCTCCAGCACCTTGAGGTCTCTGCTATTTGCATTCTCCCTTGCCCGGTTTCCTGCAGCTACTGAGAGTTAATCTCCACAGCGAAGATTAGTTTATTCGATTAACTCTGCTCCCCGTAGACTATCCCGGGAGCTCTCCGCCACGCATCCAGAGCCAGCCTTACCAACCTTTTACCAGCCAGGAGAAGATTCGATAGAATCATCTTTCTCCCCCTTCCTTTCATATGATTGGAAAATAAATTGAAAATGAATTTCAGATATTGCTTGTGTTTTAAATATGAGATAAAGGGCGGCCCTCTCTGCAAATTCAATAGATGGAAGGAGGGGAGAGGGGCTTCCATTCTAAGCAACACAGATGCACTCTGTTGGAGAAGCCAGAGGCTCTTGAGCAAATACGTCAGGTCACCAACAGTATTTGTGTAGTCAGGCTATTAAATGTTGACATCTTTGATTATTATGATTTTGGTTTTGGAGAACTATAATGTAGCCATCAAAATGTGAAGTTATAAACTCAAAGTGTTTCTGCTAGCATCTTATGCCAAGATGTCTCTAAATCCACTGGTACGTCAATGGGGCTTCAGGATGGGTTTGAAAAATACTCCGGTGCCTGGGTCCTATTCCCAGGAATTCTCATTTAATTGGTCATGGATGTGGCTGGGCAGGGAAATTATTTTTTATTTTTCAGATTAAAAAATTATTTATTTATAAAGAATTATTTTTAAAGGTTATTCCAATGTGTTCTCGGGTGTGAGAACTTTTGCCATCAACTATCCTTTGCTAATAACAATATTAGGACAATCTGAAAGTGTCACAAACTAATTAGCGGCCCTATTAAGCAGGGTGCACTGATGCTCTTAAGCATCATATTAGAAACTTAAACTCAACATGCCTGTCCTTTTCACCATCTTTTTCCAGGGAGACATGTGTTTGGCAAGCAGTAGGTGTCTTGGTGGGGGTGCCCCAGGGTAGACAATAACCCCAAGTATTTTTGTTGCAACAATCACAGATGTATTTATACAGGGCCTGTGTTCAGCATTTGTCATAACTGTCACCGAAAATGATTTCTTGGGTCAGAAACATGACTTTAAAGCTTGACCCCAAAGATTCAACTTGCCTATTTGCTTATTCCGGTTCAAGATGTAATGTCGAACACTGCCCTATTCGCCGTTCCTTTTCACATGGAGTCTGCTCAAATTGAGAACAATGATGATGCCAGAAAGAGGCGCATTTTGATGTTGGCTGAGATAGAAGGGGGGAAAGGAGCTGACAGCCATGATGCTGACAAGGGAGATGAGGCTTAGAGAAGACAAGTAAAGATGGATGTTGCCTTCCTTGGCCATCCCCTTCTAGAAATTGGTAATTCAGCACTGAATGATAAAAATAGTAGGATTCCTAGAACCAGTATCTTCTGTTGGCCAAATGAGACATTTCTGGTTCTCACACACAGTGCAGTCACTGGTTTACACAGGCCTCCCCATATATATTTTAAAATGCACTGAGATCTAATTAAAATGGACTGCAACACTTCTTTTAATTATTTACTACAGCTCTAGTACACAGAGACTCTTCCTAAAGTTATAATTGTCAAATAATAATTCCTCAGTCTCTCTCACTTCCTCATTAAAGCAAGCATATGCCAGTTTACCTCTGGATTTTATTAGTCCAACATTACTATAGGTTGCAGGAAGCATGGGGCTCAAACTCAGATATTCTCAGAGACGAATCCTATTTTAAAATTAGATTATTAAAACACTTGGACAAGAAGACATGCCTGGATAAATGTAAGATCAATAGCTGGGCACTAGTGCACATTTTGAAAAAGATTGAGTGTGTTCGCTTTCATTAAATTATATGATTATATACAGTAGGTGATTGTTCACCTTGAACCTTCATCTGAGTCACATTACAGCCAAAATTAGAACAGTGGATTTCTTTTAAGAAATAATAACAACAAATAAAATGTTAAAACACAACTAAAAAAAAAAATGAGTGTGTGATTTAGGTCCCACCCAAAGAGACAAAAGCTACCTCAACTGGAGGTTCTCAATGTGTTTAATAACCCAAATCATTACAGATAGATTTCAGATTGAGATCATTCTAGAAGGTCCTTGAAGCTCTTTATCTTAAAGGCATTTTAAAAATATATGTATTTTCAGACCCTGTGTTGTTGACACCTAAGAAGATGCTCTGTCCACAGTTTACATTTCAGCCATTTGGATTTCTGAACACTCCTGCTTTCCCCTTGGAGTATTTTATGGTAAGCCAGTCGTCATCCATTGGGAATCTGTGATATTTCACCTTTGGAATGTGGGATTCCTTTTGTTGGGGTGCTTTAAAATAATCCACTGCTCTGTTCATTTCTAGCGTTTTAAACAGGAACCTGGTCTAACATTCATCACCATCCAGAAACAAGGGCTCACAACATTTTAAAATCATCTTAGCAGGTCTTTACCTGCAATGAAATGAAAGTTAACAGGAGAAAGAATGGCATGTTTTTCACTGGCTTCTCTGGTGATGTTTTCTGCCATTCTTCCCCATTGTGGGGTTTGATGCTGGGTCTTGTGCCTGAACCATTTGAATCACTTATTTACAGCCTCTCCCAGTGGGGATGCTCCATTTAGTAGATTAACTCTACACATAGTAGGCACTCAGTAATTGCTCCTGGGATTTATTTGGCCATTAGTTTGCCATCCAGTGGAAGAAGATCATCACATGTGGGCTGACAGTCCTTCAACAGAACAGCGTGGGGGCCTCCCAGATCCTGCTTTTGGACGTGGCCCAGAGGAGCTCTGCCTCTCCGTTTGGTGAGGCTCCCGATCTGAGAGGAGATGCCACGCTGAGCTCCACCCTCCCACCGGGCACCACAGCCAGGCCCTCTGCCTGTCCCCCACCCCTGCTGCCAGCCTCCTTTCTTCTGACAAAGTACAGAATATCAATAGCATTTTCAGCTTAGAAAGTTCAAGGGTCAATCTTCAAGGTGCTTAAGGCAGGGGAAACTCCCCAGAGACTTGAAGCCAAACCTCAGCCCTCAAAAGTCAGGCCAGTGTCCTTGGGGTGCATGACAGTGACGGTATCTCCAAGTAAATAGAGGCATCCCTGTGTGAAAGCGCCAGTTCGCCTCCTGCTAATTGAACAAACCAATTATGGTAATTAACTGGCGCAAGTGTTTAAAATGGCCGTGAATCCGAATGAAGGAGGTTACCACTTAACTTCCACACAATTATCCTGGTAAAAAAAGGAATTTCCAAACAAGATCATACTAAAATTTTTGATAACGTTCAAAATGTATAGATACAGTGAAGTTCTTAGGGAAAGGTCTGCCATCTGTTTTATCCTCAGACTTTTAAGACAAGAAATATTAGAAGGAAAAACAAAAATGAGAGAGAGAGAGAGGGAACGAAAACATAAGCCAAATTTTTAAAAAATCTGCAATACTGACAGAATGTTGCGGGGTGTTACTTTTCCCGTGACTTCAGCTATAGTAATTAGAGGAATTCAGTTTCAGTGAGGGTCACTTTGACTTTAGGAATGAAACAAGGCCTGAATGATATGCTAATTAGGACTCATCTCTTTGAAAACTGTCTAAATGGCTGAATATATATATTTTTAAAGCAGGCCTGCAGTTAAAATAGTTTGCACTAAGTTCTCGCTTTTTGTTTTCTTCCTAAAGAGAGTTTGTTGGTCAAGTTGATCTCTTGTTGTTGAAATTCAATCAAGGGCATTAAAGTGTAAACCAGTTGAAAAAACAAAGAGCTTTAGGGAAATTAGTTGCTTCAACAACAACAAACAAGCACGGGGTAATCTTCTTAGAGAAATTAATGAAAGGAAAACCCCCTTCAATTTGGGAGGAGAATGATTCCTGGCTCTCAAAGCACAGGCCTGGGAGGTTTAGAGAGAAGGTGCGAATGAAGAAAGCAGGATTAAATCGGACTTCAATGAGAGCACAAAGAAATTGGGGGGATCTGAGAGCACAGCGCACCCATTTTCTGTTGGAGGAGTATTTTGGAGGGCCAATGAGTCTTAATCCTTTATGCAAATCTCCTTAGATTGAAGTTTGCTTAAGTGTTTTATTTCTTTGCATACAATTAACATGTGATGCTCTGAAATGCTAAACTACTTCAAAGAAGCCTCCTTGTTCAGAAGCATGTAGAGTTATCAAGCATGCTGCATTTAATAATCTTCCAAACTTTTGTGATACTTTAAGATGAAATCTCACTTTTCAGAAAGAATCTTGAGAGCCGTGCAAATACTCGAAAATAAAACAAAACAAAAGCCACCATCAAACAAACAACAGAACACCCTTGCTTGTTACAGGCCAGAATTATTCTATTTCTGTTAGTTTTAGGTTGTTAAATGTATTTCCTATTTTTTTCTTCAAATTTGATCAAGTTCCCTATACTCCTCTTTTTAAATTAACACAAAAATTGTAATTCTAAACAAGAAGCAGTATTTTGGTTTTTTACACTTTCTGTTTTGAAATAACTTCAAATTTACAGAAAAGTTATAAAGGTTAAGAATAGTACAAAGATCACCCTGTCCTCTTTACCTAGATTTATCTACTGTTAACATTTTATCCCATTGCTTTGCTTTATTATTTGTGCCTGTCACACACACACACACCCCAAATTTGCTTCTTAAACCATTTGGTGGTAAGTTACATAAGTCAAATTAATTACATACCCCTGAATACTTCCATGGGGATTTCCTAATAACAGAGATATACTCTTACACAGCCATAATACAGTCATCAACTTTAGTAAAATTAACCTTGATGCATTCCACCTAATCTATAATTTGTGTTTCCATTTTGTCAACTGACCCAATAATGTTCTTTATAGAATTTCCCCCCGTGCAGTACAAGATCTGGTCTAGTATCAGATGTACATCTGGTGGTCATGGCTTTTTTGGCGGGGGAGGAGTTGAACAATGTTTTTAAAGATATATGAATTGTAAGCATTTGGATGTTTTTAGTTAAAAAAAAGACACATGATTATATTGAAATAATACCATGCTTAATGTAGCCACCCACAGTTCACGTTTTTGCCAACGTTTGTAATTGGTGTATATGGAACCCAAGAATCAGAGAATAACAACAACCATAATGATAAAGCTTTATTGATCCCTTGCTGTGTGCCAGGCATAAAGCAGGCTCCACACTCCCGGTCTTTATCTCCAATTTGAAGGGCTTATGGCCCCACCCCGCCCTGCCCCACCCTCCCCAGCAGCCTCTTGCTGCACGCATGAACCTTTCGCTTTGGGTGCACAGAGGACAGCTCACGCACATGTGTCCACCAGCCGTTTCCCAGCTCCATGAATTTGTGGTGCATTCCCAGGTTGAGGCAGTGAGCACCCTGCACAGGTTGGGAGGCTTGTAGAAGTATGAAGTGCCTTGACTTCAATGGAAGGTGGTGATCATCATTTCTCTATCACCAATGGGATGATGTGCTTTGGAAAAGGCTTTGGAAATTGCAGCTGGTTGGGGGAGGGGGAAGAGAGCAGTGTGGGAATGGAATTCAGACCCTGGCTAACTGGGATTTATTCAGCATCAGCCTAAGCATAGTGGAAGTTCACCAGATAGAAAGGAGTGGGCAGGAAGGGGAGGGATTGGGGAAAGGACAGAGAAGTATGTTTTAGAACAAGAAAAATACCTGGGCCATCAGAAAGGGGAACATCCAGACAGATTCAGAGATGACTCACAAGGCTAACATGATAGAGGGCTAAAAGGAGAAGTAGGTTGGAAGAGAGAGGCTAAGACAGGAGGATCTCTTGAGCCCAGAAGTTCAAGACCAGCCTGGGCAACATGGTGAGACTCCTGTCTCTACAAAAAAATTTGAAAAAAGAAATAGGCGGACATGATGATGCACAACTGTAGGCCCAGCTACTCCAGAGGCTGAGGTGGGAGGATGGATTGGGTCTGGGAGGTGGACACTGCAGTGAGCCATGATTGCACCATTGCACTCCAGCCTGGGCAACAGAGTAAGACCCTGCCTCAAAAAAAAAAAAAAAAGAATGAATGAATGAATGAAATAAAGAAAAGAAAGAGCTAAGGGCTTGAAGAGCATGTGCACCTTGAATGCCTGCTGTGTGAGCAGAAGAATGGCCCCATTTCAAGCTGGGCAGCATTGGGTCAGAGAAGGCCCTCAGGTGTGTAGGCCCAGGAGGCATTCAAGATGTCTTTGTGGAAAGAGGGAAAGGAGGAGGGAGGGAGGGAGAAAGTGAGAGAGAGGGAATCACAGCCATGCTGATAACCAGAGCAAGCTGTTATTGCACATTCATTCCTTCCACGTATATTTTTGAAACATGGGTGTGGATTTAAGTCCTAGGATACAGGAGCGTATGAAACAGACAAGGTGTAGGTGATAAATGCTAAGGAAGAAAATAAAAAACAGTAGGGGTGAGAAAGTGACACAAATATGGGGTTGGCATGGCTACTTCCCTTAGGAGGTCAGGGAAGACCTCTCTGATGAGGTACCATTTGAAAAGAGATCTGAAGATGGGAAATGATGGATATCCTGTGGATATCCGAGGGAAGAGCAGCCAGGGAGAGGTATCATCCGCATGTGCAAAGGAGGCCCCATGGCAGGAGCGTGCTGGGTGTGTGTCAGGCACTGTGTGGAGTTAACCATGGGTGGAGCACAGTGATCCAAGAGGGAGAGGATGGGAGAGGAAATAAAGGAGGCAGCCAGGGAACAGACGGTGCATGGGGAATTGTAGGTCATGGGGAATACACTGACTTTTACTCTGAGTTAACACGAGGCTATTGCAGGGCTCCAGGAAGTGAATTCTTTTACAGGATGTGATGTAGAAGCAGACAGAAACCAGGAAGCTAGTTAGAAGGATACTACAACAATCCAGGTGAGAAACAATGGTGGTTTGGACCAGTAGCAGTGGGGGTGGCTAAGTTTCAAAGGGAGAACTGCCATGAATTGCTGGCGGATTGGAGATGTGGTGTGGGGGAAAGAGAAGAGTCAAATATAGCTCTACAGTTTTAGTCCTGAGCAACTGGGAGGAAGAACTTGTCATTTACAGAGATTGGGAATGTGCCAGAGATGGTTTTGGTGAGAGGAGGAGATGAGAGTGAACACCAGAAGTTAATCTCTGAACACTGTGAAACCCTTATCAGACATCCTAGTGGTGAGAGAGATGAGTCTTCCTCCTAGATTCTGACATTAGAGTATTTTGAAGTCAAATACTCGATTATCCACCCTTAGCATCCTTGTCCTCTTTAAAGCAAATTTCCTATGAGGAATTTTCTTGTTGGCCTGTTGTATGTTTTGGATCATGGAGGAATCAAGTCCATGAGGTATAATTTGAGACTCTTTGGTGCTTCAGTTCACATATAGGTTCATGCTTTTTGACATATAGAAAGAAATCTAGTTGTGTCGTGTCCACATGAAACATCATAGGATAAAATGTATTGCAGGCAATAAGTTTAGCTGGAGACATTGGAGGGTGAGGCTGCCCTGAGACCGTCCCTTGTCACTGAGAATGTGAGTAGCAATTTCTTTTCAGTGGAGGGGCAGACTAGCATGCTGTTTACTTGTACTTGTTTAAGATGTGTTCTGGTTTTGGTGTGTGTTTGGGCCAATTGGGGAACTGCAGGACTTTGCTGTGGGCTGTGGGGAAAACCACTGAGGGTGAGAAGAAACGCCTGGGTTTTGCTGAAACTGACCCTCCATCAGTTGCCCTTGGAGAGTTCATCTTGCTTTGTCTCCTTGTGGGATTTTCAACTCCCAGAACGATTCCTGGGACTGTCACCATATCCTTTTGTGCTTCTAGGCCCCTGTACTGATAAGGCATCTGGGGAAGGGGTAGCTATCCAGTTCTCCTAGCCTCACCCACTCCTTCTTCCCACACAGTGGTTAAAAGGGGTGGGCTCTGGACTCAGAAGACTCTGGAATCCTAGCTCCCCACTTCTTAACTGTGTGACTTCAGGCAAATTGTTGACCTTCTCTGAACCTCTGTTTTCTCATCTGTAAAATGGGGATGCTGATCGTCAGATCCATAGGATAGTTTTGTAGTAAGGCTGTGATAAATATGGGGGCCCTGCTGGTCTATATAATGCATTTGTGGAAAGTAGAAAAGGGACCACTTCCCCAGGGGACACTACTCTGCACAGGAGCAATGGCTTGGTGAGCAGAATGTGGATTCAACTTTAGCCCCATTTGGCCCCTCCTGGGCCAGTGACTTTGGCAGGGTATTATCTGCTCAAACCGTCACATGATCCCTGGAAATACAACTATAGCATTTTTAGGAACATGATCTGTGCCTAATAAATGTTAGCCAGTATCACTAAGGGTTGTTGCCAAGACAGTCCTGGCTCTTTCCCCATCATCATGGCAGCGAGATTGGCCAGGGTGCCACCTTTACTCAACTTTCAGTGGCCTGAGGCCCCCAGGAAGTTTCTTCTCTGAATTCAAACAAGGTAACCACAAAGGGGTAGCCCTGCACATCAGAATACCCCACTAACCACCCCCCACTTCCTTCCACTGAGAGCCTGAATCCACTGAAATCTCCAAGTACCTGGTAGCAGCTGGTGGTATTTCTGAACTCGTAAAGAAGGGAAACTAATTTTCCCAGTTCCAGAAAATGGCTTGAGGCCTCCTAAGTGCCCCCTTCAGACGGGCAGCTGGAGCAGGCTGGGGAGAGAGCTGCGCTGCGTGGGCTTTCCGAGGACCATATGGGCAACACGGCTCATTCCGCGGCTACACCCGCCCCGCTTGTCATCCCCAATCATACTTGCTCTAATCCGTGTTTTAATTTACTCTGCTGGTGCAACGCCCGTGCTGCCAGGGCGGTCCTTGGGGCCCCCTCATTCCTGCTGCTGATGACAAGGCGTATGCAAAAGGCACAATTATTCACCCACCAAGGTGACAGAGAAGGCCTCTGCCTGGGAATAGGTTTCCAGCTTCCAGCATTTTCATGTCAGTCGCTGAAGCACTTTGCAGTTTGCAAACAATTCTATGGAGACTTTTTTTTTTTTTAAAGCATTTTGATCATAGCTAGCGATGAAACTTCAAGTGGTGGCCGGCTGCTTGGCCATTGATTCTGAAAGGCCCGTCTTAAGAAGGGTTGCCGCACACACTCCTCCTATCAGCTAGAATATTGGATTTTTTTTTAATCAAATAAGATTCTCCTCTCCCTTCTTCTCCTCCTCCTCCCGCACCCCCAACTCCCGCCTGTTTGGCCTCAAACAAAGAGAAATACGTCAAGCCCGGCCTATTAATTCATACAGATTTGGCATTGTTTATGTTCTCATGTGGACCACATTCCAAAGCATCAAAATAAAACAGCTCGAGTGTAGCTTTCAGCTCCAGAGCTCATGATGTATTTCATTTGCCACGGTCCGAGCCATGTTAACAATGCCTTTCACTTTCTTATGGCCTAAAATGATTTTCTTTCTGCAAGGGCCATTTTGAGAGAGAGAGAGTGGGGACAGAGTGAGAGAGAAAGAGGGAGACAGCGAGGACAGAAGAAAAGAAAACCACTTCTCTTTCCTTTTCAGGGTATCATTTGCAATTTAAAGCTAACCTGGGCAGTGCAGCAACAATGGCACTGCCCTTAAAATGGTCTCGGCCGGGGGCCGCATGCCGAATGAGGGTGATGTCGAGCTATTTAGCTCTTTGTCTTTCCATAATATCTACTTAATGCAGTTCAATAGCAGTGGATTGTTAGCGGCATTAAGGATTCTATTAAGTTCTTCCCAAAGCCCTGCTATTCTCCTCCAGCTGTTGAGAGCCTGGAGATTTCAGCTGGGCGTGGAGTAGAACCTCCCGAAGGCACCTCTGGAAAATGGGTCTGTTCCAGCCTAAGAAAGACCCTAGTTGATTATTTCAGCCCTGGGACTGCAGCACCCTGCTCAGAAGTGGCCTGCTGATAATTAGTGGAGTTGTGTTCAAATCCCACCAGATCCCCAAACTTTAAATCTGGGAGCTCCCTCTCAGAGTCTATCAAATATATAAAATGCTTCCATATCTCACATTAAATATAACCTTCTTTACTCCAAAATTTTTTCTATAAGCATTTTAAGAAGGTGAGTGTGCATGTGTGTTTGTGTGTGTGTGGGTTTTTTTTTTTTTTTTTTTTTTTTTGAGACAGTCTTATTCTATTGCCCAGGTTAGAGTCTAGTGGCATGATCATGGCTCACTGCAGCCTCTACCTCCTGTGCTCAAGTGATCCTCCCACCTCAGCCTCCCAAGTAGCTGGGACTACAAGCATATGTCGCCACAGGCATATGTCACCACACCCGGCTAATTTCTTATTTTTTGTAGAGATAGGGTCTTGCTATGTTGCCTAGGCTGGTCTTGAACTTCTGGGCTCAAGTGATCCTCCTGCCTCAGCCTCCCAAAGTGCTGGGATTACAGGTGTGAGCCTCTGCACCCGGCCATTTTAAGAATATTTCAGTCATTTCCAGTTCTGCTTTAGTGAGAATAAATGATTCATTTTGTTCTTCTGGTTTATTCTTCATTATTTAGATGTCATCAGCCAAGGGTTAGGGTTCAGATGTCAGAGGCATTCGAACCAGAGTGACTCCTTCTTGGGTGAAGGTTAGAAAATGAGGCTGGGACTTGCTGGGCTGCATTCCAGAAAGTTAGGTATTCCTAGCCTCTAGATGTTTACACTTAAGAAAAGAAATTGATCATGTTTACTAAACAGACCCAGACTTGGGAATGTCCTAATATCTCGATATCTTGAGAACAAAGGCATTCCTAATTTTGCTTTAAAGATAATAGTATTGATTCTTGCAAAATATAGTAATTAAGAAAATTAATTCTTTATCACAAATGCTTGTAGCAGAACACATCTCCCCGTGATCTTTTTTATCCTGTTTATATATGAGCATTGTACCAAGGGTGGACGCGTTCCTCCTCTTACTTTAGGGAATATCCCACTGTGTCTATGGAGTAGCTGTTCTTTCACCACTTCTTTTCTTCTTTTTTTTTTTGGAGACAGAGTCTCGCCCTGTCTCCCAGGCTGGAGTGCAGTGGCGCAATCTCCGCTCACTGCAAGCTCCGCCTCCTGGGTTCACTCCATTCTCCTGCCTCAGCCTCCTGAGTAGCTGGGACTACAGGCGCCCGCCACCACGCCAGGCTAATTTTTGGAATTTTAGTAGAGACCAGGTTTCACTGTGTTAGCCAGGATGGTCTCGATCTCCTGACCTCGTGATCCGCCCGCCTCGGCCTCCCAAAGTGCTGGGATTACAGGCATAAGCCACCGCGCCCAGCCCACCACTTTCTTTTCTTAATAAACTTGCGTTTACTTTGCACTGCAGACTCGCCTTGTATGCTTTCTTGCCGGAGATCCAAGAACCCTCTCTTGGGGTCTGGATTGGGACCCCTTTCCTGTAACACAGACACAATCCTACCTCTTTAGATATTTAATTAACCATTTCATAAATTTAATCTTGTGGTTTTTCTTTTTATGTTCTTAACCCAATACTGTAATTTTGTTTTCAGATGGACAATCGTTCCATGGGCCATCAAAAAGTGGGCCTGGGGCCAATAGATAAAATGGCTTCTACCTGCAAAGAGTTTCTCTGATTCTTTGAGTCAGTTGGTGAGCCCTGGGGGGCAGCCTTTATATCTTTATTTAACACTCGAGTCTGACTTCACAGGATTTTGCTAGCCCAAATAAAGCCAGGTGCCTAGGTTTACATTTTTAGGGCCTAGCACCAGACCAGGCACAGAGGGGTACCCATCCCTCCTCCCATGCAATAATAATTTGTTCATGAGTTCTAGAAAGAGTCATCCAAGAATCAAGTCTTTTTATCTTGCCTAGAATTCCAATTCCTTCTTGGGCCAACTCTGTCCCAGCAGACATTCCAGGGGCACCCTGCGGCCTGTTGCAGCAGGAGGATCACAGGCAGAGCAGCCATGGATGGTGTGGCATCCAGGAGGTGGCCACTCCAGCCTCTGGGCCGCTGGCCCCGAATGGACGGAGAGGGAGGCAAGGGGGCGGGGGCTGCGGGAGGGCGAGCCGGGAGGGGAAGGGCCCACACCAGGATTTCACACAGTTGGCTTGAAGAGGCAAGCACTAAGCTGCCTTTTCAACCATGGTAAACCCCGTCCATCTGGCCACCCTAAAACTCTGTTAGCTTGTTCCCCTTGCCCAGGGCTGATTGGACCTCCTGAAGCAGAAGTAACGACTTCAATGGTATAAACCCCGGCCACTTGAGGGTATTACATTTCATTTCATGCTTGACTTAATCAAAACTGGGGAAATGAAATGTACACCTTTTTGATGTTCTTTTCCCTGCTGTTTAAAGAGAAGAATCTTAACCCATTTGATCTTCACATGCACCCGGTAAATGACCAAATATGCCAAGCTGTCAAAAGCAGAAGGCGGCCAGTTGCCAGGGGGTGGCGGGCCACTGGGAAAGCACTTAATGCAGGCAAACTTAAGTTTGGGGCCTAGGGACTTTGTTGCAAATGCAGCATTTCCCCCAACGGGGCTGCAGTTATGAACTTTTTAAAGGCAAAGGTGGGTTGGGGGAATAAACATCATGCTTTGTAGTTGCAGTCCAAAGGGAAGGAATGCAGGCTGGCCTCAGCTTGAGGACACTTGTTCCTACCAGTCTTTCAAAATTTCTCTCAGGAATCGCCTCCTTCTTGAAACTTTTCCACCCTTACCCAAGGACTGGCCAACAGTGGGGGTTTCTGGAGTTACTCCATGTGTCCTTAGGCAATTTACCTAATCTCTCTATGGGGGCTCAATGAACTCCTCTGTAAAATGGGGATGACTATAGTTCTGACCTCATTGGTTGCTGTGCAGGTTGAATGACATCATGTATACAAAGTGCTTAGCCTCATGCCTAGCACATAAGAAGTTATTATCAAATGCAAGCTATTATTATTATTACGATTTTTATTTTGCTGTGGACTGAATTGCATACTCCGCAAAATATGTATGTTGAAGCCCTAACCCCTAATATGATTGTATTTGGAGGTACGGCCTCTAAGGAGGTAGTTAAATGAGGGCATAAAAGTGGGGTCCTAATTCAATAGAATTTGTGGCCTTATAAGTAAAGGAAGAGAGAGAGAAAAAAGTCTCCCTCTCCATGCATGTTCATGGAGAAAAGGCCACATGAGGACAGTGAGAAGGCAGCAGTCTGTAAGACAGTAAGAGAGCTCTCACCAGAAAACCAATCAGCTGGCACCTTGACCTTGGACTTGCCAGTCTCCAGAACCATGAGAAATAAATTTCTGCTAAGTATCCAGTCTACGGTATTTTTTTATGGCAGCCCAAACTGGTTAATACATTAACCTATCAGAGTGCTCTATTCTTGTTTATTTATGTGTCCACCTCCTCAATGAGACTCTAACTTCTTTAGAGTAGATCCCATGATTTGTTGGCTTTGTATACCAGGGCTTAGCACAGTGCCTGGAATACAGTGGATGCTCAATAAGTGCTTGTTAAACAAACAAATGGGTGGACACAGTTGCACATGGCAAGAGAGCCCTGGGCCTTTTCTTTTTTTCCCCCCCCCCATTGTAATAACTTTTACTTATTTATTTTATTTTTTTATTATTATTATACTTTAAGTTTCAGGGTACATGTGCACAGTGTGCAGGTTAGTTACGTATGTATACATGTGCCATGCTGATGTGCTGCACCCATTGACTCGTCATTTAGCATTAGGTATATCTCCTAATGCTATCCCTCCCCCCTCCCCCCACCCCACAACAGTCCCCAGAGTTTGATGTTCCCCTTCCTGTGTCCATGTGTTCTCATTGTTCAATTCCCACCTATGAGTGAGAACATGCAGAGTGTGGTTTTTTGTCCTTGCGATAGTTTGCTGAGAATGATGATTTCCAGCTTCATCCATTTCCCTACAAAGGACATGAACTCATCATTTTTTATGGCTGCATAGTATTCCATGGTGTATATGTGCCACATTTTCTTAATCCAGTCTATCATTGTTGGACATTTGGATTGGTTCCAAGTCTTTGCTATTGTGAATAGTGCCGCAATAAACATACATGTGCATGTGCCTTTATAGCAGCATGATTTATAGTCCTTTGGGTATATACCCAGTAATGGGTTGGCTGGGTCAAATGGTATTTCTAGTTCTAGATCCCTGAGGAATCGCCACACTGACTTCCACAATGGTTGAACTAGTTTCCAGTCCCACCAACAGTGTAAAAGTGTTCCTATTTCTCCACATCCTCTCCAGCACCTGTTGTTTCCTGACTTTTTAATGATTGCCATTCTAACTGGTGTGAGATGGTATCTCATTGTGGTTTTGATTTGCATTTCTCTGATGGAGCCCTGGGCCTTTTCTTATCCCAGAACGGCCACTTAATATGCTCAGTGATCTTGGGCAAGCAGCTTGCCCTCCCTCTCTGTGCCTCAGCCTCTCCATCTGTAACTGGGTTGGACTGGGTGATTCCTGGGGCCTCAGAGACTGTGGGATTCCACCTTTAGACAAAGACTGAGGTGGGGAGAGTGGGGTGGGGTGGGACTAAAATGAAACTGCTGTCACTCCCCATTCCAGACAACAGGATAGTGCTGAAATATTACATTGAACTAACTGAAAGATGTCCCAAAACAATGGACAGAACACGATGCTGGTTTGAAAATGTATGTGTATATGTACGCACACACATGTGTTCATGTTTGAGCTCTGGGAAGTGGGCTGGGTTCTCATCTGGACTCTGTCACTTAATAACTTAATGATATGGGCTAGTTACTTAACTTCTGTTTCCTTATCTGTAAGATGGGGATGAAGTGATGCCTACTAGCCCCATATGATTGTTATAAAGATTAAATAAGTCAATACAGTGTAAGATTCTTAGCACAAGCTCATAATAGCCATCCAAGAAAACATAAGCTATTATTCATTCCATAGAAGCATTAAAAAAAAAGTGTTCAGGCAGGCGTGGTGGCTCACGCCTGTAATCCCAGCACTTTGGGAGGCCGAGGCGGGCGGATCACCTGAGGTTGGGAGTTCGAGACTAGCCTGACCAACATGGAGAAACCCCATCTCTACTAAAAATACAAAAATTAGCTGGGCATGGTGGTGCATGCCTGTAATCCCAGCTACTCGGCAAACTGAGGAAGGAGAATCTCTTGAACCCGGGAGGCAGAGGTTGCAGTGAGCCAAGATCCTGCCATTGCACTCCAGCCTGGGCAACAAGAGCAAAACTCTGTCTCAAAAAAGAAAAAAAGAAAAAAAGTTCAGGCAGCCTAGAGACCAAATAATAACCATGGTCACCTCTCATTTCTGTATTGCATAATTGCAAAACAAAGAAACAAGAGGTAGAATGACTTCTTCTTCTCCTTCTTCTTCTTCTTCTTCTGCTTCTTCTTCCTCTTCCTCTTCCTCCTCCTCCTCTTCTTCTTCTTCCTCTTCCTCCTCCTCCTCTTCTTCTTCTTCCTCCTCCTCCTCTTCTTCTTCTTCTTCCTCTTCCTCTTCCTCCTCCTCCTCCTCCTCTTTTTCTTTTTCTTCTTCTTCCTCTTCTTCTCTTCTTTTTTTTTTTTTAAGAAGGAAAAACAACACAAAGATGGGGGCAGGCCTTATATCCTTTTAGCAGGGAAAGATGCCCAGAATCTGTTGGGTAAGTGAAAGGGTGAGCTCTCTAACAGTCCACATGGTGTGAGCTCATGTTGCCAATAATAATGCAGTATTGGTATATGGGATGTAAAACCTCTGCAAGCCAACAAATGAAACTTCTCCCAGAGCTTATCTCTGAAGCTGAACCGGGACTAGTTGAGGCAAGCAAGGTACCTAGGGCAAAAAGTTTCACTTGCACAACTCTGAGAGTCAACGTCTCCTAAAATTTTGCACCCAGTGTGCATCAATTGCCCCACTCCAATTTTCTGCCTGCTCAGAAGGGTGAGATCCTATAAACTTTCGTTTACTAGGCTCTACATTTCTTCATCATTTTAGTTATTTTGACAATTAACACAAATTTCTTTAATAGAGTGAAGTATCAATAAAGATGTAATGTGATAATAATAACTGTTACTGCAATTATTTACCCATTTGGATCCTGGCCATGGTGTTGCCTGTCCCCGCTCCTGTGCTCATTAGTGTACTCTATGAAATGACACTGGCAGTCAGCCCTTGTTGAGCTCTTGCTGTGTGCCAGGCCCTGTGCTGTCACAGGGATTAGCTCAGCTAATCCTCCTAACAGGCCTTCCATGTAGGGTCCGTTATTATCCCTCTTTTAAGACCAGGAAACAGGAAGTTCAGAGACCCCAAGAGACTTGCTCAGGGTTGCACAGCGAGAAAGAGCCAGAGGTGGGATTTGCACCCTCATAGTGAGATTCCAGAGCCTGAACTTTCAACAGGTACCCCACACTACGCCACTCAGTCTGGATTTGTCCTTTAAATCACATCTTCAACTATCCGGCATTGGGGTCCCCTGGCACTTCTTAAAAATTTCAGTTGGTACTGTGTACAATAGGTCCAGCCTTACTTGCCGAAGAACCCAAAAATCCCACCAAGAAAATCTCAGTCTCTGCTCCACCCCTGGGCTGCACCAAAGTTTCCCCCCCACCTTTTGTTAAGAGGCCTCATTTCTGACTTGATGAAAACATTTGTAATACATAATCAAATGCTGGTATGTTGCAAAGGACAATGCCTTATTTGTTAAATATAAATGAACATGAACACGGGTCTTCAGTGCCAGAAAGGCAAAGGGTTTTGACGCCTTTTCAGTGGCACAGGCTGAGCCCCAGGAAAGAAAGCTGGGAGCCCCTAAAGGGTCTCGTCTAGGACGATGATCGTCCCACAGCTCTTGTGTGACAAGATACATAGTTTCTTTTCAGCAACAGGCAGATTATCGGTTACTATAGTTTCCCTAATGCTCAAATACAGCTCAGGCCTAAGCTGAACAGAATAGGTTAAAAGGTGCCGAAGTTTGGCCCGGGAAACCACATGTTGAGAATCAGACACCAAACAAAGCGAAAAGCACATCTCTCTGGTCTTTGATGTCTTTTCTGAGGGATGTAGAGTGAGAAAAATACAACCGGTGCTCAGGCCAGGGGCTTGATGGGCCCCTGTGACAATGGCCAGCCAAGTGGGAGCTGAGCACAATGCAGAGACAATGTCCCCAATCCCAGGCGTCCCTGGGCACGCCGCTCACAAACACCCCGCTGGAAACCGCATTTCAGCCGAGTTTCTTAGAAAGTTCCTGCCGGCCTCCCTAGCCCAGCTACACTGCCCGCCTTCCAGACCCAGCCCTTTGCAAGTTCCCTCCTGAGAGAGGCGACTTTCTCACTTAAAATGCCCCCAGCCGCCTGAACACGGCCACCGTGAGCACCGTTTTCTGCCTGGTTTTTGAATTGTCCTAGATCTACATAAACACCTTTTCTCCGCCTCTGAAAAGAGATAAGCTTTCTCCCCCTCAAATAATTCATCTCTGCTCTCGAATATTGCTTTGTATATTCCTCGGAGGTGACAGTGTGACGTTTTTCATAAACGGGATTAAATTAACCACTATTTATGCCGGCGATGTGGGTTTCTCCCCTTCTGCCGAGATCTGTTTATTTCATTTTGCTTTTTATTTAAATTTAGGGAGCAAGATAAATGCGCTTTCGAATTTGGAGATCTCTATCCATCACCCGCCGACTGCATCTAGGAAAATAAGTGTGGGGGAGATTATGTGACAGGGAGAGAGAGAGAACCAGAGTCAAGCTCATGGAGTTCTGAATGTTTTTTGGTGGTTGTTGCAGTATTGTGCTTCTAGTTGTCATTAGTTCTTTATAATGTTTCATGAAAAATATCTAATTGTAACAACTGTATTCCTCGAGCGAACATATTCCTTGAATTGAAGCCCTCACAATGGCCATAGGATAACTGTCCTTGAATTTGAGCCCTTTGTGAGCTGTCAATAGGCTTACAATGTGCTGAATTAGCAGGCATATTAATGGGCAGATGCAATAGCAGCCATTCTTCAACCTCAAATCTTCTTATGCAAATACCCCATGAATTCAGTTCAAAGCGCTGCCTTCAAAATGAGCTGAGCTTCCCTCTCAGAAGGGACCCCGGGAGAAAGTGACATGAGAAAAGTTTAGACACTTGTTTTTATAACTGAACATGATCTTGTTATCATAATCTGATACTGGTCACTTGCATGGCTGGCTTGTAGGATTTTAAACCCTTAACAGAGAGAGATA
The DNA here is from genome assembly GCF_000001405.40 of Homo sapiens. Lineage (NCBI taxonomy): Eukaryota > Metazoa > Chordata > Mammalia > Primates > Hominidae > Homo > Homo sapiens. The sequence continues at coordinate 54,576,771 of NC_000016.10, read as the reverse complement.
ATCTCAGCCTTTGTAGGAGTGTGGACAGAATCCCTGCGTGCAGGGAAGCCGACAGTGAGAAGCACAGTTCGTGCTTTCTCAAACAAAACTTTTCATGATAAAAGCTTTTATCCTATGATAATCACCGGGCAGATTTCAGTGGTATTGGTAAGGCTGGCAAAGGCCAGTGAAGGCGAATTTTTAAAAAATGAAAATAACCAATTCTCAAGACTATTTCCAATCAGTCTGGATCAACTCTTGGAGTCCCCATAATAGCAGCTGCAGAGTTTTCGAAGATCCCAAAGACAGCCAAGTTCCTGGAACCTCTGCCTAGCCCCAGGCAGGATAACAGAATGCTAGCTAACATTGCTGTGGCGCCAAAAGGAGCCAGGCATTTGTGCTCACTTCTCAGCCTTTTCCACATATGGGCTCACTTAATTTTCACAACTATCCCAGGAAGTAGCTACTATTCATATCCCGATTCTACAGATGAGAAAAATGAGGAGTGGGATTCAGCAATATGTGTAGGCACTAAGAAATTACTAAGCCCTCCAGGGAAAAATCTGCTTGTGGACACATTAACTAACCACTGGGAAGTGGAAATCACCCCAAGAAGAGTTTTCTTTCTCTCTTTTTTTTTTTTTTTTTGAGACAAGGTCTCCCTTTGTCCACTCCCAGCCTGGAGTGCAGTGGCGAGAGCTCAGCTCACTGCAATGTCTGCCTCCTAGGCTCCTGGCAATCCTCCCACCTCAGCCTCCCAAGTAGCTGGGACTACAGGTGTGCACCACCACGCCTGGCTAATTTTTGTATTTTTTGTAGAGATGGGGTTTCACCGTGTTACCTAGGCTCTTCTAGAATTCCTGGGCTCAGGCAATCCTCCTGCACCTCCCAAAGTGCTGAGATTACAAGCATGAACCACTGCGCCTGGCCACGAAAAGACTTCTCAAAACAATCTGCTCTTAATAAATAAATAATAAATAAACAATCTGCCCTCCTTTCTTTTTCCCCTTGAGCTGGGCAGGCTGACCTGCTTGAGGATATGTGTCCAATTAGCCCCTATAAAGTCTTCTCTCCTCCTCAACAAAGTTATATGATAAATTTGTATTTAGAAAAATATTTCAAACAAGAATACCACTTTAATAGCAGTGTTCTCTTATATACATAGCACTATAATTGCATATAGAGCTGAATCTCATGACCGCCCTTAAGTTGAAGACACTGAGATATTACATTATAAATTGAAGATCAGTTCCATGACTTAGTGAGAGGTGACAGATTGTGTGCTATCATTAACAGTAATAGCTAGCATTTTCTATTTACCCATATTTACTCATTTATTTACTGAGTGTGTCCACTCATTCCTCATGCCTACGCTGTGAAGAAGGTAGGCTGATTATTTTCATTTTATAGCTGAGGACACAGAGGTCCAGGGTCAAGATGCTGAGATTTGAACTCGAGATCTCTGAATCAACCCTCATCCACTTGGCTACATGCAGTCCAGATGTTCCAGCCACCCTGGGTTTGGGATGGCTGCGTTTTCCCTTGAGATGCCCTGAAATCACCACCCTCCTCAATAATTGACCTTCTTTGCACCAAAAGCCAATTTTAGTCCCATTTCTTTTCTTGCATCTCTGTTCTTTATCTCTTTCTGTAATAGTGTTTTTGGTTAATTACATTATTACCTGGCATTTCCGTGTGTGTGTGTGTGTGTGTGTCTATGTGTCTGTGTATATGGGTGTAGATGATGGTGTAGGGGGAAGTAGAGAAGAAACAGGATGATTTACCTTTAGAAAAACTGAGAAACCAAGACACAAAGAACTTGCCCAGAGTTCTGGATCTGGGTGGACCCCTCCCTCCAAGACACCCCCAGACAAGAGATATTCTCCTTCTGTGACTTTGGAGCCTAAGGGTTTGTTACCAAAAATAATCAAATAACAAATGGGTAAGACATGTCTATGTTCTGAAGAATATATAATGATAATATTATAACAATAATAATGACAACAGGCTGGACACGGTGGCTCATGCCTGTAATCCCAGCACTTTGGGAGGCCAACGCAGGAGAATGGCTTGAGCCAGGAGTTCAAGACCAGCCTGGGCAACAGAGTGAGACCTTGTCTCTACAAAAATAAAAATAGAAATAAAAATAAAAATTAGCCAAGTGTGGTGGCATGCACCTGTGGTCTCAGCTACTCAGGAGACTGAGGTGGGAGGATCCCTTGAGCCCAGGAGGTCAAGGCTGCGATGAGCTGTGATCATGCCACTACACTCCAGCCTGGGTGACAGAACTGTCTCAAAGAAATAAAAATTAAAAACTGGTAAGAATATTAATAAGTACTGATTAGAGATGCCTTACCATGCCCCAGGCATTGTGCTAAGGGCTGTATGTGAATTACCCAATAACCATAGATAAAACAACAGAAAAGAATAATAATACTGTAAATATGGAATAAAATTAAGCCATTATTGCTTAGGATAGGGGTAGGGGAAAATCAATGATGAATGCTACATTAGCCCACTTGTGTTGCCGTAACAAAATACCACAGACTGGGTGGCTTAAACAATAAAGATTTCTTTTCTCACAGTTCTAGAGGCTGGTAGCCCAAAATCAAAGTACCACTGGGGTTGGTTTTTTGATGTGGCCTCTCTTTTTGGCTTTCAGCTGTGTCCACACATGGCTTTTCACTGTGTGCTTGCACAGAAAGAGTGTGCACTCCAGTGTCTCCTCTTAGAAGGACACCAGTTGCAGCTGGACACGGTGGCTCATGCCTATAAGCCCAGCACTTTGGGCAGCCGAGGTGGGTGGATCACCTGAAGTCAGGAGTTTGATACCAGCCTGGCCAACATGGCAAAACCCCGTCTCTACTAAAAATACAAAAATTAACCAGGTGTGGTGGTGAGTGCCTGTAATCCCAGCTACTTGGGAGGCTGAGGCAGGATAATCTCTTGAACCTGGGAGGCAGCAGTTGCAGTGAGTTGAGATCACGCCGCCGCACTCCAGCCTGGGCAACAGAGCAAGACTCAGTCTCAAAAAAAAAAAAAAAAAAAAAGACACCAGTTGGATTACGGCCCGACCCCTGTGATCTCATTTAATCTTAATTACCTCCTTAAAGATCCTGTCTCCAAATATAGTCACATTGGAGGTTAGGGCTGAAGCCTATGAATATTTGGGGTGGGAGGGTCACAGTCAATCCATAGCAAATGGGGAATGTGGGAACACTTTTGAAAGTGGTAGCATTTGATTCAGGCCAAGAATGAGTTATTCTGACAAAGAAACTATGAACAGGCTGGTTTTGTGTGGTCTGCACAGTATTTTTAAAACAGGAAGAGACAGCATGTCAATATCTGCGTTTTTATTGTCTTTTGGGAAGCATTAAAAGATCTGGCAACACCAGGCCCACCTTCCTGAGCATCGACACCTAGCTGCCTGGCACTTTGTAGGGATTCTATTCACTTTTCCACAGTCCCCACCACTCCCTATTGTGCAGGTCCCTGATTCCTCATCCAAACTTCCGGGGTTCAATGTCTTCAGATTCACAATTTTTTATATTTTAGAGATGTAATACAGTGCACATATTCTATTATATTCTATCCCCAAGTGGGTCTAGGGCAGTACCCCCCTAATCAATCACACTAATATCTGTATACTACAATGTATAAATACTCACATTGAGGGGGATAAATAGAGGCTTTAAATAGACTCTCATCTGTTCTGGGCAGGTTTTGCTGCCAAATAGATCAGATCAGAACAGGTTTTGCCACAAATCATTTTCAGCAAACCTGCAGTGCCCAGAGCCTTTTGGATTGAGGAACTTCAGGCAAGGAGTGGGTCCTGTCTTACAATACGCGTGCTTCATTCAACTGTGCTCTGATCCGGCACCAGCAGACATTTGACTTGTTAACTTCTGCTTTAACAGGTCAAGTGTGGAGGATGGTGTGAGGAGTCAGGGGGAGGATTTCTAGGCACAAAGGTTTAGATTCAGGAGTGTGTTGGATATATTTCAGGGTGACCTTTGCTGGCAAAAAGTTTAAAGAAACAGATTTTCTTTAAAAAAAATTTTGCGGAAAGGGAAACATAATTCAGAAAATTCTTCAGAGTAAAAAAAAATGCAGGGTGCACTAATAAAGAATGAGCTATCAAGGTTGCATGGAGAAACCTGAAATGCACACGGCTAAGTGAAAGAAGCCAATCTGAAAAGCCTACATACGGTATCAGTCCAACTCTATGACATTCTGGAAAAGGCAAAACTATGGAGACAGTAAAAAGATCAGTGCTTTCCAAGGATAGGCCTTAGGAGAGGGATGAATAAGTGGGGAACAGAGGATTTTTAGGGCTGTGAAACCACTCTGCGTGATACTATAATGGTGGAACCTTGTCATTATGCGTTTGTCCAAACCCATAGAATGTACAACACCAAGAGTAAACCCTCACATAAATAAACTACAGACTTTGGGTGATCATGCTGTGTCCACGTGGGTTCATCATTGTAACAAATGTACCAATCTGGTGAACCATGTTGATGATGGGGAAGGTTACACACGTGTGGGGGTAAGGACATATAGAGAATCTCTGTACCTTCCTCTAAGTTTTGCTGTCAACCTAAAACTGCTCTAAAAAAGTAATCTGGGCCAGGCACAGTGGCTCACATCTGTAATCCCAGCACTTTGAACATTACAGCACTTTGGATGGCTGAGGTGGGCAGATAACCTGAGGTCAGGAGTTCGAGATCAGCCTGACCAACATGCGAAATCCCATCTCTACTTAAAAAAAAAAATTAACCAGGCATGATGGTGCATGCCTGTATGCCCAGCTACTCAGAAGGCTGAGGCAGGAGAATCGCTTGAACCCGGGAGGTGGAGGTTGCAGTGAACCAGGATCACACCATTGCACCCCAGCCAAGGCGACAGAGGGAGACTCCATCTCAAAAAAAAAAAAAAAAAAAAAAGTAGTCATAAAAAACATGCAATGTGTTCTTCCTGTGGTCCTCCCTGTACCTACTGAAGCTCATTTTGGGCCACAGGTTGTGGGGAAGGCAACTTTAGATGATTCTGCAGCAGCCCATACACTGGGTCTTGAGTTTAGCAACCACAAGGACAGAGGCAGCGCCATGCAACCACCACCATCCAAAGGCTGAAGCCCAGTCCCGTCTTTGCTCTGCCACATGAATTGGGACAGGTCGACATGCCAAAGGGTGACCAGAATTATCTCAACCAGACAAGTCACCAGGACCCACAAACACAGTGAAATACTCTGTTAACCATTTCCCCTGGGGCCAAAATTGGAAAGAAAGAAAAAAAAAAGATCCTGATTATTCCTTCATTGTTTTTGCTAGAAGTTAAAAGCAAATTTACTTACTATTTAAACAGACCATTTAAAAATACAAATTAGGCCGGATGTGGTGGCTCACACCTGTAATCCCAGCACTTTGGGAGGTCAAGGTGGGAGGATTGCTGGAGGCCAGGAGTTTGAGACCAGCCCAGGCAACATAGCGAAACCCCTATAGTTTAAAACCCCTATATTTAAAACTCTATAAATAGTTTAAAAATTAGCCCAGCGAGGTGGCACATGCCTGTAGTCCCAGCTACACAAGTCCCAGCTACACAAGAGGCTGGAGCGGGAGAATCTCTTGAACCTGGGAGTTCAAGGCTGCAGTGAGCAGTGATTGTGCCACTCCAGCCTGGAGTTTAGACCCTCTCTCTCTATATATATGTGTGTGTGTGTATGTATATATATATATATATATATATATATATATATATCAGGTCAAATCCTATCCCTGCTCAATGGTTTCACAGCAGTGAACAAAATAGTCAAAAGTCCCTCTCCTCAGGGAGCTTTAGGCTTTAGTAGGGGGAGGCTGGTCAACCAATCACTCCCCCAGTGCCTGTTACCATACCAGGAGAGAGACCTTAAAGGCAACCACTCCACTACTAGTGCCTTTAAAGAGGGGAAACTGAGGCATGTCCAGTAGAAGGCTTTGCCTCAGCCTTTGCCCTGATTTGCCCACATTTAAGTACCTTTTAGATGCAAATCAAATGGTGCTAAATTCCATCTTTTGTTTGAAAATGTTGGAATATTCCCCTGAAGAAAGAGAACTCATTTTGTTTGGTTGGTTCAGTTGTTGTTGTTTTTTTCCTTGACCATTCATGTGGAAGGGATCTTAGAAGATGACTGTGGTATAGATCACCATCTCTCTACAAGTACATTTTGTACTTTAGAGGGGTCTCAACTTTCTCCAGAATTTTTCCTGGAGGGTAATTGGAAATGGTGGTTAACGTAGCATGGCTTTTCAAATTGAGTTGAAAAGTTCATCAAAATGTCATTAATCTGCTTTATATAGCCTTCCTTGATTAAGTCAAATTTGTGTCTGACCGATTATTTATGAAGCAGAGCTCTGGATGGGGCTGTTTTGGCATCTGTGGCCCGACATTAGTTGGAGAAGGGAATGAGCACTTCACACCTGGGGGCTCTGAGACATACTCAAATGCCACCACTGCCCACTCCCAGCAAAGGGAGACTCTGTGGTTCACACAGGTAATTTCTAATCAATCAACAATTTTTGATTGCTAAGTTCAGTTGAGCCCCTGTTGTGTGAAAAGTATGATGACAGATACCAAAAAATAAGTAATCTCTTATAATCCTGGGGTTATTATTTGGAAGAAACTCTTATATATTTCCAACTAGCACCAATCCAAATTTCATTTTGCTTGGCAGCCCTCAGGAAGTAGGCACCACGAGAAGGCACTGGGCTGTCTTCTGAGCTCTGCTCTGCAGTGAGGTTGGCAAACGGCTGAACCCAGAACTTTGCTCTGTGGCTACAATGACAATAGTGATGATTATGATGATGGCAACTATTGTATGTTTCTATGCCAGGCACACATTTCTCACAATACATGAGGGATGAGGGAGATTATCAGCCACTTTTCTCTGATAAAGAAGTGGATAGCCAAGAAGCCAGTTCACTTGCTGAGGGTCTCAGAGTGAATGTTTGAGCCTGAGTCGATATGAAAGAAAGGTGTTCTGGCATGTAGTTGTCATGAGTGAGATGATTTTGTTTTGTTTTGTTTGCCCCCAAATCATTTTCCTTTGGACAAAGAGGACATTTTTCAGCCTCACTGCCCAGAGAGCCACATGACCCTTAGTCTGTGTGATGTCATTTTTAATGATTTTGGCCTAAGTCACAAAATCAGTGTCAACTTAAGAGGACATGCAACCCTCTCAGGAGCCAAAGGAACCATAGAATCAGGAAGATTTGCATCTGTCTAAACCCATAGAATGTACAACACCAAGAGTAAACCCTAATGTGATCATGCTGTGTCCACGTGTGTGTCCACTCCAGGAGAAACCAGTGTGTCTGAAAATGGGCCTGAGCTATGATTGTCTGGACCTGCGCACACCTTCAGGGTTTCCAAGAAGGAGCAAGGCTGCTGTGCCCTGAAGCAGGTGCCACCCTAGCCCTGGCCTTGTTGTTTTTCATTTGTCATGGTGGCAAAAATACAGCAGGTGGGAGTGCCTGGAACTTCTGCCAGCAACCTCAACACGTGTCATCAGACAATATTTATGTGGGTCAAGTTTTCCTCTGAGAGAGAGAGAGGGAGAAAAAAAAGAGAGAGAGAATCCATATTTCTGGAGTTTCAGAAGCTTTAGTGGCTCCTGACAGTGTTCTGGGCAAGCTGCCACCCCGTACCTCGGGGCTCAGCCAGACTCTATTTTATGAGTTTCTGAGTCCCCCAAAGACATCTTTATTAATGTCCGGCTCCAGAGTATGGCCTCTTAGAGTCAAGTTTCCCACATCTCTCTGATATATTCTGCCGGGAGAGGAGGGATTCACAGGCACACAGACTCCTAGGTTTGTTTCCGTTTGTTTTATTGTTTGGATTCTTCTTTCCTCCTCCTTCTCCTCCTCCCTCTTTCTTTCCTCCTTCTCCTTCTCCCTTCTCCACCTCCTCTTCCTTCTTCTTCTTTCTCTCTCCTCCTCCCCTCCTGTTTTTCTTCTCCTCCTCCTCTTCTTCTTTTTCTTCAATATTTTAAGTATGTTGCTAGGTTTCTTATTATAAAGTGAAATATATCATCCCAATACATCAGCACCTCCCTCCCTGTCTGGAGGGCTACTCTATAAGACAGACCACCTTCAATGAGGCCATTCTGTCTTTTAATAACCAAGCGTGGCTTTGTTTGTGAGAGTCAAAAACCCCAGAATTTATTTATTGGCTCACTCAGTAAGAAGTCCTGGGTAGCCCCAGCTTCAGGCTGAAACCAACATCTAAGGATGTTTACAGGGCCTGGTCTCTCTCCTCTTCTTTCCTCTTTGTTACTGTCTTCAGGCAGGGCACCTGCTCATTGGTACAGTGGCTTTCAGTGACCCTAGCTTATGTGCCCTGCACCCACGTCTGTACTTCTTCCAAAAGTCAGAACTGGTCTGTGGCTCAGATTGGGTCACGTGTCTGTGAACCAAATGTTGTGGCCAGATGCTGGGATGTGCTAACTGTCTTGGCTCCGGGTCACATCTTATACCTGGCACCTAGAGTGGGGATGGTTCCTCCCAAATCACATGGATGGAGAATTTGGGCTAAGGAGATCCTCAAAAGACATTCAGATTTTTATGTTCAAAAGAAGGAGAATCATTGCCCAAGGATAACCTCTTCCTCCCAAACATCTGGCGGCATCGTAAGGTAACTCCTTTACAATAACTTGCTAATAATGCACTTGGTCTTAACATTCCTGGTACTGAAGAGATAGAGCATTGCTGAAGGAAAAAGTTTTCCAGACTCTTCTCTTGCAGTCACTCTGGAGCAAGCAAAGACAGCCTTACTCCAATGTCTTTTTTTTTTTTTTTTTTTTTTTTTTTTGTCGCACAGGCTGGAGTGCAGTGGCGTGATCTTGGCTCACTGCAACCTCCACCTCCCAGGTTCAAGCAATCCTCCTGCCTCAGTCTCCCAGGTAGCTGGGATTATAGGCATGTGCCACCACACTGGACTAATTTTGTATTTTTAGTAGAGACCACGTTTCACCATGTTGGCCAGGCTGGTCTTGAACTCTTGACCTCAGGTGATCCACCCGCCTTGGCCTCCCAAAGTGCTGGGATTACAGGCATGAGTCACCTCACCCAGCAGTCATTTTTAATCAGTATCCAAAATGTCTGTCTAGAACATCCCTATTAGATACCAGAGCCACCAACTCCTCTTCCTGGGAGAAATGGGTCAAGTCGAACATATTGCTGGATTTTTCCTTTGATTTCAGGAGACTTTGTTGCTTTTTCTTTACTTAGCAAGAAAACCTTTATCTGAGTTATACAATGTATTTTTTTTTTTTTTTTTTTTTTTGAGACGGAGTCTCGCTCTGTCGCCCAGGCTGGAGTTCAGTGGCGGGATCTCGGCTCACTGCAAGCTCCGCCTCCCGGGTTCACGCCATTCTCCTGCCTCAGCCTCCCAAGTAGCTGGGACTACAGGCGCCCGCCACTACGCCCGGCTAATTTTTTGTATTTTTAGTAGAGACGGGGTTTCACCGTTTTAGCCGGGATGGTCTCGATCTCCTGACCTCGTGATCCGCCCGCCTCGGCCTCCCAAAGTGCTGGGATTACAGGCGTGAGCCACCGCGCCCGGCCCTGAGTTATACAATGTATTTTTTTAAGTGTAGTTTTAACAACCAAAAAAATCTAAACGGAAATACCATACACTTGACAATAATGCTTTCCCTTCTCCTGGAAATCTTAAGTGTTAAAGTGCAGTCATATTCATCATTACTTGAGGCCAGTGGGTCTCAACTGGAGACAATTTTGTCCCCCAGAGGACATTTGGCAATGTCTGAAGACATGTTTGGTTGTCACAACTGGGGATGGCTGGTCATGGCATCTGGTGTATAGAGGACAGGGCAGCTGCTAAGCATCCTACAGGGCACAGGAAAGGTCCTCCAGCAAAGGATTATATGGCCTCAAATGTCAAAAGTGTCAAATCTGAGAAGCCCTATTTTTGACCCTCACAATATTTCTGTGGGGAAAGTAGGGGGACTGATGACATGGTGTCCTTATTGGACATTGCCCAGAGAGGGTATATCACCTAGGAAGCCATTTGGCTCCAAGAAACAGAAAATCCAACCAACAATGCCTAAAACGGACATTTCTTTTTCTCAAGTAACCAAAAATCCGAGGGCCGGCCGTTGCTGATACTTGTGTTCTCTGTGATGCCACCAGAAACCTGGGCCCTATTATTCTTCTGTGTCATCCCTTCTAGGCTGGTTTCATCTCCATGTGTGTCACATGGTTTGTAAGAGGGTTTCCGCAGCTCCCCGAATCATGTCCTCTCGAAGCAGGAAGAATGAAGAGAAGAGTCGGCCCCAGCTAAGCCTTACCTTAATCAGGCAACCAAAAGCTCTCCCTGTCTACCCTCTTCCTTTCAAACTTCTGCTGATACCTCATTGGTCAGAGCTGGGCCACATGGCCACCACTGGCTGCAAAGGATGATGGGAGAGCGGGTAATCTGCTTTCCAGCTGTATCACGGGAGATGACAAAGAAGAAAGCGTGGGCATTAATACTGAATTAGGCAACCAACAGTGCCCATCACAGTGAATAAAGGCCTTGCTCAAGATCAAATAACTAATCAGAGCCAGTCTACGACTCAAGTGTTGTGATATCTAGCTCTGATCTAATTTTACTAAGATATGTCAAGCTTTTTGTAACGATTGCATTTCCAGACAGGCAGAACTCTCTAAAGAACCCAGAGAAAGAACTTTCTTTTTAGAAATTCCAGGAGTTCCATTCAGCTGACAAGAAATTGTCTTTGTATCCCCATTGACTTTGTAACCAGAAATCTCTCATGGGCCTATTTATAACTGAAACACTACTACTAGTAATAATAGCAATAACTCAATCCCAATAGTCCCAACAAAATAGCTATGTGTCTTGGATCTTAGATATAGGAGGCTCAAAATAATCAAAGTGTAAGATCCCAAACAAATTGCCTACCTGAAAACTCTCTGGATAGAAATGAAATATCAAGACAAGCAGGTACTGCTCACAGAGTTATAGACCACTATTTTTCAGTTGCAGTCCATTAGTGGGTGGCTAATTCAATTTAGTGGACCATGACCAGCATTTAAAAATATGGAATAAAATAGTATAGAAAAGAAAGTATTGGCCGGGCACAGGGGCTCGTGTGCCTTTGAGATAATTACAGCACTTTGAGAGGCTGAAGTGGGAGGATTGCTTGAGCCCAGGAGTTCGAGACCAGCCTGGGCAAAATGGCAAGACCCTGTCTCTAAAAAAAATAAATAAATAAAAAATAAAAATAAAAATAAAAAAATTAGCTGGGCGTGGCACATGTCTGTAGTTCCAACCACTTGAGAGGCTAAAGCAGGAGGACTGCTTGAGTCCAGGAATTCCAGGCAGTGGTGAGCTGTAATCGTGGTACTGTACTCCAGTTCGGGTGACAAAGCGAGACCCCATCTCTAAAAAGAAAAGAAAGTATCAGAGTCCATTGCACAAAGAATGGTCAGTACAAATGTGTAACTTTTGTTTCTGTGTGTGTGTGTGTGTGTGTGTGTGTATGCGCGCATGCTACACTGCAATGTAAAATGCATTTCTTACTGTGAGCCACGATCACAAAGTTTGAAAAGAACTTTAATCCCTTTGTCCAGAAATGAAAGAGCAAATAAAAGTAGAGGCAAAAACTGTCAGGCGAGGCTGGTGCTACATCCACTTAGGCCACTGCTGAATTGTTCTTCTGCTTCCTAATTACGTTGAAAGCCTGATTGAAGGGGGCTTTGCTCAATTCTAAATAACCCTCCTGCCACTCTCTGTCTCTTTGGGCTGAGTGGCCAGTCAGCCCTGGCACCTTTGCAAGCCAGCTCTGGTTAATTAGAGCTGCTGCTCCCCAACACAGCCCTGCTGTGGCATTACAATTCCCTGGGGTCTGTCTTCTGTGGCACTTCTGATTTGTGGCCCGGAGTGCTTGGTGGCTTGCCTCTGAGGGGTGATGAGCTGGTGGAAATGTGAAGGAGAGAGAGAACTGGTAATCTTAATATCTTCTCCTCTGAAATCGGGTTTTCTGGGCTTGAGGTCCACTCTTTGGCCCTCCCTGTCTCTGATTTAAATGTGTTTACATTAAAAGTAAGCTCATTTAAAAATAGCTCTTTCCCCAGCATCTTTCTTTCTTGCTTTTCATCCAGACATGATTTTTCTTCCCTTTGACATCCCTAATGCAAGGCACAGTTGGGAGGGAGAGAGTGCACAAGAAAGATTCCTTTGAGAAAGCATTTGGGAAAATCCCACCAATAATCATTCCCCATGACTCTGGGGTTCCCATAAGAGGAAGAAAACCCTTTGGACCTTAATTCGGATGTTTTAAGACAAGTGACCTTATCTCATCTGACGTTTCTACCCGCACAAAGAGTAGTAACAGCAACCATATAGTCTTCTCTGCTCAGAATACCATAGATCTTTGTTAAGTCACTATTATTACATCAGGTCAACAGGAAACTAGGAAATACACACCTGGAGCTTTGTTTAAGATCAGCAAACTGCAAGTATTTTATGCTCCTCTGTGACCTTAAACAGCGTCATTAAAATGTACACACTAGAACTCAGATGTATTAACAGATGTCACTTGATGTATTTTCTATAACTGACTTCATCTTTCCCTAGGGTTTCTATTCTCATTGATTGCCGTGACTTCTGGTTTAAGATAGTCTCTTCTGGGTAAATATGAAACCTATTCAAGGTTCCTGCAGAGCTGTTTCTTCACTCTCCAGTGATCTCTCCTTCCCAGTCATTTCCAATATGGTGCCTGAGTACAAGGGAAGGTTACACAGCCTCATGGCAGCCAAGAGAAGACACTGATGACCCTTCGGTTATTCTCTGGGACCTTGCTGAGGGGTCCTACATCCTGGTGCGTGGTGATTGTGCATCTGGTATTGACACCTGGTGGTGTGGACCACTCCTTCTGGTCTGGGAGACATCAGGCTTGAGTCCACTGCTAAGGCTCTTGGTCTCTGCCATGGCCTCTTTTCATAAAGCCCACTCTCTGGGGTTGCATGACCTTAACTCCTGCCTCACTGTTTCCCATGACTTCTCCATCTCTTTATGTGGACATGTGGGAATTTTGGGATCCCCATTGTGCCGGCTGTGGGCAAGCAGACCTCTTCACCTTGACCATGTCCTTGGCCATGGTGCTCCAGGTTGGACATGATGTCTCACTGTGCTGGGTCAACCCTAAGCACTGAAGGGCTGTTTATGCTTCCTGTCAGGTGGGAACCTCTTTGACATCATGACCTCCATTTTCTCTAGGCTTTGTGTGCATTAGAACTCCATGTTCATACCTTCAACCTAGCTCTTGACATACAAGGGGAAGTTTTGAAAGTTTTCTCTTTTCCCCAACTGATCATTGTCTCTTTATGCACTCGAAAGAGTCTAATTTGAAACACAAAGTTAATCAGTGATTTCTTTGTTCATAGTTTGCCTTCCCCTGAAACAATAAAGTCACGGATGGGAAAACCAAGGAAAGACTAGCAAGTAGGTATCATTGATGATCATGTATAGAATACATTGCTTTAGGCTGGACGTGGTGGTTCGTGTCTGTAATCCTAGCACTTTGGGAGGCTGAGGCAAGTGGATCACTTGAGACCAGGAGTTCAAGACCAGTCTGGCTAACATGGTGAGTGAAACCTTGTCTCTACTAAAATACAAAAATTAGCCTGGCATGGTGGTGAGTGCCTGTAGTCCCAGTTACTCGGGAGGCTGAGTCAGGAGAATTGCTTGAACCCAGGATGCAGAGGTTGCAGTGAGCCAAGTTCATATCACTGCACTCCAGCCTGGGCAACAGAGTGAGACCCTATCTCAAAAACAATACTTTGCTTTAATTTCTACAAACATTCTTTCTTGTTGAAGCTGAGAGATGGTATGTGGAGTCATTTTACCATACAAAAGTACCTCAGAGTACCATACAAAAGTATGGTAAAACGTGGATATTGGATTTTTTTCCCATGTTAAGGAATTAACTATAAATAAGTAAAACTACCTATGCCCATTACATTCAGAGAAGTAACCCATTGTCAGGTTTACTAGAACTTCTTGGGCTCGAGGTTGGACTGCCAGAACCAAGAACTGAGACATCTGCTCTCTCATGCTGTGGAGAGACGCACAAGTTGGAGTCTGGAAGGAGTCCGCTGCTGACGTTTGGCCGTCACAGCTCTGATCTAAGCCACTGGTGGCTTCCGCTTCATTAAAATAACAGGGGAAGCCCCTAATTTAGCCAGATTTAATTTTCAACTTTTATAATTCATTTAAAATTTGATCAAC